>NC_000006.12:42484242-42787272 GCF_000001405.40 Homo sapiens
ATTATGTCCATTGATCTGATATTCCAATTTCAAAAGTTCACATTTTTCAACTTTTGGAAATCTAGAAAAAGTGCCACGAGCTCTCATAATCATGCCATGGTTGACTTCAAAGAATGTAAAAGTTTCTCCTGTCATCTAGATGAGGAACTGAAGGGAATCACCACTGATGCCTACAGCACCCACAGGGGTAATTTTCAGAGGCTGCTGCTGAATGTCCTGTCTGTCAAATGTCACATATCTGCTCCTCACAGCTGGAGGAAAAATTATGGTTTCTGATGCTGTGCCTTCCAGATCTTCTGTAAATGTTTCTCATTGGCAGAATCTTTCCTGGGATCTACTGGCAAGGGATTTGGAGAAATATCTTTCCCAAGCTTCCAGCTCAGCTATCAGGATGCCTTTTTTTCCCCAATAAAAATAACTCTAACTCAATTTAGTTTAAATTATAATGAAATATTTTGGTTGTCATCACTACAATTCCAGAGGTAGTCAAGTTTAAGACTGATCCAGTATCTCTAGCTCTGTTTCCCTGCACTTCAGTTGGCCTGAACTTATTTGTGCACTGTCTTCATCCTCAGGTTGGTGTTAGGTTAGCTAGCATTCTAGGTCTTCCCACATTTCCAACCCCTGGAAAAGCTGATGTTCGGTCCCCAGAATGGTTGCTAACAGACAATCCAGCCCATCTGTTTCTCCCACTCTTCCTTATCAAGCATCAAATTCTATTACATGTCCACAATCACTCATCCCTAAATCCAGAAATCCAAAACACTCTGAACACCAAAAGATTTTTTTCTTAAGTTTGGTACAAACACAATTGGCAGCACAAACTGACCTGATATAAGACTACTCAGTTCAGTTCAGGTATTTATTCCATTTAGCGTGAATATCTACATGTTTTCTTTACAGAATAATCAAGTTGGATTACAAGGTATTGCCCTACACCCCAAAGAGGGCATTGAGTAATATATGGTAAAATTACAATATTATTTATCTAATATCCAAACATTCTGTGTGTGTGTGTGTGTGTGTGTGTGTGTGTGTGTGTCAGGTTCTCACTCTGTCACTGAGGCTGGAGTGCAGTGGCACAATCATGGCTTACTGTAGCCTCAACCTCCCCGGCTCAGGCAATCCTCCCACCTCAACCTTTTGAGTAGCTGGGACTGTAGGCATGTGCCACCATGCCAGGCTAATTGTTTGATTTTTTGTAAAGATGGGGTCTCGCTATGTTGCCAGGACTGGTCTCTGATTCCTAGGCTCAAACAATCCTCCCACCTAGGCCTCTCAAAGTGTTGGATTACAGGCATGAGTCACCACACAAGGCCCCAAAATTCTGAGTTTCAAAACACACTGGGTCCTAAAAGTTTCAGATAAAGGATTGCAGACTTTTAGAACAATTCATTCCCTATGTTCCCTATGGCACACTGACAAAATGGAATCTTTATGTGTTTATTTTAAATTATATTTATGAAAGAGTTCTTTTTTTTTTTTTTTTTTTTTGAGATGGGGTCTGACTCTTGTTGCCCAGGTTGGAGTATAGTGGTACGATTCTGCCTCCTGGGTTCAAGCGATTCTCCTGCCTCAGCCTCCCCAGTAGCTGGGATTACAGGCACCCACCACCACACCCAGCTAATTTTTTGTATTTTTAGTAAAGACAGGGTTTAGCCATGTAGTCCAGGCTGGTCTCGAACTCCTGACCTCAGGTGATCCACCCGCCTCGGCCTCCCAAAGTGCTGGGATTACAGGAGTGAGCCACCGCACCCAGCCAAAAGAGCTCTAATATAGCAAAATAGTTATGTTATAACATTATGTGAAAAAAATGATACAAACCTACATTTTACATATATATGTATATATATATGTATATATATGTGTATATATGTATATATATGTGTATATATGTATATATATGTATATGTGTATATATATGTGTATATATATATGTGTATATATATGTGTATATATATATGTGTATATATATGTGTATATATATATGTGTATATATATGTGTATATATATATGTATATATATATGTGTGTATATATATATATATATAATTTTTTTTTTTTGAGACTGAGTCTCACTCTGTTGCCATGTTTGAGTGCCGTGGGACGATCTCGGCTCACTGCAACCTCCGCTTCCTGGGTTCAAGCAATTCTCTTGCCTCAGCCTCTGAGTAGCTGAGATCACAGACACATACCACCACGTCTAGCTAATTTTTGTATTTTTAGTAGAGACAGGGTTTCACCATGTTGCCCAGGATGGTCTCGACCTCTTGACCTCATGATCTGCCCGCCTCAGCCTCCCAAAGTGCTGGGATTACAGGCGTAAGCCACCACACCGGCCATATTTTTATTTTATTATTTAATATGAAATATTCTATTCAGTACAATATTTTTATTTTTAAATATATATTTATTTTAATGTGCATATTACACATATCAAAATGTATACTAAAAGTCTAAAAGCAAATATTGCATAATTTTTTCCCAGCTTTATTAAGGTATAACTGACAAATAAAAATCATATGTATTTACAGTGTGCACTGTGATATTTTGATATATGTGAGCATTTTGAAAGTATTAAATCCAGCTAATTAACATATCTCTCACCTCACATGCTTTTTTGTGGTGAGAACATTGAAAATCTACTCTCTTAGCAATTTTTAAGGATACATCCATTATTATTAACTATAGTTACCATGAAACATAGCATCAATTTTATCAGTAGTTCTTAACTTTAGCTCTTTGGCTACAGGTCCCTTTGAGAATCTAATGAGAACACTCGAAGTGACTTTTGCTTTTTGCTTCCTTTTGGTTGTCTAGCATCCAACCCCTCTTCCTATTTTAGGGGAATCCTTCACTAGGTGAATGTTGGTGGGAGCTGGATCCTGTCTTCTATAGCAAAGGAGGTGAGGAATCCTATGTGTACCTCTCCAACTCCAGACAGCTAGGAGCAGTCCCAGACCAATGCCCCGCCAGTCAGACCCTCCTGCTCAGGGATCTAAATCTTCGGGAAAGGACAATTAGAGATTGTCCATGGTGGCAGCGTCGGGTTGAGAGTTCAGTGATGGCAGCACTAAGTGTCCTGTGATGGCAGGGGCGTCCTCCCCACCAGACTCTCCCTAGGACTGCCGGTCCACCAATCATCTGCTGCTTTTTCTAGCCTGGTTTTTCAGCCTCCCTAACACTTTTGATGGCTTTTCAAAAGACATTTTTGGTCTAAGTTAACCAGCATTGGTCTCTGTGTTTTACAACCTCTTGGTTGTACCTTAATTGGTACAGCTATAGATTCTTTCCTTAGAAAAATGCACATATCTACACAGATTTGCACCAATTTTCAGGGCTTCATGGAACCTCGTGACCACCGTGAGACTATGGACCCCAAATTAAGAACCCCTGTATTGATACTGTGTTTTTTTTTTTTTTTTAAAGATGGAGTCTCACTCAGTCTACTGCACCCAGGCTGGAGTGCAGTAGCACAGTCTTGGCTCACTGCAACCTCCGCCTCCCAGGTTCAAGCAATTTTCCTGCCTCAGCCTCCTGAGTAGCTGGGATTACAGGCACACGCCACCACACCCAGCTAATTTTTGCATTTTTAGTAGAGACGGGGTTTCACCATATTGGCCAGGCTAGCCAGTCTCGAACTCCTGACCTCAAGTGATCCACCCACCTCGGCCTCCCAAAGTGCTGAGATTACAGGTATGAGTCACTGCACCCAGCCTTGATACTGTTTTTTGAGAGTGTGGAGTTATAGTGACTTTTTCCCACCTTCTCATTGTTTTATGATTTCCAAATTTTCCACAATGAACATGTACTACTTTCATAATCTGAGAAAGTAAAATAAATTATATTTTAAAGAAAAAGATTATTCCAGAGACTTAAGACATTGTTCCCATACTCTTGAAAAAGAAATGTATTAAACCATTGTCAGTGATTAACATATTATATAAGAATATTGAGAAGGAAAATATTCCTCAGACTGTTCCCGGGGATCTGTAAATTGACCTTTGGCAAATCACTTAACTTTGCCTAGCAGCCCTTTGACTGTAACATTGTCACACATGTGTGCTGTTTCTCCCACATATATGTGGCTGGGATTGATGAAATCATCATTTGTACATATTCTTCAAGGTCCTCCCATGGAAAAGCACTTTGCAGACAGAATAAATGACTATTGCCCTATTATTATTTCCTGGAACATTGACGGCTGCCAGCCTTGAATGAAACCTTATTTTAAAAAGCATATTATTTCCTTTGCCTTTCTTCTGAATATAACAATTCTATAAGAATAAATGGAGGAACACTTCTATTCCAAAGCTGTGTAGAATATGCAGCAAATCATAAACTTTGTCATCGTAAGGAAAAACAAGTTTAAATTTAATTTTTGCTCTCCATTTATCATCTCCATGCTCAATATCACATACTTATGTACCCATTTTAAGCTACCCTGGGAAGCTCAAAATGTACCTGCGCTCTTAAATTTGAAAAGTGCAGGCCAGGTGCAGTGGCTCACACCTGTAATCCCAGCATTTTGGGAGGCCCAGGCAGTCAGATCACCTGAGGCCAGGAGTTCCAGATCAGTCTGCCCAACATGACAAAACCCCATCTCTACCAAAAATACAAAAAATTAGCCGGGCGTGGTGGTGGGCGCCTGAAATCCCAGCTACTCAGGAGACTGAGGCAGGAGAATTGCTTGAACCTGGGAGGCGGAGGTTGCGGTGAGCCAAGATCGCGCCACTGCACTCCAGCCTGGGTGACAAGAGGGAAACTCCGTCTCAAAAAAATAAATAAATAAAATTTAAAAATAAAAGTGCAATAACCCAGAACTAGAAAAGGACCAAGAAAGGGTACCTGATTGTGTGCTCTTTTTTTCAGACAGATGAACAGCTAAACTATTAAGGACAAGTTTCAGTCCATTCCATTCATAAAGGTTTCTAGGAATCGGGAAATCCATTGCTTTCCCAGATAGTCTTGTCCAACATTTTAAAGTTCTCTTGCATATTTAGTCAAAATATCTCTAGCCCCACAGCTACCCTATTAAGATAGTTCTCTGGCTGGGTGTGGTGGCTCATGGCTGTAATCCCAGCACTTTGGGAGGCTGAGGCGGGTGGATCACCTGAGGTCAGGAGTTTGAGACAAGCCTGACCAACATGGTGAAACCCCATCTCTACTAAAAATACAAAAAATTAGCCCAGTGTGGTGGCGGGCACCTATAATCCCAGCTACATGGGAGGCTGGGGCAGGAGAATCTCTTAAACCTGGGAGGCAGAGATTGCAGTGAGCCGAGATCACACCATTGCACTCCAGTCTGGGCGACAAGAGCAACACTCCATCTCAAAAAAAAAAGAGATAGTTCTCCTGGAAGGGCATCACCAACAGACGGCATCTTTTATGGACAGTGCAGTGGTGCAATCATAGATCACTGTAGCCTCAATCTTCCTGGCTCAAGTAATCCTCCCACCTCAGCCACCCCAGTAGCTGAGACTATAGACATGTGCCACCATGCCCAACTAGTTTTTGTATTTTATGCAGAGACGAGGTCTCGCCATCTTGTTCAGGCTGTTCTCAAACTTCTGGACTCAAAGGATTCACCAGCCTCGGCCTCCCAAAATGCTAGGATTATAGGCTTGAGCCAATGTGCCTGGCCTTAACTTGCTATAATTTTTTTATTGAACACAAATAGGCCCACTGACATACAGGACATACAAATGAGAGAGTTTTTAAAAATGCGATCAATGCTAAGTGAAAAAGAAGGTGTGTATGTCTTAGATAGGATGTCTTCTCTTCACTCATCAGGTCATGGATTCTCTCCTGGAAATTCATGTATAGAGGGAAGTGACTTTTTTACATAATAAAGGAACATATTTCCTAAGAAAATATTCCCAAAAGGAGCAAAAGATTGATGAGCTATTGGGTTGAGATCCAATCTATATAAAACCCATATGTAAAATAAGGTCATTCTTCTTTTTTGTACCCAAATAATTATACCCAAATAATTATGGCTCAAGCCCCTAGCACAATACTTCCTATAAATGACCACATAATACTCTGCTCCACGTTCAGGGAAAGTGTTTGAGAAACTCCTCATTGCTCACCATTCTCCTAGACATGACTCTCTTCTGCTGATGGCTATTGCTAACCACCTCCGCTCAGGTTTAAGACACTTTTCCTTCTAACTCTTTGCCCCCTGCCTAGGCCCCCAGTTCTTTCCTGTTTTCTCCCAGCAGCATTGAAACTGAGCTGTAACTTTAATAACAATAACACTTACTGGAGGTTGGGAGCAATGGGCAGGGTGGGCCACTCCCAGAGGAACTTATAGCTACTTCCTAAGCCCATTGTGATGGCCTGCCCACATAAAAGTAGTCCAGGTCTTTCCTTCCTATAAAGAATAGATGTTCCTGCCACCAATGATCCTGACAATAGGTTAATTTTCAGTCAGGATATAAAAATATAAGAAGGGTCTTCAGTGGGAGAGGGAAAGAGGAAATTTTATTTTCCTTCTGGACTGGAAATCAGTTTTTCCAGGATTTGGAAATATAGAAAAACCTAGAATTTAAGCCATCTTGATGTCAACCTGAGAATGAGGCCAACCCATAAATAAATCCAGGGCCAAGAGAAGTTTAGTGAAACAGAGCTGAAGACACTGGATTGGATCAATCTTAAACCTGCCCTACCTCTGGAAATTTAGTGATAAGAGCCAATACATTTCCTTACAGTTTTAGACATTATCTATTTAATCTGTCATATGATAGATGTTTTCAGCTCATTTTTCAATACTTCCTGTACTGCGCCTTTTAGCTTCTCTGTTGGTTGCCTTTATACTACAAATGGCATCCTAATACCTTTATTTTTTGTTCCATCAACTATCTTTTAATGCTTTTTATAAAATGAAGATAATAGCTCCCCAACCAGTCCACTCAGCAATTCTACACCTCACTTTGCACCTTTTGTCTTTTGCATTGTCAAGGTTGATAATTTTTATAATATAACTACATTTTCTAAGCTTTGTCTATTAACTACATTTTCTAAGCTTTGTCTGTAGGTTGGTTATAAACAACTAAAAATTAATGTACAGATATTATTGTGACTATGTGTCTTGGTCACCTCAGCCTCCTATAACAAAATACTATAGATGAGGTGGTTTAAACAACGGGAATTTGAGAAGTCCAAGACTGAGGTGGCAGCAGATTTGGTTCTCACTGAGAGTCATCTTCCTGGCTTACAGATGGCTGTCTTCTTGCTGTATCCTCACATGGCAAAGAAAGCAAGCTCTGGTGTCTCTTTCTCTTCTTATAAGCCATCACGGGTGCTCCACTCTCATGACCTCACCCAAACCTAATTACCTCCCAAAGACTCCACCTCCTAAGGCCATTACATTGGGATTTAGGACTTCAACAGGTGAACTTGGCAGGTGGTTGGGGTAGTCACAAACATTCACTTCATAACACTATGTAAATACTGTTTATTGCAGAAGCAATGATCATAACGGTCACATTTCATTTCTTATTTCTTTCTGTTTTCCTGGGATTTCTTTTTGTTTGTTTGTTTGTTTGTTTGTTTTTGAGACAGAGTCTCTCTCTGTCACCCAGGCTGGAGTGCAGTGGCGTGATCTCAGCTCACTGCAACCTCTGACTCCTGGGTTCAAGCGATTCTCCTGCCTCAGCCTCCCAAGTAGCTGGGATTACAGGCACGCACCACCACGCCCAGCAAATTTTTGTATTTTTAGTAGAGAAGGGGTTTCATCATGTTGGTCAGGCTGGTCTCGAACTCCTGACCTCGTGATCCGCCCTCCTAGGCTTCCCAAAGTGCTGGGATTACAGGCGTGAGCCACCGCACCAGCCTTTCCTGGAATTTCTATCTGCCTTTATTTTTATTCCACACTATTTATAAATGTTTATAAACAATGTAAGAAATTTTTCTATGTCACTATTTGTATTTGTTACGTCGTTATCTTTTCTAAAACTTTTTCTATGCATTTGGTTGTATGCATGTGTGTAAATATATAGTTTTATTTTGTGGTTTTGTTTTACAAAAATGTTACACATTGTACATATGGTTCTTTGACTTGCTTTTTCACTTAACAATATGTCTTGGCGTTCTTTCCACATCTTTTAACTCTTTCCTAAGTACTTGATATGGTTACAATACAGTTTTGTCCATTTGTTTGTTTTTGTTTTTCTAGTTGTGTTAGACCTCAGTGGTATGAATGGATTGAAATGATTTAATTATTCATACTCCTCAGTTATAGCCAGTTTGGGTTTTTGTTCCATTACCCCCACTTTTCTCCCATATGTTTAATTTGTATTTTTTCAACCCACCTGCCACATTTTTCTTACATAACATACAGCATTATTTTGTGAGCTTAAACATTTTACAAAAATGGTGTCATACCATATGTATCTACAACTTGATTTTATCATGCAAATTATGTTTGAGATTCATCTATGTTGATAACTATGTCTAGTTTATTCCTTTTAATTTCTGTGTAGTAATCAATCAAATGACTAGATCACATTTTATCTATTCATTCCTTCATGATGGTTATTTAGGTTGCCTTTTACTATTTGTCATTACAAACAGTGATGCAATGAAAAGTATTGTACATGTCTCTTTGTGTACATGTACAACCCATAGATCATTTAGCCATTTCATGATTGATGGGCAGTTTGTTCTTAAATTTTTACTATTACAGATCTCTATCATGTGAGCATATACATTCTTCTGATATATACTATGCAAGTAGCATTCTTACATAAAAGCTATGCACATTTAAAAATTTCGATATCACTAAATTATTTTTTTAAAAGATTGTATCAATTTAAATTTCCAGCAATTAAACATGGGATATCAACTTTCTGCACATTTGCCTGCATTTGATATAATCAATATAAAATTCTTGTCTACATCACAATTAAGAAATAGTATATCATTGTTGTTAATGCCCCTGGCATTTTCACTTCTGGAGATTTTATATATTCCCCTGCACACTGACAAAACGATGTATGTACAGGGTAATTCATCATTGCATCATTGTAATAGAAAAAGACTGGAAACAACCAAAGTGCCCATCAATAAGGAAATGGTTAAATAAACTGTGCTGTATTCATATAATGGAACACAATACAGCTGTAAAACAAAGCAAAAAAAATTAAGATGCCTTGGCCACTGAGTGGGATGAAGAGAAAGAATTAGGAAGCTTTTTTGTACTGATATGAAGAGCTAAATGATCTATTTTAAGAAACAAAAGGAAGGTACAGAATAGTAACATAATCTTCTACCTTTTATGTAAGCAAGAGGGTAAAATAAGATATATCCTTTTTATTTTTCTTCTTCTTCTTCTTCTTCTTTTTTTCTGGCAGACTCTCACTCTGTCGCCCAAACTGGAGTGCAATGGCACGACCATAGCTCACTGCAGCCTCAACTTCCCCAGCTCAATCGATCCTCCCACCTCAGCCCCCCAAGTAGCTGGGACTACAGGTGTACTAATTAAAAAACATTTTTTTAAGAGACAGGGTCTCGGCTATTTTGCCCAGGCTGGTCTCCAACTCCTGGGCTCAAGTGATCCTCAGGCCTCAGACTCCCAATGTGCTGGGATTACAGGAGTGAGCCACTGCATCTGGCCTAATTTTATTTATTTTATTTATTTATTTTTGAGATGGAGCTTTGCTTTTGTTGCTCAGGCTGGAGTGCAGTGATAAGATCTTGGCTCACTGCAAACTCTGCTACCTCCCAGATTCAAGCGATTCTCCTCCCTCAGCCTCCCGAGTAGCTGGAATTACAGTCGTGTGCCACCACACCCAGCTATGGCCTTACTTTAGGTTTTGTTAAATCAGGATGGGCTACGTTATGTTGCAGTAACAAACACACCAAAATCTCAGCGGTCTAACCGCCTAGATTTTTTTTCTTTCCCCCACAAAATGTCCATCCTGGGCCCACTGGGAACTCCATTCCATAGTTCTAGAATGCGTGTGTGACCTAGTTCTGACTAATGAGATGTGACAAAATATCCCGGGGACTTCTGGGAAAGATTTCCTTACTCTTGAAAAGAGACAAACAGAAGTTGACATCACTTCCGCTTAACATGCTTACATAGGATGCCTGGAACTGTGGGAGCCATCTTGTTTCCTTGGGAGGGGCAAGCTGGAGAGCCACAAACCTCACATTCCTGGAATAGAATAGTACAGGTAAAAATAGAAAGAACCTGGGTTTTTTTTTTTTTTTTTTTTTTTTTTTTTTTTAGACAGAGTGTCGCTCTCGTCACCCAGGCGACAGTGATCTCGGCTCACTGCAAGCTCCGCTTCTCGGGTTCAAGCAATTCTCCTGCCTCAGCCTCCTGAGCCCTGGGACTAGCGCGCCACCACGCCTAGCCTATTTTTGTATTTTTAGTAGAGATGGAGTTTCACCATGTTGGCCAGGCTGGTCTCGAACTCCTGACCTGATACACCCACCTCGGCCACTCAAAGTGCTGGGATTACAAGCGTGAGCCACCGCGCCCAGCCTTGGGTCTTTAATGATGTCAGTAAACCTCTGAATTAACCAACTCTGGACACTCCCTACCTCAGGATTTCTTTGTGTTTTTATTTTATTTCAATAGTTTTGAGGGAACAGGTGGGGTTTGGTTGCATGGAAAAGTTCTGCAGTAGTAATTACTGAGATTTTGGTGCACCCATCACCTGAGCAGTGTATACTGTACCCCATATGTAGTCTTTTACCCCTCATCCCCCTTCCACCCTTCCCCCTGAGTCCCCAAAGTCCATTATATCATTCTCATGCCTTTGCGTTCCTCATAGCTTAGCCCCCACTTATAAGTGAGAACATATGATGTTTGGTTTTTCATTCCTGAGTTACCTCACTTAAAATAATGGTCTCCAACTCCACACAGGTTGCTGTGAATGCCATTATTTCATTCCTTTCTATGGCTGAGTAGTATTCTATGGTATATATATATACCACGTTTTCTTTATTCACTCATTGGTTGATGGGCATTTAGGCTGGTTCCATATTTTTGCAGCTGTGAATTGTGCTGCTGTAAACATGCATGTGCAAGTGTCTTTCTCATATAATGACTTGCTTTCCTCTGGGCAGATACCCAGGAGTGGGATTGCTGGATCGAAGGATGGTTCTACTTTTAGTTCTTTAAGGAATCTCCATACTGTTTTCCAAAGTGGTTGAACTACCCTTTAAACCAGCAGTGTAAAAGTGTTCCCTTTTCACCACATCCATGCCAACATCTGTTATTTTTTGATTTTTTAAAATATGGCCATTCTTGCAAGAGTAAGGTGGTGTTACATTGTGATTTTTATTTATTAGATCAGAAAAAAATCCAAAAGTTGAACAGCTTTAGAAGAGCTAACAGAATATATGGGGAATAATAATGGGGAATATTAATAATAATGGGGAATAATATATGGGGAATAAGGTAATCTCATACATTGCCAGTGGGCCTGAAAGATGGTATAACCATAATAGAAGGGAATTTAATATTTCTGTAATTTACAATGCATTTACCCTTTGACTTGGTTGGTCAAATTTCCAGGTCAAATTTGACCATTGATAATTAGTGATGTTGAACATTTTTTTCATGTTTCTTGGCCATTTGAATATATTCTTTGGGGAATTGTCTATTCACATCTTTTGCCCACTTTTCGATGGGATTATTTGTTTTTTTCTTGCTGATTTGTTTGAGGTCCTTGTAGATCCTGGATATAAGTCCTTTGTTGGATGCATAGTTTGCAAATATTTTCCCCCACTCTGTGGGTTCTCTGTTTTACTCTACTGATTATTTCTTTTGCTGTGCAGAAACTTTTCAGTTTTATTAGGTCCCATCTATTTATCTTTGTTTTTGTTGCATTTGGTTTTGGGTTCTGGGTCATGAACTCTTTGCCTAAGCCAATGTCTAGAAGAGTTTTTCTGATGTTATCTTCTAGAATTTTTATGGTTTCAGGTCTTAGATTTAAGTCTTTTATCCATCTTGAGTTGATTTTTGTATAACGTGAGAGATGAGGATCCAACTTCATTCTTCTGCATGTGGCTAACCAATTATCCCAGCACCATTGTTGAATAGGATGTCTTCTTCCCACTTTATGTTTTTGTTTGCTTTGTCAAAGGTCAGTTGGCTGTAAGTATTTGGCTTTATTTCTGGGTTCTCTATTCTGTTCCATTGGCCTATGTGCCTATTTTCACACCAGTACCATGCTGTTTTGGTGGCTATAGTCTTGTAGTGTAGTTTGAAGTCTGGTAATGTGATGCCTCCAGATTTGTTCTTTTTGCTTAGTCTTGCTTTAGCTATGAGGTCTCTTTTTTGCTTCCATATAATTTTAGGATTGTTTTTTCTAGTTCTGTGAAAAATATTGATGGTATTTTGATGGGAATTGCATCGAATTTGTAGATTGTTTTTGGCAGTATAGTCATTTTCACAATATTGATTCTACCCATCCATGAGCATGGGATGTGTTTTCATTTGTTTGTGTCATCTATGATTTTTCAGCAGCGTTTTATAGTTTTCCTTGTAGAGATCTTTCACCTCCTTGGTTAGGTATATTGCTAAATATTTTATTTTATTTTGCAGTTGTTGTAAAAGGGGTTGAGTTATTGATTTGCTTCTCAGCTTGGTCATTGTTGTATATTGGTGTATAACAGTGTTACTGATTTGTGTACATTTATTTTGTATCCTAAAATTTTGCTGAATTCATTTATCAGCTCTAGGAGCTTTTTGGATTAATCTTTAGGGTTTTCTAGGTATACAATCATATCATTGGCAAACAGTGATAGTTTGACTTCCCCTTTACTGGTTTGGATGCCCTTTATTTCTTTCTCTTGTCTGATTGCTCTGGCTAGGACTTCTAGTACTCTGTTGAACAGAAGTGGTGAAAGTGGGCATCCTTGTCTCATTCCAGTTCTCAGGGGGAATGCTTTCAACTTTTCCCCATTCAGTATAATGTTGGCTGTGGGTTTGTCATAGACAGCTTTTATTACTTTGAGGTATGTTCCTTCTATGCCAATTTTGCTGAGGGTTTTAATCATAAAGGTGCTGGATTTTGTCAACTGCTTTTTCTGCATCTCTTGAGATGATCATAGGGCTTTTGCTTTTAATTCTGTTTATGTGATGCATCACATTTATTAACTTGCATATGTTAAATCATCCCTGCATCCCTAGTATGAAACCCACTCAATCACGGTGTGTTATCTTTTTGATATGCCATTGGATTTGGTTAGCTAGTATTTTTTTTTAGGATGTTTGCATCTATGTTCATTAGGGATATTGGCCTGTGGTTTTCTTTTTTTGTTATGTCCTTTCCCAGTTTTGGTATTAAGGTGATACTGGTTTCATAGAATGATTTAGGGAGGAGTCCCTGTTTCTCTGTCTTTTGGAATAGTTTCAGTAAGATTGGTACCAATTCTTCCTTGAATGCCTGATAGAATTCATCTGTGAATCCATCAGGACCTGGCCTTTTTTTGTTACTGTTGGAAATTTTTAAATTACTGTTTCAATCTCTCTACTTGTTATTGTTCTGTTCAGTTTCTACTTCTTCCTATTTCTATTTAATCCAGGAGGGTTGTATATTTACAGAAATTTATCCATCTTCTCTAAATTTTCCAGTTTGTGTGCATAAAGGTGTTCATAGTAGCCTTGAATGATCTTTTTTTATTTCTGTGGTATTGGTTGTAATATCTCTTGTTTTGTTTCTAACTGAGCTTATTTGGATCTTCTCTCCTTTTCTTGGTTAATCTCACCAATGGTCTATCAATTTTTTTATCTTTTCAAAGAACCAGCTTTTTATTTCTTCTATCTTTTGTATTTTTTGTTTCAATTTCATTTAGTTCTGCTCTGATCTTTGTTATTTATTTTATTCTGCTGGGTTTGGGTTTGGTTTGTTATTGTTTCTCTAGTTCCTTGAGGTCTGACCTTAGATTGTCTATTTGTGCTCTTTTAGACTTTTTGATATAAGCATTTAATGCTATGAACTTTCCTCTTAGCACCACTTTTGCTGTGTCCCAGAGGTTTTGATAAGTTGTGTCACTATTATCTTTCAGTTCAAAGAATTGTTTAATTTCCATCTTGATTTCATTATTGACCCAAAGATCATTCAGGAGCAGATTATTTAATTTCCGTGTATTTGTATAGTTTTGAGGGTTCCTTTTGGAGTTACTTTCCAACTTTATTCTACTGTGTTCTGAGAGGGTACTTGATATAATTTCAATCTTCTTAATTTTATTGAGACTTGTTTTGTGGCTTATGATATTGTCTATCTTGGAGAATTTTCCATGTGCAGTTGTTGGGTAGAATGTTCCGTAAATATCTGTTAAGTTCACTTGTTCTGAGGTATAATTTAAGTCCATTGGTCTTTTGTTGACTTCCTGTCTTGATGACCTGTCTTTGCTGTCAGTGGAGTACTGAAGTCCACCACTTCAGCAGGGTTGTTCTGTCATGAATTGCTGTAACGTCCTGAGCTGGTTGGCCTCCAGCCAGGAGGTGGCACTTTTGAGAGAGCACTAGAGCTTTTGGCCTGTCTCATGGAATTTGCAGCAGCCTGCTGCTGCTTTCAAAGGATCTGTGATTTCTTTCAGTTTTCCTAGTACACTCCTGCGGTGGTTCCTGGAGCAAAAGTCCATGACAGGAGTTTCCATACACTGTTCTGTCCATACAAATGGGAGCTGCACGTCAGCCCTATCTCCTATCCGCCATCTTCCCTCACCAATTTTTTTGACTTCAACAATAAATCATCAGCCTAATGTAGGTGGGCTCTACCACTTACAGCAAGTGCACGTTACTGTTCGGGTAAACCAAACTCAAATCATGGTGGAAGGTAAAAGGGAAGCAAGGCACATCTTCACAGGGCCAGAGAAGAAAGAAGAGAGCCAGAAATTATTATGTGAGATAATAAAATGTATTTATTGTATAAACTATTTCAAATTGGTTTTTCTGTTATTTGTAGATGAAAATATCATTTATAGGTTTCTTATTTATTTTTCTTATTTTATTGCATTGACTAGATCATCCAGTTTGGTGTTGTCTAGCAGCATGAAAGCAAGCATCCTTGTCCCATTCCTGAGGTAATAGGATTACCTCTAAATTCACCACAAAGTATGGTGACAGCCATAGGTTTTTGGTAGGCCCCTTAATTAAGATAGGAAATTTCCCTTCTATAGCAAGCTACTGCAAGTCTTTTAAAAATCTTAACAGGGGTTAAATTTTGTCAATTTTTTTTAGTATTTATTGATATAATCAGATGCTTTAATTTGTGCATGTAGCGAATTATGTAAACTTTCTTTTTGCTTATTACTATTATTATTTTTTTTTTAGAGACTGGGTCTCACTATTTTGCCCAGACTAGTCTTGAACTCCTGGGCTCAAGCAATCCTCGGCCTCCCATAGTGTTGGGATTACAGGCATGAGCCACCTTGAGGGCCCAATGTATTTGTTTATATCAACATTCAGCTTTCTGTGCCAATAATGCTCCTGCAAACATTGTGAGTGTTCCTAAAACTCAGTGGATTTTCTGTAAGAAGTGTGGCAAGCACCAACCCCACAAAGTGACACAGTACAAGAAGGGCAAGAATTGTCTATATGCCCAGGGAAAACAGCCTTATGATGGGAAGCATAGTGGCTATGATGGACAGACTAAGCGGATTTTCCAAAAAAAGGCTAAAACTACAAAGAAGACAGTGCTAAGGCTTGAGCGCGTTGAGCCCAACTGCATATCTAAGAGAATGCTGGCTATTAAGATATGCGAGCATTTTGAACTGGGAGGAGATAAGAAGAAAAGGGGGGCCAAGTGATATAGTTCTGAGTATCATCTTTTGTTTTATTATGAAGACAATCAAATCTTGAGTTTATGTTAAAAAAAAAAAGATTCAGTTAAGATTCATACATGCAATCGAGTGATGTTTTTTAGGTAACTCTTAGTCTGTAATCCTCCCTGACCACACACACAAATACACACTTTCTTTTTTGCTTGGAATATATATTTTGGGTCATTTGTTCTGTAGAATTTCCTGCAGACTGGATTTTGCTGATTATCTTTCTGTGATAGTGTTTAACATGTTCCTCAGTTCCCTGTTTTTTTTTTAATAGAAAGTGGCCAATAAGGGTTTTTTAAAAAAATTATTTCATTTCCATATTCATAAACTTGAGTATATTTGAAGTGTTTTAATCATTGCAATTATCATTTTTATTAATGCATGATTGCTGCATCTTTAGCCAGTAGGAGCCTCTTCAAGTTGTTTCCTAAGTAGTTTTGACACTCTCTGTAGTCTTCAGCTTTCTTGCCTCAGATATGACATGTTGGTCCAGGCTCCTCTTGTATATTTCTTGTCCCAGACCTGGAATCAGCCTTTTTTCAAGTGAACATTGATTTCATGTGTATGTGTGAAACGATGTTTAGAAACTATTATCTAGCTACCAGGGGTGCTGACTACTACTGGGTAGATCCACTTTCTAAACCTTCCTTGAATTCCATTTTATCTGATTTAAATATAATCACACATTTTTTCATTGAAATATCCTTTTCCATCACTTTATTTTCAAACTTCTCAGATGATTTTGTTTTAGATGTGTCTCTTATAATGTTTAAGTTTTCAAACATCCAATCTAAAATTCTCCTTTTATCCATGGGCTTAACCCAATCATATTTAATGTGATATTGAGACATCTGAACTATTCCTCTCATTTTATTTGTCTTTTCTACTTGTCCTGGATTTTTTTAATTTCCTTTTGTCTTTTGCAAAATTGGTGAGTTTTCTTCATCTTATTTTGTCCTTCTCAAAATTTAAAACTTGCACCTGTTACTACTTCTAGTGGTTATCCTAACTTATATGAGTTTTACAATAAATTTTACTGATTTCTTCAATAAGATACTGTTTCGTGTATTTCTCTTCTTCTTGTTTGTTTTGTTTTGTTTTTGTTTTCTGGTTAAGTTCATTCTCTCTTAATTCATTGTGGATGGTAAATTTTCCAGATCCTTGAATATTTATAAATGTATTTTTTTTTTGCATTTACACTTAAATAATAGTTTAGATGGGTATAGAATTCTAGATTTGTGGCTGGGCACAGTGGCTCACGCCCGTAATCCCAGCACTTTGGGAGGTCGAGGTGGGTGGATCACGAGGTCAGGAGATCAAGACCATCCTGGCTAACACGGTGAAACCCCGTCTCTACTAAAAATACAAAAAATTAGGTGGGCGTGGTGGTGGGCGCCTGGAGTCCCAGCTACTTGGGAGGCTGAGGCAGAAGAATGGTGTGAACCCAGGAGGTGGAGCTTTCAGTGAGCCGAGATCACACCACTGCACTCCAGCCTGGGCGACAGAGAGAGACTCCGTCTCAAAAAAAAAAAAAAAAAAAAATAGAATTCTAGGTTTGTAACCATGTTCTCTCAAAATGTTGAAGATGTATTTTATATTGCCTTCTTGTATGCAATGCATTTTTACTGAGAATTCTGATATTAGTCTTTGCAGAAAAAATTTTAAAAATCTTTGGATGCTTTTAGAATTTCTCCTTACACTTGTTCTAAAATTTCACTGTGTGTATCTAAGTGTAGTCATTTCTATTCATCCTACTCAGTTTTCAACCTGAAGATTTGTGCTTTTATTCAACTCTGGAAATTTTTCTTTTAATATGTTTTTAATTTTTCCTCTCTCTCATATTTTCTGCTTTTATTTTCTTCTGGAATGTGAATTGATAGATTTGGGAGCTTCTGGTTCTACCCTCCATGTTTCTAAACATTTCTTTCATAATTTTTCTCTGTCCTGTTATACTACATTCTGGGAGAATCCCTCAGCTATTGTTTCCAGCTCAATAAACAGCTCTTCATTTGTATTCATTTTACCATTTCCCTCTCTTCTGAATACTTTTCACTTCCAAGATCTCTATTTGATACTTTTTCATAATTTCCTCCTTGTCTTATGGATTCAATTGTCTTTTATCCCTGTGATGAAAGGTTCATTATACTTCTCTTAAAATCCCCTTCTGTGAGTTCTATGATCTGTTTCTCAGGTACTAGTCATTTGTTTCATTTTGTTCTTCTCTTTTACGATGTGTTAGTAATTCTTGGCTCTGTGCACATCTTTTCCTTTGAGATTCTCTGTTGCCCCAACTATGGGAGCTATTTATTGCAGCCTTCTTCCAGCAACTGTAGAGGAAGATGATGGGGATGGGCCTATATGTAGCCTTCTGAGTCTGAAGAGACTGTTTCTTCTGGGTGTCAGCAGCCTACTAAGACATTGCCTAGGGACATAAGGATTTCCCCTCACTTCTGAGAGCAGAGATACCTCTGCTAGCCACTGCATGCACAAAGTAGAAAGTGGGAAGGGGCAGAAGTATCAGGCTTCTCCTACCCAAGTGTACAGTACTGGGTTAAAAATAGTAACCCTGCACAATTCATGTTCACCCAGAATCTTATTTGGAAATAGTGTCTTTACACAGAGACTTGGTGTCTGTGTCCAAATCACTATCTCTGTCTTCCCAGTGGGGAGAAGACCATGTGAAGACAGAGATTAGAGTGATGCATGCACAAGCCAAGCCATGCCAGAGACTGACAGTAACCACCTGAAACTAGAGCCTTCAGAGAGAGCAGGTGCCTGCTGACACCTTGATTTTGGACTTCCAGCCTTCAAAACTATAAGAGAATAAATATCTATTGTTTAAGCGTCCCAGTTTGTGGTACTTTGTGATGGATGCCCAAGGAAACTGATACACCAAGTAATCCTACCAATCACTCTTGCCCCACTCTCCACCCCATTTTTCATCTTTCCAATTTTTAACTGTAAGATTCTCAAGTTCATGATAATGTAGAAGCCTTTTCCATCTCTCTTGTAGGTGACAATAACAAATTGACCCGATATCACCCCCTACTTTTAGCCAAGAGAAAGAAATTTACCACAAGACAGTCTTTCCTACTTGGTGTACTTGCAGTTGAAACTCAGTGTTCCCTCCTAGACATCAGGTCATTGTGATTCAACTCTTTGAGTCTCAGTTGATTCATCTAGAAAATAAGAATGATAATACTACCTCCTACCCAACAGAATTATCATGAAGATCCATAAAGATGAGTGTCTTCGTCCATTTTCTATTGCCCTTTTTTTTTTTTTGTCTCGCTCTGTCAGCCAGGCTAGAGTGCAGTAATGCCATCTCAGCTCACTGCAACTTCCCCCTTCTGGGTTCAAGCAATTCTCGTGGCTCAGTCACCTGAGTATCTGGGATTACAGGCATGTGCCACCATGCCCAGCTAATTTTTGTATTTTTAGTAAGGAGGTTGTTTGCCAGGCTGGTCTCAAACTCCTGGCCACAAGTGATCCACTCACCTTGACCTCCCAAAGGGCTGGAATTATAGGCGTGAGCTACCGTGCCCAGCCCATTTTCTGTTGGTTATAACAGAATACCTGAATCTGGGTAATTTATAAAGAAAAAAAAATATTTCTTATAGTTATGGAGGCTGAGAAGTCCAAGGTCAAGGGGCCACATCTGGTGAGGGCCTTCTTGCTGGTGAGGACTCTGCAGAGCCCCAAGGTGGCATAGGGCATCACATGGCGAGGGGGCTGAGCATGCTAGTTCAGGTCTCTCTTCCTCTTCTAATAAAGCCACCAGTCCTACTCCCAGGATAGCCCGTTAATCCATTAACCCACCGATCAACTAATCCCTTCATGAGAGCAGAGACCTCATAACCCAGTCACCTCTTAAAGACCCCCTCCTCAATATTGCCATGTTGTGGATTAAATTCCAACAAAGTTTTGGAGGAAATAAATATTCCAACCATAGCAATAAGTTTGGTAAAGCCTCTTGCAACAGAGCCTGACGCAGAGTTGGGGCATTATATTTTCCTTATGCTAAGTGCCACTAAGATAATATTAGCAACTATGACACATATAGAAAGTAATACATGTCATCACAACTTTTGCACCGGTTATCCAATTCTGTGAAGATACCTTAAGAAAATAACATAAACTACTGAAACTTTACGCTTGAAAAATGTTCACCATAGTAATCCTTTAAAAAAGACACTGGCAGTAACCTGAATAGCCAACAATGGGGGAGTGATTACATAAATCTGCATTTTCCAATGTATATATATTTTTTACTATGCAAATGTTCTTTATCAATTCATATATATAAATATACTTATAAAACTTGTAGTATTTTAAAATATTTTATAATTTCGTTTTCTTTTTATTTAACAGACACATATAATGCTTATTATGTACCAGGCACTGTTCTAGGCATTGTTACAGGCACTTCAAAAATATTTAGAATATTACACTTATAAATATTAGCTCATTGATATATGTTTTACAATTTTTTGTAAAATTGTTTATGTTTAAAAAAGTATTACAATTCTACAAAAAATATTAATTTAATATAATCCAATAATATTCATGTTATTAAGACAAAATTCAACTTTCTGTTTAACATGACACATACTTTAAATCAATTATGTAAGACAAAATATAATTTGTGATTTACATTTCGAAATGGAATTGTTTATTATGGTTAGTTTAGGGACCAAGCCTATATTCAGTATAGATTAAAAGTAACTACATGCAGCTGGGCGAGGTGGCTCATGCCTGTAATCCCAACACTTTGGGAGGCTAAGGTGGGTGGATCACCTGAGGTCAGGAGTTCAAGACCAGCCTGGCTAACATGGTGAAATCTCGTTTCTACTAAAAATACAAAAATGGCCGGGCGCTGTGGCTCACCCCTGTAATCCCAGCTCTTTGGGAGGCCGAGGTGGGTGGATCACGAGGTCAGGAGATGGAGACCATCCCGGCCAACATGGTGAAACCCCACCTCCACTAAAAAAAAAAAAAAAACATAAAAATTAGCCGGGAGTGGTGGCGGGCGCCTGTAGTCCCAGCTATTCCGGAGGCTGAGGCAGGAGAATGGCGTGAACCCGGGAGGTGGAGCTTGCAGTGAGCCGAGATCGCGCCACTGCACTCCAGCCTGGGCGACAGAGCGAGACTCCGTCTAAAAAAAAAAAAAAAAAAAAAAAATTAGCTGGGCGTGGTAGCACACGCCTGTAACCCCAGCTTCTCTCGAGGCTGAGGCATAAGAATCACTTGAACTCAGGAGGCAGAGGTTGCAGTGAGCCAAGATCAAACCACTGCACTACAGCCTGGGCAACAAAGTAAGACTCTGTCTCTAAAATAAAATAAAAGTAACTACATGCTATGGCAGTCAAATGGACAAAAGCTATTGTGATTGCCTAGTGTTTAGAATTTTTGCATTTTAGCTTAAAATATCAACTTTTTTAAATTAAAAATTTCTTTTCACATCAGATGAGTAATGTGCTGATGTCATAACAAGGAAGTTTGAAGGAGTCACATCTCACATATTAGCATGAAAACCCAATCATCACCCTTATGAATCACAAACGGATCTCAACTGTTTTATTTTTGGACATTTTATGTTTTGTTTCAAAACAAAGAGATGAGAGATTTCAGGCTGTCATTTGCAAACAATTTTCTACAAGTACATTTGGAAATGGAATTGGGGTATGGATAATCATTATTCCCAGTAAATGAATTGTTCCTTGCTATAGTTTGAATGTGTCCCCTAAATTTCTTTCTTTTTTTTTTTTTTTTTTTTTTTTGAGACACGTCTCACTCTGCCATCCAGGCTGGAGTGCAGTGGTGCAATCTCAGCTCACTGCAACCTCCACCCTCCCGAGTTCAAGCAATTCTCCTGCCTCAGACTCCTGAGTAGCTGGGATTACAGGCACCCACCACTATGCCCGGCTAATTTTTGTATTTTTAGTAGAGATGGGGTTTCACCATGTTGGCCAGGCTGGTCTCAAACTCCTGACCTCAGGTGATCCACCCATCTCGACCTCCCAAAGTGCTGGGATTACAGGCGTGAGCCACCGCACCTGGCCAGCATAATGTTTTTAAGGTTCATCCATGTTATAGCATGAGTCCGTGTGGAATTTATAACAGTCCAATAGACTTCTTAGGTGTTAGTCCCCAGTGTGTTGTGCTGAGCGGGGTATGGACTGAGGCACTGGCTTATCATCTCCACTAACCCTGTGTGTATCCACGTGACACACATCCAGAGGCTCTCATGCTGCTCAGCTTTAAAGGGGCAATGTTTCAAATTAAAAACTGAGCTACTTTTTATTTTTTGAAATTAAAACAAATGCCATTGCTGTCTTTGACAATGTGACCCCCCCCTGGAAAGATGTTCATGAATCCTCTAGAGAATCACGAGCACCTTATGGGACCCCCATGAGGTGGACCTTTTTGCAGCCATTAGATGTGATGCTCATGAAGACAAAATCTACGAGAAAAATGTTTATGATCTAATGTCACAGGGGAAAGTGTAATACAAGGTCATAGTATGCTATGAAAATTAGAGGAAGACCATTTAAAACTGCGTAAAGACACTTCTGATGAGAAGACAGAAAGGGAATGTACAAAATAATAACAATACCATGCTGGATGGTAGAACCATGGGTACATTTTTTTCCCTCCTGAACTTTCCAAAGATCTGTAATGTGCTTATATTACTTTCATAATTTAAACAATGATCACTGGCCTTGAGCAGCTTTTTGCTCAAGTCAACCTTGGTTCAAGCCATCACAAAAGTACATGCAGACCCTCATGTATCAATAGATAGGAATCTTTAAGTTAAATGATTGGAAAATTACACAGGAACCACTTTCTAATGTTCACTTTGGAAAGATAACTGCCATTGGCTTGCCTTTTAGAAGACAGCTTCTTTTAATGAGGCCCTTTTTGTACTTCATTAATCCACCCCCAACGGCCTTTAATTAGACCAAATTCTGTTTCCCACACACTTCTTTAAACAAAAGAACAGTACATTCATGTAATGTACCAGGCCACCTATTTAGCCCACCTGTTTTAATGTGTTGGGAAGGACATCGGCTTGGTTGTTCAGGAGGTCTGAGGTCTAACCGTAGCTGTGTGGACTCTGGCAAGTGAAACTCCCTTCTGAACTTTTTTCTTTCTCATCTGTTCCATGTGAATGGGAGTCCTGACTTCTATGGAGCTCTAAGTGAGAAGGAAATTCTCAGCTCCTTAAATGATCTCTGTATTTCTCATAAGTAGACATACTCAGGCTGAAAAGCAGGAAAGTAGAAGTGTGATCAAAAGGCTGGAAAGCAGGAAAGGGAAGTGTGATCAAAAAGGGTTCACATGAAAATAAGCAAGACAGGAGAGAAAGCACCGGAGGGTGAACCTCAGGAGACCTGAATTCTACTCCCAGCTCTGCCACTGGTCACTGGCAATCCTGAGTTAGTCATTTCCCTTCTTTAGGGCTCAGTTTCTTCTTCTGTGAAATTAGGTGACAGGTCCTAAGGCCCCTCCGGTCACAAATTCTATATATATATATATTTTTTTTTTTTTGAGATGGAGTTTCACTCTTATTGCCCAGGCTGGAGTGCAATGGCGCGATCTCAGTTCACCACAGCCTCCACCTCCTAGGTTCAAGCGATTCTCCTGTCTCAGCCTCCCGAGTAGCTGCGATTACAGGCATGTGCCACCACGCCCGGCTAATTTTGTATTTTTAGTAGAGGCGGGGTTTTTCCATGTTGATCAGGCTGGTCGTGAACTCCCGACATCAGGTGATCTGTCCACCTTGGCCTCCCAAAGTGCTGGGATTATAGGCATGAGCTACTGCGCCCGCCCCCCTCCCTCCTGTCACAAATTCTATTAATATGTGATGCTATATCACAGGACAAGGATTGCCTATTTAGCCTCACTTGGTTCTTACAGGACCTCTTTGTTATTCAAAGGACTCAGCAAAATGTTGACTTTTTAATCTTTTAATTCATTCTCCCGTCATCTGTGAAGTAAATCAGAGGAGAAAATCCAGATCAACATTCCCATTTAAGCCAGTTTCTTGAGGCTGATACTTAACAAACAATAAACTGATGAATCATGAGATGGCCTTGGAAAATATTAGACACTTAAATCTTCTCAACATTTTTCAGGAAATAGGCTGTAAATGGGGGAAGAAAAAAATGTAAATGTGTTCAAGATGGGGAATTGTCTTAAATAAAAATAACTACATTTTATTTTTAAATTAAAAAAAAAAATACTTCCCCTGCAAGAACACTTAGGATGAGAACAAAAATACTATTAGGGTTTTTTTTCTTTAGAACTCACAGCCAACTCTTGCTAAACAGAGCATTTTGGAAAATTTGCATCATGGCTGCAGATTCAGGCAAGGAGGGTGGTTGGGATGGGTGACTTTTCCAGCCACTTTCCCAGTTACTTGGTTTCCCTGATGGTGACACTCTGCTGTAAAACCAAATGCCACAATCATCAGGGGAAGGTGTGGGGTAAAAGCATGGAGGTGGCAACGTTTATCTTCCGGCTCAGTACCTGGTTGTCTCCTGCAGTGGCAACTCCTCTAAAAAGGTGCCCACTAAGGCCAGGCGCAGTGGCTCACGCCTGTAATCCCAGCACTTTGGGAGGCCGAGGCAGGCGGATCATGAAGTCAGGAGATCAAGACCATCCTGGCCAACATGGTGAAACCTCGTCTCTACTAAAAAAAAAAATACAAAAAATTAGCCGGGCGTGGTGGCAGGCGCCTGTAGTCCCAGCTACTTGGGGGGCTGAGGCAGGAGAATATTGTGAACCCGGGAGGTGGGCTTGCAGTGAGCCGAGATCGTGCCACTGCACTCCAGCCTAGGCAACAGAGCAAGACTCTGTCTCAAAAAAAAAAAAAAAAAAAAAAGGTGCCCACTACACCCATAATCCTTTTTGTTTCTTTCTTTTTTTCCACACAGTCAAAGCTTTTTCCCAGGACAAAACTTCTAAGTGTATTGTTCAGATCTATAAGTGATCGAGCATGTCCTACATGGCGTTATATGTTCCCTATGTTGATAAGCTTCTACAGGATTCAAAGGCAGAATTTTCCAGCTACAGTTACAGTCACCAGCCTGGGTTGAGATAGCATGGGGATGTGAGAGGAAGGGGTGTTTCTAGGGTCTATCCATCAGGGTTCAGTTGCAGAAACCACTAGGGCTAACTTAAACAAATGATTCCTTGACAAGAGAAATAGGTACTTAAAAAATTGTTTGAGGGGCTGTAGGAAGAGCCCTACGGTGACCTTCCAAGAATGACTCCCCAGAACAAGATGGCAGAAGTGGCCCATAAGGGAGCTGCTTCTTCTGTCACTACAATAAGTTGGAGAATCAGGAAATACCAGAAATACTAGGATCACATCGTTCCTGACACCCACAAAGCTAAGAACCAGACACTGGGACTCTTCCCACTTCTGTCACAGAACTCCATTTATCTCCACACATGTGCATGCCAGGAGAATGACAGAGAATAGCAGAACTGTGGCCCCCACCTTATATCTGTCTTCCAAACTCCCAAGTGAGTTTCCTTGATGGACTCAGAACTCAGCTCTAAAGGAGTCTAGGAAATTAATAGTCTTTCTCTTTTTATCTGAAGCATTTAGCAAGGCATATTAGCGGAAAAATTACCCCCACTTGTTTCTGCCCTGGAATCCTATAAAAGTTGATCAACCTTGGGAACATATAACCCATTGTAGGGTATTCTCAACCACTTATAGCTCAGAACAATGCATTTCAAAGTTTTGCTGGGAGTCGGAATGGAGCTGAGTGGGCCTATCTGTAATATTTGTCATGGAGTGGGGAAAAACACAATTCCCCCTAGGCCCCTTAAGGTTCACTATGATACACCAAAGCCAGCCCTGAACATCATCATGTGTATAAGAAGAATCTATGCAAAGTGTAAGACCTTCTGGTGGGGGAGGACTCTGAGTACAGAATATAAATCACTCTTGGCTTCCCAGAGCTTACGCTGACTCATTTGAGAAACAGAAAAAGTGACTGGCAGGCCAACATATACATACACATGCATATAATATACATATATGCACACACATATATATGAAACTTTTGAAAAAAATGCACTAGGGAATTTATTATTTGCATATTTAAAAAATCTACCTTAGATAGCATCAGTATGTAGAGGCTAGGGACATGTTCAATTCCAACATTTATTGAGGGCTGACTGAGTACCAACTGAGGGCTAGATACATCCATGCGGGCTTTTCCATTTAGTCTTCATAATATGTGAATGTAGAATTCCAGAAGCATGAGATAGCTAGACACATAGATATCCTTGGATATATAAAACAGTTATTAGATTTCCCTGGCTGGAAAATTTAGGGATAGAAACTGAGTATGTGTGTAGATGATGCATTTATCTTTATTGAGAAAGTGAGCATTGAGAGGAAGGTGCACTCATTTAGAGAAGATGTCGGATTTCCAAAATCAGACATGTGGGGAATAAATATGTGTAGCTCACATGGCATTGCACTGCTGATGATCATCTTAACTATAATTTAAAGGTTAGATTATAATTTAATGGTGTTATGAATGAAGTGTTATGACCTCGGCATACTGCCTGGTTGATGTGTGCCTGTATATGCACACTTGTGTGTCTTGGGGAGGGGGACGTTCTGTTTCAGAAGTCACCAAAAAGAAAGTTATTCTTCTACTTAAGAGGAAGCAGTAAAACACTAACCCACTGACACAACACATCACAAAACACAGAACACAGAAGTAGCTGGTCAGAACTCTCATATTCAAAGGCAGATCTTCCATCTCCAGCAGCCAAAGACTTAAGCCATGTTCCGGGTAAAGTAACAAGAGGAAGGTGTTTTTCGGAACCATCCTGAGGAAATCAAAGGCTTTTGGGGGGCAACTGAATGGGTAAGGATTCTGTATTTATAGGTAGAATGTGTCCAAGATGGATGGAGGAAGACCTCCTGATTTGGGAGGTAAGTCTTGCCACCAGGTGGCACACACTATTGTCTTTCTTGTTCTTTTTTATTTCTTTAATTTTCTATATTGATAGTAATAATAATAATGGTATCTATTGAGTTTTGTTTTTGTTTTTGTTTTTGTTTGAGACAGAGTCTTGCTCTGTCACCCAGGCTGGAGAGCAGTGGTGTGATCTCAGCTCCCTGCAACCTCTGCCTGCTGGATTTAAGCAATTCTCCTGCCTCAGCCTCCTGAGTAGCTGGGATTACAGGCACATGCCACCACACCCAGCTAATTTTTGTATTTTTAGTAGAGACAGGGTTTCGCCATTTTGGCCATGCTGGTCTTGAACTCCTGACCTCGGGTGATCCACCTGCCTCTGCCTCCTAAAGTGCTGGGCTTATAGGCGTGAGCCACCGCTCCTGGCTACTGAGTTCTTATATATGTGTTTGGTATTTACTACCTCATTTAATAGGCATGTCATTGTTCTCATTTTACAGACAAGAGAAGGACACTTAAAGAGTTTACCAAAGCCATAGAAAAAATAACCATGGACTCCAGGATTTAAACCCAGGTCTGTCCCCAGAGCCTGAGCTTTTAACCACCATTGAGGTCCTAGCATCAGGACCGAGTCAACGAAACTACTGTGGAAGTAGGCCCAGTTCTAGCACAAATGCAGAGAAGATGTGGAATAAAGTATAATCCAAATAAATCTCCAGGTGCTAGGAATGAAGAGAACCATCAAAGGCAGAGCAGCTAGCTGAGCTGATGTCATAGTAGCCCAGAAGAATATGGATCTGGAGTTAGGGCCGGGGGCTAATACCTGTGAGAGGACAGGAGGAAGGCAGCGAGCCCTGCATAAAATTGAAGGCCTTGAGCTGGCATGGTGGCACATGCCTGTAGTCCTAGCCACTTGGGAGGCTGAAGCAGGAGGACCGCTTGAGCCCAGGGGTTTGAGGCCAGTCTGGGCAACATAGTGAGACTCCGTATCTTAAAATAAATAAATAAATAAATAAATAAATAAATAAGGCCTTGTGGCACTCTTCCCCCCTTAAATGGAGATAGAAAAACTGGACATGGGCCCTGGGAATCAGCCAGGAAGCTCACCATTTGTTTAAGGTCTGGAACATGAGGGGGAAAATGTCATCCAGAGAAACCTAAACCCTGGGCCTATGCCATGTGCATAGGAGTGAGGGCCATTGACACACTCAGCATTCTGGCAGAAGCAAATGTGTGAATCATCTCCGCGGAGAAAATGTTACTACTCAAGAGTTTCAAGGATTCCCATTGGGAGAAACAACCTGCTGAAGACAAGTTCACAATAAAAAATTACAAACACCCTACTATGCTGGTGAGAGTCAAATCCTGTCTAAGATTTAAAGAGTGAAAAATAGGTTGGACTGGAAAAAGAAAGAAAAGAAAAAGCAACTGTCAATTCAAGCCAGAAAGAAGACAGACATAAAGAAAGCCAGCTGCAAAGTTCACAGGAACATTGCTTCCCCCAAAGTCAGTCGGCAGCTGTAAAATGCCATAAAGACCCCCTCTTTGAACGTTGACTGCTTTCCTACCAAACTCCCAGACAGCTTTGCCATACCCACCTATTGCTGGTTAGCCCATTGCTGAGCTACTGCTGCCTCATGGCAGCACCCAATACCTACTTAATCCCCACTTCTCTTAACTGACCCCACCCCCAACCAGAGTAGGAGCAACCAATCCAGAACTGATGCCTACTTCCCTTAGAATCTTCAGAATCCTTCAGCAGCTTCCTGTCTTCCCTCTTTGGAGCGACACTCCACATTTCCCCCGGAGTGGCCTCCCTTGCTGGACTGAGTTAATAACTAATTTGGTCAGACTACAGACTGGCTCCTGATGCTCCGTGGTGATTAGATTTTTATCAGTAGAGAGTTAGCATATGCAACAAACAGAAAAATTGGCACTTAACCAAAAGTCAATAGAGAATCTAGAGGATGCTATAAATAATAAGTTGACTTTAAATGATTAAAGAAATGATGGTGATAATGATAATGATAGCAAACATATAATGCTGTTCTAAGGGCTTCACAAAATATTAACTCATTCAATCCTCACAAAGTTCCTGTGAAGTAGGTACTATTGCTTTCTCTCTTTTACAGATGAGATATTAGGAAATTTGCTCATGGTTACCACAAGCTATTAGAGTGGCAGAGCTGAGATTTGAACCCACGCAGTTTAGTTCCAGAGCATATGCAACTAATCACTATAAATTAAAAAGCAACAGGACACTATTAAATAAAAGTAGGCCAATTTGAAGGAAGAACCAAATCAAACTTCCAGAAATGAAAAATAGAGTCACTCATTCATTCATTCGTCAAATATTTATTGAGCTCATATAATGTGCCAGACACACAGAGGCTCTGAGGATATTGCAGTGAACAAACCAGACAAAAATCCTTGTCCTAGTAGAGTTTACTTCTTTTTTTTTGGGGATGGTGTCTCGCTCTGTCACCCAGGCTGGAGTGCAATGGCACAATCTCGGCTCACTGCAACCTCCGCCTCCCAGGTTCAAGCGATTCTCCTGCCTCAGCTTCCTGAGTAGCTGGGATTACAGACGTGTGCCACCACACCCGGCTAATTTTTGTATTTTTAGTAGAGACGGGGTTTTGCCATTTTGGCCAGGCTAGCCTCAAACTCCTGACCTCAGGTAATCTGCCTGCCTCGGCCTCCCAAAGTGCTGGGATTACAGGCATGAGCCACCATGCCTGGCAGAGTTTACATTTTAATGAAGAAGACACAATAAATATAATGCGTAGCATGTTAGGTAGGGCTAAGTGCTACACAGAAAAAATAAAGTAGGGAAGGGGGATATGAAACATCAAAAAGGGGGTTAAGGCCATGTGTGGCGATGCGCACCTGTAGTCTCAGCTACTGGGGAGGCTGAGGTGGGAGGATCACTTGAGCCTGGGAGGTCGAGGCTGCAGGTGCCACTGCACTCCAGCACTCCAGCCCGGGTGACAGAGTGAGACCCTGTCTCAAAAAAAAAAAAAGAAAAAAGAAAACAGAGGAGACGGGGCGGTTGAAATTTTAGATAGGGCGTCTGAGAAAGCCTCACTGAGAAAGTGATTTTTATTCCACTCCTGAAAAAGTGAGAGAGCAAGCCAAATTGGTATATGGGGAAGAACTTTTCAGGCAGAGGAAGCAGCCAGAACAAAGGGCCTGAGTGGGGAACCTGCCTGGTGTTTTTAAGTCACAGCAAGGAGCCTTGCTTGCTGTGTGGATAGAAGTAGAGTGTGTGTGTGTGTGTGTGTGTGTGTGTGTGTGAGAGAGCGAGAGAGAAAGTAATGGGAGATGAGTTCATGACATAACAGGGGGCCAAATCATGCAGGGGCTTGCAGGCCACACTGAAGACTTTGGTTTTACTCCAATGACAAGGGAGCCACTGGTGGGTTCTGAGCAGAGGGACATAAGGATCTGACTAAATTTCACAGCATCACTCTGGCAGCCATATTGAGAATAAAGTGTAGGTAGACCAGCCAGGAGACTACTGCAATAATCCAGGCAAGAAATGATGGTGACTTGGACCAGATCTATTTTTAGGTAAAACCCATAAGATTTCCAGTATTTGCAGTGTTAGACAAAGAGGAGTTAAAGGTTTTTAAACTGAGCATCTGTAATATCTGAGTACCACCTGTAATCTCATTAACTGAGATAGGAAAAATGGCAGGGTTTGGGAATGAAGATCAGGAGCTCCATACTTCCAAGTGGAGATATCTCCTAGCCAGCTAGGTATAGGGGTCTGGAGTTTAGGGGGGAAATCTGAACTAAAGACATAAATTTGAAAATTATCAGCATGTCTGTGGTATTTGAAGTCATAAGACTCATGACTTCATCTGGAAAGTGGTTGAGATTGTAAAAAAGAGAAGAGGTCCAAGGACTGAGCCCTGGGGATTTCATCATTAGGAAGTAAGGAAGATGAAGAGGAACCAGCAAATGAGACTGAAACAGAACACCCAGAAATACAGGAAGAAAACCAGGTGACAATGGTGTCTTCAAAGCCAGATGAAGGAAGTTATTAAGGTGTAAAAGCCAATAGATGGGTTAAACAGAAAATTAGGCCCAGATGAAGACAAAATTAGTAAATTCAAAGTTAGAAGACAACGGAAAATTTAAAAAGAGTGATTAAGAGAAATGGAGGAAAAAGAGATTCAACATGCATTTAGTGAGCATCCCTGCAGAAAAGAAGAGGGAATATGAAAAAAGCAATCTTTAAAGAGGAGAATATCTAAGAATTTTCTATAATAAAATTTAAAAAGATGTGAGTGTTGTCGGCTGGTGGGTTGGTTTCCCTGGGAAGTAGACTGGGACACAGATTAGCACACAGGAGGCTTATCAGGGAGTGCTCTTGGGATCAGCACCAGTGTCGGGGGTGGAAGCAGGACTGGGCAGAGGGAGAGGGTGAGTTATGATGGAGTCTCAACTAAGACTTCAGCCACCTCATGAAAAGAATGACCTGGTTTGCCCAGGACTTGGAAGTTTCCTAGGATGTGGAAATTTCAATGCTAAAGCCAGGATAGTCTCTGGCAAACTAGGATGAGTTGATCATCCTACCACGGGGAACTCTGAGACGAACATGGAACTTTAGAATTGTCCACCATGGGGATGAGAAGACTGGTTCTTTGTAGTCCTGCATCAACCAATCACTGGATGCAGCCTGTCTCCAGGAAGTAGTGTGACCCTGTGAGTAAAGCAGCACTATTCAGCCGAGAGCAATTCCTGTAGAGGACTGACATTTCTGACATTTGAGCATTGTCTTCTAGAAGCAGCCCCAGCTCCCAGTACCCAGCATCTGGAGGATTAGGTCCTTTGGTCTGGAAGAGAGATTTGGGTAGTGCAGGATTACATCTGCCATAATGAGTCTTTCTTTTGACAGTTCTCAAAAGAAGATGTACAAATGGCCAAAAAACATATGAAAAAATACTGAACATCACTAATTATCAGGGAAATGCAAATCAAAGCCACAGTGTGATACCACCTTACTCCTACAAGAATGGCTATAATTTAAAAAATTAAAAAATAATAGATGTTGGCATGGATGTGGTGAAAAGGGAACGCTTTTACACTGCTGGTGGGAAAGTAAACTAGTTCAACCACTATGGAAAACAGTATGGAGTTTCCTTAAAGGACTAAAAGTAGATCTACCTTTTGATCCAGAAATCTCACTACTGGGTATCTACCCGGAGGAAAATACATCATTATATGAAAAAGACACTTGTACAAACGTTTATAGCAGCACAATTTGCAATTGCAAAAATATGGAACCAGCCCAAATGCCCACCTATCAACAAGCAAATAAAGAAAATGTTAAATATATATATATAATGTATGTATGTATACACGCACCATGGACTACTACTCAGCCATAAAAAGGAACAAAATAATGGCATTTGCAGCAACTTGGATGGAGTTGCAGACCATTATTCTAAGTGAAGTAACTCAGGAATGGACATTGTATGTTCTCATTTGTAAATGGGAGCTAAACTATGAGGATGCAAAAGCATAAGAACAATACAATGGACTTTGGGGACCGGGGGAAGGAAGGGAGGGCGTGAGGGATAAAAGACTACACATTGGGTACAGTGTACACTGCTCAGGTGATGGATGCACCAAAATCTCAGAAATCACCACTAAAGAGCTTATCTATGTAACCAAATATCCCTGGTTCCCCCCCAAAACCTATTGAAATTAAAAACAAGAAGAAGACTTGAAAGGATCAAACTGTGTTTTAGTAATTTAACTCTGTCCCAGAGCAAAGCTTGAGACATTTATAAGAATATGAAAACATCCAGCATCTAACAAGGTAAAATACACAATGTCTGACATCCAATCAAAACTTACTAGGTATGCAAAGAAGTAGGAAATTATAATCCATAACAGTGAGAAAAATCAATTAATAGAACCATATTGAGAAACAGCACAGATGACAGAATTAGTAAATAAGAACATTGAAAGTTATTGTAAGTATATTTCACATGATTGAGAAGCTAGAGGAAAGACTGAGCATGTTAAGTAGAGACATGGAAGACATAAAAAAGGCCCAAATTGAACCCCTAGAGATGAAAACCATAATGTCTGAGATAAAATGTCACTGTGTGGCCTGAACAGCAGATTAGACACTACAGGAGTTAATAGAACTCATCAGAAAGATTTAACAATCAGAACCACCATGTACCTAAGAGTAAAGCCTTAAAGTCAAAGTGTATTAAGCAGAAATTAACAGATCCAAAGGAGAATTTGATAACTTCACAATCATAGTGGAAGATTTTAGTATTGCTTTATCAATATTTGATAGTAAAAAAGTGAGATTTTAAATAAAATATATACTTTTAAACATTTTAAATAAAAATCCAAAGTAAGCACAAATTGGCATTGAAGGTCTACAACCTCATGTACTGAGACATTTGTCATCTACCATGAGCTACTTTAGGGCAGGAACTGTGTCCTGTTTAGGATTGAATCTCCAGGGCCCAGCATGGGGCCTGACACTTTTTAGATTATCAATAAGTAAATACTTATACATTCTAAATAATAAGTGAATTCTAAATAAGTAGCTAAAGCATTAGTAAGTCTACAGAAGAATTAAATGGGCAGTTAAACAGTTTGAATTAATGGAGATGTATACAACTGTACCCAATAGCAAATAGAGCATACATATTTATTTCAAAAACATGAGAACAACTAAAATAGTCAACCATACAGTAACCATTAGACAATGAAAATTTTGCTGTCATCCAGTTGCAGGCGACTCTAACTGTAACTGATGTTTTCTTGCTATATAAGCAGTGAATTCAGATACTTTTAATGGTTCTTGCAAGTATAGTTATTTTATTTTCTGGGAAGTTGAGGAGGGGGCAACACTTCCTTCCTCCCATTCTTCATGCTGACAAGCTAATATCACTTCATAATCAGACAATAAAAACAAAAATCTTGATACAAGGACCTGACAGAACAGCAAGAAGCGATGTGGAACTCAATACAGCAGGTCCAAGAAGTGACTTAACAAAATCTCACAATCAGAGAATGTTAGAATTCAGCCCAAATCTCTGTATTGATCATCACCTTATTGAGAAGACGAGATATGAACTGTAAAATTATACTATACTGATTGTATAATAAACGGACATTCAGTTTTCAGCTCATATGTTGTTTCTATAAACTCCCCTGTCAAAAAGTGCATTCAAGTACATACTGCTATAGTTAGATATCTGGGTTGATTGAGCCCTATCTGATGATAGGCAGGACTCTCATGCCCAAGGAGATGAAATGAAATAGACATCAGTCTCATGGAAGATTTCTTCTTTTTTTATAACAGTTTTATTGAAATGTAATTCATACGCCATACAGTTCATCCATTTAAAATGTACGATATGATGTTTTTAGTATATTCACAGAGTTTTAAATCATCAACACAATCAATTTTAGAATATTTTCATTACCCCTGAAAGAAATTTTGTACCCATTTGTCCCATTAGCCATCATTCTTCATTGCCCACAACCCTAGGCAAACACTAATCTACTTTGCGTCTCTATAGATTTGCCTATTCTGCATATTTCATATAAATAGAATAATATACTATGTGGTCTTTGTGATTGGCTTCTTTCACTGAACATTTTCAAGGTTCATCCATGTTGCAGCAGGTATCAGTACTTCATTCCTTTTTATCAAATAATAGCCTGTTGTATAGATAATACCGCATGTTATTTATCCATTAATCAATTGATAGACATTTGAGTTGTTCCTACTTTTCAGCTATTATGAATAGTGTTGCTACAAGGAATTCCTGTATAAGTTCTTGTGGAGACATAGGTTTTCATTTCTTTGGGTTGTATAGCTAGTAGTGAAATTGCTGGGTCATATGATAAACCTATGTTTCACACTTTGAGGAAATGCCAGATTGTTTTCCAAAGCAGCTGCACCATTTGACATTCTCATCAGCAGTGCAGAGTTCCAATTTCCCCACATCCTTGTCAATATTTGTTATTATGTCTTTTTAAATTATAGCTATCCTATTTCATTGTGGTCTAAATATTGCTTTAATGGGAGCTTCTTATTCTTTTTCTGTTTCCTTTTTTTTTTTTTTTTTTTTTTTTTTTGAGACAGGATTTTGCTCTGTCACCCAGGCTGAAATACAGTGGTGTAATCACGGCTCACTGCAGCCTTGACCTGCAGGATTCAAGTGATCTTCCCACCTCAGCCTCCCAAATAACTGGGATTGCAGGCATGCACCACCACACATGGCTGACTTTGTTTTTTTTTTTTTTTGAGAAGGAGTCTCACTGTGTTGCCAGGCTGGAGTGCAGTGGTGCAATCTCGCCTCACTGCAACCTCCACCTCCCTCCGCCTCCTAGGTTCGAGTGGTTCTCCTGCCTCAGCCTCCGAGTAGCTAAGACCATAGGCACACGCCACCATGCCCAACTAATTTTTTTTTTTTTTTTAGTAGAGACGGTGTTTCACCATGTTGGCCAGGATGGTCTTGATCTCTTGACCTCGTGATCTACCCACCTTGGCCTCCCAAAGTGCTGGGATTACAAGTGTGAGCCACTGCACCAGCCCTCCTAGCTAATTTTTAAATTTTTTGTAGAGACTGGGTCTTGCTATATTGCTTAAACTGGTCTTGAACTCCTAGGCTCAAGCAATCCTCCTGCATCAAGCCTCCCAAAGTGCTGGAATTGCACGCATAAGACACTGTGCCAAGCCAATGGGGCTTCTTTCTGATTGAGTGTTCTGCAAAATAATTGAATGTTTTTAATTACTTTATATAATATGTACTTTATTAACTTTGTTTACTCACAAAAATAATCAGATTTGTTATATAAAAAGTGTTTGGTTTTCTACTACTGTATAACAAACTATCCCATAATGTAGGGGTTTAAAACAACAACCATTTTATTCTCTTGCTATTCTGTAGGTTGACTGGGCTCTGCTGGATGGTTCTTCTGCTCTATGTGATGTTGGCTGGGGCTGCAGTCACCTGGGAGTACTACTGTACAGGAAAATCCAAGCTATCTCTCTTACGTGTCTGGTACCTTGGCAGTGATGGCTGGAAGGCTGGACTCAGATGGGGTACTTGAGCCGCTAGGATTTTTTCTATTTCTACATAGTCTCAAGGCCTCTGTCTTTCCACATGGCCTTCCCAGCAGAGGAGGTGGACTTCATACCTGGCAGCACAGAGCTCCCAAAAGTGCAAAAAGGGAGACTTTGAGACTTTTCTAAGGCTTTGGCCTGGAACTGATGTAAGTATCACTTCTACCATGTTTTATTGGTTAAAGTGAATCTGGGCCAGTCTAGATTCCATGTGGGAGGGGACTACAGAATGGCAGGAGTCATAGGAGGCATGGATCCTTGGGGGCCACCTTTGGAGACTAGCTACCAGAAACAACACTATCAACAACAACAAAAGAAAACAACAACAACAAAAAATAGCCAGGCACATTGGTTCATGCCTGTAGTCCCAGCTACTCAGGAGACTGAGGTGGGAGGATCTCTCAAGCCTGGAAGATTGAGGCTGCAGTGAGCCACGATCATGCCACTGCATTCCAGCCTAAGTGACAGTGACACACTGTCTGAGAAAAACATTAAGGATAACTTTTGAGCACATTATTATTGTTAGTTATTGATTTTACCAAGAAACTAATGGATAGCATCTATTATGCCTGAATAAGGAGTTTTTGTGTCCTTTGCAATGCTGAAGACTGTTGTACACATCTCCTATTAGCTTGTTTTAAGCCAGAGCTTAATTTTTAATAATTCAGTGATGAATCTTATTTAATCTCTTAAACCTCTTGCCTAATTCTCTTTTACATTATGGGATTAAACACATTAAAAAGAAGATATGGCCAAACAATGACTCACTCTTCTTTCAACGAGATCCCCAAAGGCAGATAGACTAGAAGAAATGTGGCAGAAGTGAATGAAATACACAAGTCGAAACTCAGATATAAATCATCAGAGGCTCAGTCTATTGACTCCAACTTCCCCTTTCTTTCATGGCACAAAAATTAGTCTTAAAGGTTTGCAAATGCTACTCACTGCTGTACTTGCCACAAAATATTCCATATTGCGGCTGACATTACTAACTCACCGTCACAAACTATTTGCTTTGAGCTTTCTCTAACAGTAGGGAGAGGTCACACTGAGTCATCTACACTCTCACTCAGTCCCCTGAGAACCCTCAGGAGATTCATTTGCTTGATGGCTGGGCAGGATTAGCAATGTAGGGATGGTGGCTGTAGAGTGGGACCTTGGGCTGGTGGACCGTGTGCTCTTTGGGCCCAGGGCTGTATTAGGCTGAGGAGACTGAAGGAAGAGGCTGAACTCAGACTGGTTGAATGGAGCCCAATCAGGTCAATTTACTATACGGAACCCAGACATGGTGATATTGATGGAGCTCTGTGTTCTCACTCACTCACTTCCTGATTCTGCCTGGGCTGGTGAAGTGCATTGTGATGGGGTGGGGCTGGAAGGGTCCCTGCTCTGGGGCCACCTGTGTTTTGCTTCTTCTTAATAAGATCTGGAAAGTTCCCCCACTTTTACACTATGTTCCTTCCAATCACCAGCCTTGTGGGGAGGGTTGGGGAAATAAAATAGGAGCATCCCTTATGCCATGATTAAGGGGTGCTAAATAAAGCCCCCCTCTCTGAAAAAACCTGCCATATGGCTCAAGATACCTCCAGGACAACCTCCTTTGAGGCCAGGCATTGAAAGCAGCTGCAAAAAACCAAATGAAGTGGGGTACAATGGCACATGCCTGTAGTCCCAGCTACTCAGGAGGTTGAGGTGGGAGGATCACTTGAGTCCAGGAGTTCAAAGCTGTAGTGCTCTATGATTGCACCTGTCAGTAACCACTACTCTCTAGCCTAGGCAACATAGTGAGACGCCATCTCTAAAAAAAAAGAAAAAAAAGCAAATGAGGTTTGGGTGATCTTACATATACACCTATTCTCTGTCATTAACACTTTATCAATTCGGTTTATCAGACTTGCCCAGTGAAACATCTGAACTCTGGAAAAAGCACTCTAGACTGTATACTTTTACTGCAACCTCAGGTCCCAGATTTCAACCTTGAGAATTCTGCATATTTCTGCCAATGATAATTACAACTGTTGTACTGGAACTTTGTGTAGAAAGTATCAAAATACGATGATATCAAAATGAAACAGTCCATTCTTTACAGCCCACATTCCTTGGCTGGTTCAGAAGCTGCATTCTTTTTACTGTAAGAAAGCAAAAGCCAAACCAAAATTGGTGGGGGGTGGGGGGAGGGTGCATATTTAAAAACTGTGACCTCTCAGTGAGCTAAACCAGGACAGAAAAGTGAGAAGGATCATAAAGACTTCAGGGTAGGCCAAGTGCGGTGGCTCACACCTGTAATACCAGCACTTTGGGAGGCCAAGGCAGGCAGATTACTTGAGCTCAGGAGTTTGAGACCAGCCCGGGCAACATGGTGAAATCCCATCTCTACCAAAAATACAAAAAAATTAGCTGAGCATGGTGGTGCACATCTATAGTTCCAGCTACCTGGGAGGCTGAGATCAGAGGATCACTTGAACCTGGGAGGCAAAGGTTGCAGTGAGTCAAGATTGTGCCACTGCATTACAGCCTGGATGGCAGAGTGAGACCCCATTTCAAAAAAAAAAAAAAGCAGATTATATGGTGTAAGTTCATGTCTTTGTACATGTGCCCACCTCCCTGTTCCCACTCCTCCTTTTTTTCCACCTCTCATCCCCCAACTCCTGTGTCCTAGGCAGGCCTGGCTTTCCGAATTCACTTTCACTCCAGCCAGCCATTGCGATTGGCAGCCTGATCTATGGAGTGCAGGTGCATCCTAGTCTGACCTCCAGCCATGTGTTAAGCCAAGCAGGACAGGCTCTGCCCCAGCAGGGGTGGAAGATGGCACTTTGGAGGGTAAGTTCAAAACAGAAGAGTAACGGCAAGCCCACTCGACAACCATACCACATACTTCAATCTAGCTTTGTAACGAAGCCAACATTTTAATCTCCAAAAATGTAAAAATATAAAATAACAATAATTTCTAAAAAGAATCCTAAGAATCCAAATGGGGGAGGAGACATACTCCTCTATACTGCCCCTCCCCTGCATCTAGAGTTGCTTTCGGTTCCATCTACCAGTTTTCTGGAGTTCCCTGCCAGAGGCTCAGGGCTTATGGGGAGAGATCCTTAGGGTATTCCTTTTCCTTTTTATTTTTTAAAGAATTGTGATCTCACTATGTTGCCCAGTGTTCTCAAACTCCCGGACTCAAGGAATCATCCCACTTCAGCCTGCTGAGTAGCTGGGACTAGAGGCACGCACCACCACGCCAGGCTTCCTAGGGTGTTTCTGACTCAGCCTTTACCGACAGCCTTGCTCAGGCTATGGAACTATTCATCTGTGCATGCATATGAGCTGCATCCCCACTCCTTTACACTCTCAAAAAAGAGCACCCTCCATATCTCCCACAACAGTGAATATATAAATTCTTGACACCAATTGAACAAGTGTTTCTGTGTCAGACACCAGGAAGGGTACTGAGGTTACAGAAATAAAAGACAATCCATGAATTTTTTGGATGATCTCACAAACAAGTCATGTAAATGACTATTACACCATGTATAATAGTGTATTATTCTATAGAATATTCTATATATAGAATTTAAATAATATTTAAATTATTTAATTTAATTTATTATTATTTATAATTTTTTTAAATGCAGTATAATATTTATAATTATTTATAAAAAATTAAATTATTCTATATTCTATATAGAATTATTCTATATTTTATATAGAATTATTCTATATATTATTCTATATTCTATATAGAATTATTCTACATATTACTCTATATTCTATATAGAATAATTCTACATATTACTCTATATTCTATATAGAATAATTCTATATATTACTCTATATTCTATATAGAATAATTCTATATATTATTCCATATTCTATATAGAATAATTCTATATATTATTCCATATTCTATATAGAATAATTCTATATATTATTCCATATTCTATATAGAATAATTCTATATATTATTCCATATTCTATATAGAATAATTCTATATATTATTCCATATTCTATATAGAATAATTCTATATATTATTCCATATTCTATATAGAATAATTCTATATATTATTCCATATTCTATATAGAATAATTCTATATATTATTCCATATTCTATATAGAATAATTCTATATAGAATAATTCTATATATTATTCCATATCCTATATAGAATAATTCTATATATTATTCCATATCCTATATAGAATAATTCTATATATTATTCCATATCCTATATAGAATAATTCTATATATTATTCCATATCCTATATAGAATAATTCTATATATTATTCCATATCCTATATAGAATAATTCTATATATTATTCCATATCCTATATAGAATAATTCTATATATTATTCTATATAATATACAGCAGTGTATTCACGCTGCTGTAAAGATACTACCTGAGACTGGGTAACTTATAAAGGAAAGAGGTTTAATTGACTCACAGTTCTGCATGGCTAGGGAAGCCTCAGGAAACCTACAATCACGGCGGAAGGGGAAGCAAGGCACTTTCTTCACAAGGTAGCAGGACAGAGAGCAAGCAAGAGCAGGAAAAACTGCCTCATTATACCATTGGATCTCATGAGAACTCACTATCACAAGAACTTCATGGGGGAAACCACCCCCATGATCCAATCACCTTCCTCCCTCAACACGTGGGGATTACAATTCGAGATGTGATCTGGTTGGGGGACACAGAGCCAAACCATATCACACTATATGCTGAATTCTAGAATAGAGGTGCAATGGGTCGTGAGCACATAGAAGAGGAATTGTTTGACTCCATCTAGGGAAGGGAGGGGTTCAAAGCTTCTTATATAATGCTTTGGCTGCAAAGAACAGTGCCCAATTACAGTGGCCTAAGTAGTAAAGATATTTGCTATCTTACATATAAGAAGTATGGAGCTGAGAAGTCCAGGGTTAGTGTAGAATGCCATTAAGAACCAGGCTCCTTTTGTCCTGTGCATGACGGGAGAATCATTTTACTTTAAATCTCTTTATTTAAATCATTTTATTTTAAATCTTCTTCATTGTGAATTTAATATGAGCATTTCATGCTCATATTCATCATTTCTGATTCAGCAGTTCTGAATTTTTTCAGTAGATAAAATACATTTCAGGGTTTTAAAAATGTGATTAACTTACTCAGGCCAAATATGTTTACTTATCCTACGCATGTGACGCAGTACCTTTCAGTTCTGCAGTCATGACTGTACATTCCTTGATTGTCCCAAGAGTTGCTGAGTTTACCTTTATAACAACCGTTTTAGAGTCCAGAGGTAATTTCTCTCCAGCTCTAATAAAAATGACAAACTAGGTCAACTTCATTTGTCTTTGAAGTATGTTAGGAAGAAAAGGCAAGGTTGCAATTTTTTAAACTGTATTTATTTGTTTGATTACATGAGAGTAATACGTCTGTGTTCTAGAAGGTGTGGGCAATAAAGGAGGTTATGCAAGTTGGAAGTAGGAAGAAGGACAAAGGGGGCCTCCTGGAGTTGTGCAGTGCGCAACCTATGAGGCCATATGTGACAACCTTATTCTGAACACAGAGCACAGAAATAAAAATGCCCCATGACTCTACCTCCCAACAACAATATTAACATTTTGCTAAATTCAGCCCTTCTTCTAGGTATATAGTATGTTTAAATGATGTTATAATGTATAACTGCTTTATAACCTCTTTCACTTATAATTCATTATAAAAATTTTAAATACTTAAATATTCTTAAAAATATCATTCTCAATGGCACCATGTTTTATTGTTTTGTTTTGTTTGTTTGAGAACAGAGTCTCACTCTGTTACCCAGGCTGCAGTGCAGTGGTGCCATCTCAACTCACTGCAACCTCTGCCTCCCTGGTTCAAGCGATTCTCATGCCTCAGCCTCCTGAGTAGCTGGGACTACAGGTGCATGCCACCACGCCTGGCTAGTTTTTGTATTTTTTTGTAGAGACAGGATTTCGCCCTGTTGGCCAGGCTGGTCTCAGATTCCTGGTCTCAAATGATCCACCCACCTCGGCCTCCTGAAGTGCTGAGATTACAGGCATGAGCCACTGGGCCTGGCCTATTTTTTCATCCAACAAACACTTGTATGGTATTTTTATGTGAGCCAATATTTTAAGCTCATTAAAATATTAACTTGGCCAGACACAGTGGCTCACCCCTATAATCCCAGCACTTCGGGAGGCTGAGATGAATGGATTGCTTGAGCCCAGGAGTTCGAGACCAGCCAGGGCAACATGGTGAAACCCCACCTCTACAAAAAATACCAAGATTGGCCAGGCATGGCGGCATATGCCTGTAGCCCAGCTACTTGAGAGGCTGAGGTGAGAGGATCGTTTGAGCCCAGGAAATTGAGGCTGCAGTGAGCCATGCTCATGCCACTGCAGTCCAGCCTAGGCTACAGAGTGAGACCTCATCTCTAAAATAATAATAATAATTAACTCATGCGATCCTGCAGAGATATCTTTGTTTGCCCCTCCAGATGCCTCTATCCCCTCTCACCCTGCTCTGTGCCCTGGAAGGCTGATCTGAATAGACGGCAACAACAGGCTCTGTGACGTCTCCTTCTTCGGGTTTGCCCAGTGAGAGCTGTGGTAGTTTGGATTATCATTCCCAACTCTGTAATCTCTCCCTGTGTTAGGATTTTCCATGAAAGTATATGGAATATAAATATCTATTCCATTTATTTTAGGATCAGTCACATGACACACTTTGGCCAATGGGATGTTTGTAGACACCCTGAGCAGAGGACTGGAATGGAGTTTCCTTGGGTTGGCCTCTTGGCCACTCTCTCCAAAATGAGAGGCCCATGAAGCAGACCTGAATCTGACCCAAAGCCTGAAGCAGAGCAGGCCCAGTCAACTCAGAAGGAAGAAAAACAAATGTTTGTAGTTTGTAGCCACTGAGGTTTGTGGGTTGTTTGCATATACCATTATTGCAATCAGGGAGTGTAATTACAGGTATCTCAGGAGACAGGAGACTGGATGGTAATGTCAAGGTATGTATGAAGGGTCACAGGGCTGCTGGGTCCTTTCTTCAAAGCCACAGCTTCTCCTCTCCACGTCTCTCCACACCTCTCTCTCTCCAGGTTCCAAGACTACTCAAGTGCTCCCTAGGACACCCTGCTGTTGCCTCAATAGAATCTCTTTATTAGATTATACTTGAATTACCCAGTTTGAGAGTGTCTTCTGTTTCCTGCCTAAACTCTGAATGACAAAAAAAAAAATCCTCATAATCATCTTGTTATATAGGTACTATTATCCCATTTTACTAACAACAAAATTGAAAATCAGAGAGGTTAAGTAACTTGTACAAGGTCACGCAGCTAGTAAGTGGCAGAATTGAGATTTGAACCCAGGCAGGCTGGAATCATGCTCACTTCACTATGCCTCTGTGGATCCATCCTGTTATAATTCCCTTTACCAGCTCCCTATGGCTAGACATTTAGGTGGTATATATAAGCCTTTTATATATAATAAATAAAACAATGTTACAAAACATTGCTCTGTTTGCTTGTTTTTCTATTATAAATGCTTCTGTGATGAGAAATCTCTGTATAAATATTTGCTCATATTCAGGGTTAGGAAATTTTCTAAAAATGAAATAGTTGGATTAAAGAATATGAATGTCTCTGTTCCCTAACCCATTTTATCTTTCTTTTAAAAATTATTTCCTTCTGACTATAAAATTGATCAGGTACAATTAAAAAATTCAAGCATTACAGAAGTAAATATCATAGGACACAAACATCCCTGTAATTCTATAGCCTCAAAAAAACCATTGACCAAGATTTGGAAAGTTCTCCTTAGTAGCAATTAATAGTAATTGTTATTTCTTTTTGTGTGTTTTGAGACAGGATCTCACTCTGTCACCCAGGCTGGAGTGCAGTGGTGCAATTGCAGCTCCCTGCAGCTTCTACCTCTCGGTTCAAGTGATCCTCCCACCTCAGCTTTCCAAGTAGCTGGAACAACAGGCCCCCACCACCATGCCCTGCTAATTTTTGTATTTGTTGTAGAGACAGGGTTTTGACACGTTGCCCAGGCTGGAGTAGTTGTTAATTTTCATTATTAAAAAATGAGTAAATGTGCACAGTAGAAATGCATAAGAAAAATAAAAAAGAAAATGATAATTTGTAATGCACAATTCATGCCGTACGTGTGGGTATGTAAACAAACATAGGATCATACTGTGAAAACTGCTTAGTAATATGCTTTTTAACTTAGCAGTATACATTGTCAGGAATATTTTTCATGTCGTTAAATATTCTTCTACAACATCAACTGCATAGTATTCTTCTATAACTGCCTCCTATTCAATGGAAGCAATATACAGTCATGTGTCACTTAGCGACATGGATACGTTCTGAGAAATGTGTCGTTAGGAGATTTTGTCATTGTGTGAACATCACAGAGTGTTCTTCTGTGAACTTAGACAGTATAGCCTACCTCACACCTAGGCTATATGATATGGCATAGCCTCTTGCTCCCAGACTACAAACCTGTACAGCATGTTACTCTACTGAATACTGCAGCCAATTGTAACACAATGCTATTTGTGTACCTAAAACATCTAAACATAGAAAAGGTACAGTAAAAACATGGCATTATACTCTTATGAGATCAGTGTTATTATATATGTGGGCTGTCATTGACCTAAATGTTGGTATGCAGCACATGACCAAACTATCATTTATTTATTTTTATTATTTATGTATTTATTTATTTATTTTTTGAGATAGAGTCTTGTTCTGTCACTCAGGCTGGAGTGTGGTGGTGTGATCTTGGCTCACTGCAACCTCTGCCTCCCGGGTTCAAGCAATTCTCTGCCTCAGCCTCCCAAGTAGCTGGGATTAGAGGCGCCCACCACCACGCCTGGCTAGTATTTCTGTTTTTAGTAGAGACAGGGTTTCACCATGTTGGCCAGGCTGATCTCGAACTCTTGACCTCAAGTGATCCGCCCACCTTGGCCTCCCAAAGTGCTGGGATTACAGGCGTGAGCGACCATGCCCGGCCAGCCGATAAGAAGTTTTTAAAATTGTCTTCATATATTCAGCAAAGGTCTTTCCCACATTGACATATCTATTGTACTTTTTACAAATGTATTTTTCATGTAGTCAAATTTAATGTTTATTTGCCTTTTGTGTTATATTTAGAAACATTTTCTTCACCAGAAGATCACATAAACATTCACTGGTACTTGTTCTTTTGTAGCTTCATGTTTTACACTAAAAGTTGTAAGCCATTTGAAACTTTATGTGTATTCTAATGATCAGCCAGTTCACCCAATATCATTTACTTAATAAACATTTCCCTAATTGACCTGAACCACATTCATACTACATCAAATTTCCTATATACTTCGGGTTCCCTTTGTGGATTTTTCATTTTGTTCTATTGATTGATCCATTCTGTGCCAACATCTCACTGCTTAATTACTGTGGTTTAATAACTTTTAACCCCTGGTAGTAGAGTTTTCCTCCTTCATAATTGTTCTTTTTCAAAAATTGCTTACACTTTTCTTGAGTGGGTGGTCTAGCAGATAAACTTTAGAATCATTTTGTCACATCCCAAGAAAAATCTTCTTGGAATTTAGGTTCTCAACCAGACTAATACTCCCTGTCTTTTCCTACTTTCAGAGTTTGTCTGAGGATCACAAAAACCACTGCAGTGAGGCCAGGCGCAGTGGCTCACACCTGTAATCCCAGCACTTTGGGAGGTCAAGATGGGGGGACCACCTGAGGTCAGGAGTTCGTGACCATCCTGGCTAACATGGTGAAACCCTGTCTCTACTAAAAATACAAAAATTAGCCGGGTGTGGTGGCAGGCGCCTGTAATCCCAACTACTCGGGAGGCTGAGGCAGGAGAATCGCTTGAACCTGGAAGGCGGAGGTTGCAGTGAGCCGAGATCGCGCCATTGCACTCCAGGGTGGGCAACAAAAGCGAAACTCATCTCAAAAAAAAAAAAATACCACTGCACTGGAGAGAGTCATGTTAATGCACAGGGTTATTATTTTGTTAACACATAGCTAAAAATAGGAACGTGCCCAGTAGGGATTTTACCAGATAAAACAGTCCCACCAATCGAGAAACATCTAGTGAGTACCCATAAAGTGTCCTGCCATCTTGCCAGGATTAAGAGGCTTTTCTGGATGCCGAAACTTTAGTGCTAAAAGTGGGAAAGTCCTGGGCAAACCAGGATGCATTGATCACCCTAGTGGTCAGGTCTCCCTTTTAAACTCTAAAATGCTGATTCTAGGGTTCTATACATAGGAGAGAACCCTATACATAGGAGAGGTTTGTGTTTATGAGGTGTTTCCAGTCTAATAGTAGAAACATTGCTTATGAAATGAGGGAATGTGTCCACACTGAATTGTTCTATGAGGACTCATGTTGCAATAGGCTCACCAAAGGGGAAGGTTGGTTTGAACCAATGACCTTAATGGAGGTGCCTGAACTAGACTCAAGCAACAGAAGGATTTGTATGAGATGGAATTCAAGATGGGGGATGAGCGGGAGGTAGGAATCAGAGTGCTGTTGCAAGGAAGAGATGGTTTAGCACTCAGTCTCTCACCTGGCACTATCTCTAGTGTTGAACATAGGTTCAATCGAGTGAAATGCAGTTGGTAACACAGAATTGGGACACGTGTGGAACAACTGTCTAGGGTCCCACATTCTGAAATTCACAAGAGTGAACAATTAGAAATGGGGAAAACCATCTAAGAGACCCTCTCCTAAAACACTAAATAAAATAACGTGAAAGTTGTACAGCCAATATGTTTATCTTTTTCTCTTGGTTGCCAGAGTTTTAGAGCTAAATTTAGTGCCCAGGACAATCTCAAGAACTAGTTCCCATTTACTCCTTCCACTTCCTTTAATCAGGCATTGTTCTTTCATATCCTGAAATATCTTAGTTTGCATTGCTTTTAAAAAAATTACTGCCCAAAAGATACATTATGGAAAAATTAGCAAATAAAGGCAAATGTAAAGATGAAAGTTAAAATTTCTGAGATTCCACTTAAATATAACCACTGTTAAATATTTTAGTGTTCCTTCCCACATACACGTATCTGCCAACTTTTGCTTTCTGGATATCATACTGAATATGTTTTCTAACTTGCTTTTTTAACTTAATACTTCATGAAGATTTTTCCATTTCAATAAAATCTTCTATATCAGCACTCTTAGCTGTTGCATATTATTTCATTTCATGGCTGCATAATAATTTATTTGACTAGTCTCCTATAAGAATAGGGGTTTTTCTAGGTCCAGTTTTGTTCTGAATTGTGCAGTTGTCTGATCATTTCCTTGAGTAAAGTCCAAGAACTATAAGCCTTAGGTGAAAGTCTATTTAGAGGTTAAGAGTGAGGTTCTAGGGGACCGATTGCCTAGGCTCAAATGCTTTATTTTCCAGCTCTGTAGCCATGGGTATCTTCTTTTATCCTTCCAGCCCTTGTTTGGTTTTGTTGTTGTTGTTGTGTTGTTTTGTTTTGTTGAGACAGGGTGTGGATCCGTCACCAAGGCTGGAGTGCACTGGCACGATCATGGCTCACTGCAGCCTTGACCTCCTGGGCTGACCTCCTGGGCTCAAGCGATCCTCCTACCTCAGCCTCCTGAGTAGCTGGGACTACAGGCATGCACAACCATGCCAGCTAAATTTTTGTATTCTTTGTAGAGACAGGGGTCTCTCTATGTTGGCCAGGCTGGTCTCAAACTCCTGGCCTCAAGCAGTCCTCTCACCTTGGCCTCGCAAAGTGCTGGGATTACAGTCATGAGCTACCACGCCTGGCTGCTGTCCTTGTTTTTCATCTGAAAATACAGGCAATTGTGCCTGCTGCATAGGATTTTTGTGAGGAATTAAATAAGATAATGTTCGTGAAGCACTTAGCACAGTATCCAACCTAGAGTGAGCGCTCAATAAATATTTTCTGTAATTACGTTGCTTTCTCCAGAAGGATTATATCAATTTTCATTCCTAGGGGCAAAGTCAGGTCCTTTGGGGGAGCTTATAGGATTTAACTCACATAAAAATTAAAAAGTAGTAATACATGCTGGTCTTTTGTCCACTAAGATGACAGTGCCAACTTACCTCCACTGGAGGCAATTTCTCCAAGGACACAGGCTTGTCCTTCCACAAATGTTTTATCCAGTCCCCCTAGTGGCCAACAGGATGAACTTCCAAGATTAGTTCTCTAACCCTGTTAGAAAACTAACATTGTTCTTTCAGGGTTAATTCACAAAAGGGAAATAAAGTAACCTCAATTTTTTTTTTGAAAGAACATTTATAATGACCCAAGTAATATCCTTCAAAATCTTCACAGACTACTGCTTTCTAAATGTTGCTAGCTTTGTTTTCCAGATACCTACAGTTTGCTCCCAGGGAAGGATTACAAATCTGGCTAAAGCAGTGATTCACTCTTTTTCAGGATACTGAGACTCAATCTTGCCTGAGCCTCAGTAACCTGAAAAACAGAGATTCTCCAGAGATTCTGATTTAACTGGACAGTAGTGTGCCTGAGGATCAGATTTTTAAAAGCTCCCCAGGAGATGCTAGTGGTCAGCTGAGGCTGAGAACCACTAGGCTAAAGAAAATGGTCATCAGCTGGGCTCAGTGGCTCACACCTGTAATCCCAGCACTTTGGGGGATCGAGGCAGGTGGATCGCCTGAGACCAGCCTGGGCAACATGGCAAAACCGTCTCTACAAAAAATGCAAAAATTAGGCAGTCTCATTAACCCGCCTCAAAAAAAAAAAAGTTAAAAAGTTAAATAAAATTTAGGCCGGGCGTGGTGGCTCACGCCTGTAATCCCAACACTTTGAGAGGCCGAGGAGGGCGGATCACGAGGTCAGGAGATTGAGACCATCCTGGCTAACACGGTGAAACCCCGTCTCTACTAAAAATATATATTTTTAAAAAATTAGCCAGGCGTGGGGGCGGGCGTCTGTAGTCCCAGCTACTCGGGAGGCTGAGGCAGGAGAATGGCGTGAACCCGGGAGGTGGAGCTTGCAGTGAGCCGAGATCGCGCCACTGCACTCCAGCCTGGGCAACAGAGCGAGACTCCGTCTCAAAAAAAAAAAAGTAAAATAAAAGTTAAAGGAAAGAAAATGGGCAGGGATATGTCCTCAAATTCATTTTAACCTGTTTTCCATCCAATCCTCAATCAGACAGGCTTGGGAGAAGTTACTTCCTCTCTCACCTCTTTCTCTGCTCTTAGGAGGGGTCCAAAAAAAAATGAACAACCAGCGTAAGTAATCCCCATGTGTCTGCTACTCTAGTTGCCACTGACCATCTAGAAATAAAGTATGAACCACAAATGTGAGCTACAGATGAAATTTTAAATTTTCTAGTAGTCAAATTTAAAAAGATAAAGAGACGAGTGAAATACATTTTAACAATATATTTAATTTAACCCAAATATATCCAAAACAATATGTTTCAATGTGTATTTAATATGAAGCATTATGAACTATTTTATGTTTCTTTTTTATAGTAAGTCTTTTTGATATCTGGTGTGTATTTTACACTCACAGTTCATAAGGATCCATGAAACACCTATTATAGGCCAGGTGCAGTGGCTCACACTTATAATCCCAGCACTTTGGGAGGCCAAGGCGGGCAGATAATTTGAGGTTAGGAGATCGAGACCAGCCTAGCCAACATGGTGAAACCCCATCTCTACTAAAAATACAAAAATTAGTTGGGCATGGTGGTGAGCGCTTGTAGTCCCAGTTACTCAGGAGGGGGAGGCAGGAGAATCACTTGAACCCGACAGAGGCAGAGGTTGCAATGAGCCAAGATTGAGTCAATGCACTCCAGCCTGGACGACAGAGACTCTGTCTCAAAAAAAAAAAAAAAGGAAGAAACACCTATTACACTGCTGGGTAATTAGTACACTCTCAGCAATGCTCAGTTCCTTCTTTCTCAAGTGGAGGAGATGTACCAGGTCAGGGATATACCAGATCAGGTGTTAGGTGGAGTGAGGAGTGACTCCTAATTTTCCTCTGAAATGGTGTCTTTCAACCATTTTAGCCCGTGTTGCCTTTTGTTCCCTTCCTTTTTTTTTTTTTTTTCCTGAGGTAAGGTCTGGCTCTGTCGCCCAACCTGGAGTGGCACGATCTCAGCTCACTGCAGCCTCTGCCTCCCAGGCTCAAGTGATCCTCCCACCTCAGCTCCACGAGTAGCTGGGACTACAGGCATGTGCCACCACACCCGGCTAATTTTTGTAGAGATGAGGTTTCGCCATGTTGCCCAGGCTGGTCTCGAACTCCTGGCCTCAAGAAATCAGCCCACCTTGGCCTCCCAAAGTGCTGGGATTACAGGCTTGAGCCACCATGTCTGGCCTTCCTTTCTCTTTCTGTTACAAATCCTCCTCTAAAACGTCTTCCTCATTTTGAGGCTTCTGTCTAAACCTTGGATGAGCCTTGCATTAATTAAGGGTTTTAAATTAAAAATAATTTCTTTCTCATTACAAAAACTACATGTGCTTCTTAGACAAAAATCAGAAAATATAGAAAAGCAGAAAGAAGAACCACCAGATTCTCACCATCTGCAGGACAATCAGTCTAACACCTAGGATATATCCTCACAGCAGCTGTTTTCATCCTGGCTGCTCATCAAGATCTCTGGGAGTTTAAAGCTATATGGTGCCAGTCTTTACCCACAGACACTAGGATTAAATTGATCTGGGTACCACCTGGGCATGAGGATTATTTTTTCCATGCTCCCCAGGTGAATTCTAATGAGCACCCAAGACAAGAACCAGTGTTCTAGAGCAGTGAGCCTCACACTTTAATGTGCACACCAATCACGTGGAGATCTTGTCAAAATGCAGATTCTCAGTCAGTGGTCTGGAGTGGGGCTCCAGATGCTACATTTCTATCAAGCTCCCTGGTAATGCTGGGGTAGCAGGTCTGCCAACCATACTTTTACTATTCCAGGCCCTTAGGTATACATAGATGTACATACTTTTTTCCCCTAAAAATTAGATCCAATCATAGTCCTGTTTTACAACGTGCTTTTTTAATTCAATGATCCATCATGACCTTCTTTGCATGTTAAACAAAATGGACTTCTGCAAAACCAATTTGATTGGCTACACGAGATTCTATTTTAAAGACATACTGTAAGTTACTTAGTGCAGTGATGTGGAGATGGGGTTTGCAGCTGGTATAGAGTCTGGGAATTTCAGCACCCCCCTCCATTCTGGTTGCAGAGGTCAAGTATGGGGGTCCCCGAGTAATTCTGATACACTATCCTTCTTTCCTCTTCTCAGACCTTGAGAACCACTGATCTATTAAGTTCCCATTTGGGGGAACTTAGATTTCCAAACATTTGGCATTACAAACATAGCAAAAAGAATTATTTTTTTGGAAAAAAAAAAGAGAAAAAAAAATCAGCCACACCAATCCTGTGAGGTAGGTGTTATCACTGTAATCATTTTACAGATAAGTGTCTCCTAGAAATCTGTATTTTTAAAAATTTACCCATGAGGTTCTGCCAATCATCTAGATAGGGAATCACTGAAATTCTTATAGGAAGATCATGGTGTTTCCTGGATAAAGCCAAGCTCAGAGTGCTGGGTACACAAACAGTCCCTGTGCTGAGGAGCAAGTTCAGAGCCACGTGTCTTCTTCTTTCTTTCTTTCTTTTTTTTTTTGAAACAGTGTTTCACTCTTGTCGCCCAGGTTGGAATGCAGTGGTGCAATCTTGGCTCACTGCAACCTCCGCCTCCTGGGTTCATGCGATTCTTCTGCCTCAGCCTCCCAAGTAGCTGGGACTACAGTAACTGGGAGCACAAGCCACCAGGCCTGGCAAATTTTTCTTATTTTTAGTAGAGACAGGGTTTCACCATGTTGGCCAGGCTGGTCTTGAACTCCCGACCTCAGGTGATCTGCCCACCTTGGCCTCCCAAAGTGCTGGGATTACAGGTGTGAGCCACCACACCCAGCCCAGAGCCATGGGTCTTCTGTGTCCACTGGCGAATGGATCAGGGGTGGAAAACCAATGCAGGGTCAGCCAATGAGTGGCCCAGCCAGCAGCAGCCCGTGAGGGGCTCCACTGTAAAAACTCCTGTCCACCAAAGAAGAGGCAGTGCCATGAGGTCATAGAAGCCATTGAGAACCAGAACTCTTGATAAGTAGAAGCTTGTAGAGAACAGAAGCCATGAGGCAAAGAAAAGAAGGGTTAGAGGTGAGCTGGTAGTGGCAAAAGTGTGAGAATCAGAGGCAGAAGGAGGCTGTGTCACAGTCATGTCAAAAGGTAGACAATCTCCTGCTGAGAGGGGGACACGTTACTGTCCCCAGAGCTCTGTATCCTGGGCCCCACTTCTGGTTCCCCAGCCATGCTGTAGCTGCAATGAGGCCCAGCTGGGCAGCCACTCTGGTGCCGGCAGTGCCCTGATTCCCCCAATTACCATGTGGGTTCTTCACAATAATTATGTAACCTACCCTCCCACTGGAGGAAGAGAATTATTTGAGATAAACCAAAGAAAGCCATTTACTACAAGCAAGAGAGCTTAGCACATACTTTAAGTAATTAGATTCATTTATTAAACTTTTGAATAAAGGATTTAAAATGTGATTGCAATGGGAAGAAGTGTGGAAGAGGATGGGAAAACACAGGGTAACTGAAGGAAGTGAAGACTAGGGGGTCCCTGGGGTAGGAAGAGAGAGGAAAGACATTGCAAAGAGGGCAAAATGAGGGAGAAGGAGGGGGCAAACTTCTTTATCCACAACCAGTCCAGGCTATTCCAGTCAGAGAGAGAACCCAACTGGAGGCTAGTGTCAGAGGGCAGGAGCAGCTGAGCAGCACAGGGTTGTCCAGGAGAAGATGTTGAGAGGTGGTGTGATACTCAGAGCACGTTCGATGGTGCAGGGAGCAGGTGAGTCCCCCGAGGGGGCCTTGCTCTGTTGATGACTAATCAGAAGTAACAAGATTTTCTGACTTGGAGTTCACTCTCCACTCACAACCAGAATAAAGACCCTGGTCTACTTTCAGAGGACAGAGCTTGCACATCCAAGAAGTTCCTACCACTTCCCCTAAGACAAAAGATGTGGAAGTGAGAACAGGAGACTAAGGGATCAGCATCTTCCTGCTAACCATGGGGTGGATCGGTTTAGGCAAGTCCCCAGCTGCTATCGAACTCCCAGACAGGCCTGACCCTTAACAGCCTCTCTCCATGAGCAGGAGCTTTATTCACTTATTTAGTGACAGAAGCATCAGTCCCAGAAGACATATAGAATAATAGTAACACCAACAATAACAATCACTTATAGGTCCTCACTTATGGGCCTGACATCCTGTCAGGAGCCTTTTACCCAATATCTCACTTCATCTTCACATCAGCCTTCTGAGTGAGGTAAGTTCGATGACTGTCCTCATTTTCCAGATAAGCTGAGGCTCAGGGAGGTTCATTAATTTGATGGAGCTAATTAGAGCAGAAATGGGATCCACACTAGATCTGTCTAATCCAGAGTCTATGCTCTTGGTCACTTGAGCTATACTGACTCCCTCATCAATTATGACAGTTAAAAGGGAATATGGAAGTGGTCTAAGCTCCAAGCCCATCTAAAATATGAAGGCATCTTCGAAACCTCCCCATTTCACTGTACACTTGGAGAATTGTAAGAGTCATCCCATTTGGCCACTGTCTGATGGTGAAATCAAGCCTTGGGCAGCAGCAACTTCCACTTGCAGACATAATCAGAAGTCTCTCATTTATAATACACTGAACTTTTTCTAGAACCTTCCACCTCAGTGTTTCCCCAGGTAGTAGATAAACTGTGAAAAGCCAGGTCTTGAGTTAGCCAAATCAAGCTGATGCAATGAATCAAACACCATCTTCATCAAAGAAAAGGGATCAGCAAATCACTAAACCAACACAGCACTTTGCTGTTTGTCAGCAAGCAGCAACCCCAGACCTTGTTCCAGTGGCCCAGAGACAGCCTTACCTATCTCCTCTGGGAAATCTTCTACAGGACTCTTGAGGAGACTACAGAATCGTGAGGCCAAGTCTGAGAGCTTTGGAGAAAGGAGTAGCAGAAATTCCTTTTACTTCGTCCTTTTTTTATCAGGCTTGTCTTGTTGTTGGCTGAAGAAAAACAGTCTGTTGAACTACATTCTTGTCCAAACAACACAATTAACTTCCTCCTCTTCCTTTTCCTTTCCCTTCTCCTCCTTTTCCGGCTGCCTGAAGCTTCGAGAAAGTAAATTTTGTGTCTTTCATTTAATATTACCTCTGTAGTTGCTGAGACCACAGCTTGCGGAGCTGACTTACAAGTAGGCATCACCCTATAAACTATTATTTGATTTGAAGGAGGGTAGAGGGTCAGTCTGTTCAGGTACTGGACACTAATTTTTTAAATTACTCACCAGATAGTTCCAATGCTGTTAAACTGTTCCAAAGTATAAGAGAGAAAGCAAGCTTTTAGATTATTTTTTTACAAAAGCAATATGACACTGATACTAAAACCTAAAAAATACAGCATTGAATAGAAAAAATGCAGGCAAATTTCTCTCATGAATATGGATTTTAAAAATCTGTAGGGGAGGCCAGGCGCAGTGGCTCACACCTGTAATCCCAGCACTTTGGGAGGCCAAGGTGGGTGGACCACCTGAGGTCGGGAGTTCCTCCTGGCCAATATGGTGAAACCCCGCCTCTACTAAAAATACAAAAATTAGCTGGGCGTGGTGGCAGGCACCTGTAACCCCAGCTACTCGGGAGGCTGAGGCAGGAGAATTGTTTGAACCTGGGAGGTAGAGGTTGCAGTGAGCCGAGATCGTGCCACTGCACTCCAGCCTGGACAACAGATCAAGACTCCATCTCAAAAAAAAAAAAAATCTGTAGGGGACCAAAAGGTATTTGGAAAAATTATACATTCATTTCTGACACAAACCTTTTAATAAAAAAGAGAGATATTTCCTTAACACAATAAATAAATGTATGCAATCAGATCCAAACCAGCAGCATGCTTAATGGTGAAATACTAAAAGAATCCCAGCAAATCCAGGAAAAAGACAAGGATGCCCGTATCACTACTACTATTTCACATTGTAGTGAAGGTATAAGCCAATAGTATTTTAGAAGGAAAATAAATATTAAAATAAATATTAAGGTATAAAAGTTAGTAAGGGAAGGAAAATTTTCATTATTTGCAGTTGTTATAGTACTGTGTACTTTGAAAACTTAAGAGTAAGCAAATGCACTTCAGTATCTAATTGCAAAATAAATATACAAATGAATAGCTATGCTATAAGTAAATGACTCAGACCTAAGAAAACAGAATCCTAAGGTGGCAGTGGAGAAAGATAGAAATCAAATCAATTTACACGACAGAATCTCCCAAAAGGCTCAGGAATGGATGGAACCATTTATCTTTGGAAATGAAAGAGAGATAAAACAGAGAACTGATGGAAATACCACTTAAGAAGCAATTAGAGGCCTGGCATAGTGGCTCACACCTGTAATCGCAGCACTCTGGGAGGCTGAGGTGGAAGGATCACTTGAGGCCAGTAATTCAAGACCAGCCTGGGCAACATAGTGGGAACTTGTCTCTACCAAAAATAAATAAATAAATAAAAATAGCGCACACCTGTAGTCCTAGCTACTCAGGAGGTGGAGGTAGAAGAATTGCTTGAGCCCAGGAGTTCAAGGTTACAGTGGGTTATGATTGTGACACTGCACTCCAGCCTGGGCGATAGAGCACAACTCTCTCTCTCTAGTTAATAAATAAATAAATAAAAGCAATTAGAGCCTTAGATGCCCCCCCAACTCCCTGTCTCCCCACAGCAACAGATTGGTGGTTTATTGCCTAAAAAGGGTAAACTGGGGGTGAGGGTGAGGTAGATGTCTGGTCTGGAGGACACTAGGCACACTTGACACTACACAGAAAACAGGATGCCGGGTGCAGTGGCTCATGCCTGTAATCCCAGCACTTTGGGAGGCCAGGGCAGGCAGATCACAAGGTCAGGAGTTCAAGACCAGCCTGACCAACATGGTGAAACTCCATGTCTACTAAAAATACAAAAAACTAGCCGGGCGTGGTGGTGCACACCTATAATCCCAGCTACTTAGGAGGCTGAGGCAGGAGAATCACTTGAACCCGGGAGGCAGAGGTTGCAGTGAGCTGAGATCGCACCACTGCACTCCAGCCTGGGCGATAAAGCGAGACTCCATTTCAAAAAAGGAAGGAGGGAAGGAAGGAAGGAAGGAGAAAGAGAGAAAGAGAGAGAAAGGAAGGAAGGAAGGAAGGAAGGAAGGAAGGAAGGAAGGAAGGAAAGAAAGAAAGAAAGAAAGGAAGGAAGGAAGGAAAGAAAGAGAAAGAAAGAAGGAAAGAAAGAAGAAAGAAAGAAAGAAAGAAAGAAAGAAAGAAAGAAAGAAAGAAAGAAAGAAAGAAAGAAAGAAAGAAAGGGAGAGAAAACAGGATTAGGTGTAAGCACTAGAGGCAGAAACTCTTGCCTTCTTCCGCCTCTGCTCCTATAACATTGGCAGCCTGGCTTGCACCCTTCCAGACAGAGATGGGAAAGGACACATCTGGGGAATCTGATCAGCTGACAAGTAAAGACATAAACGTATAGACCTCAAGCATTCCTCCAATGAAACCATCCAGCCAGAACACCCTATAAATCCTTCCTTGCATTGTCAAAGTTTCCAATCAGCTTAAATAGGAGCAAACTACCAAGGATCACCTGAGGCATCTGAGGAAAACTTCTAACATGGATCACTAGAAACTAAAATGTACAAATAGAAAAAAGAAACTTGGAGAAAATGAATTATGCAATTACACAAGGAGAAGAAAACTAAAACAAAACAAATCTTATCATTAATATGAATATTAGGATTCTCCAGAGAAACAGGAACAATAAGGTAAATGGATGGATGGATGGATAGATAGATAGACAGATAGATATTTATCTGGTTGATCCTGCTAGTAGCAATAAATAAATAAATAAATAATAGATGTAGATATATAAAGGGGAGATTATTATAAGGAATTGGCTCACACGAATATGGAGGCTAAGAAGTCCACAAATCTGCAGTCTAAAAGCCTGAGAACCAGTAGGCTGATGATGTAAGTTCCAGTCCATGTCCAAAGACAGAAGCCCAATGTCCCAGGTCAAACACCATAAGGTAGAGAAAGCAAATTCCCTCTTGCTCAGCCTTTTTGTTCTATTCAAATTGAATACCACAGATTGAATCAGGCTTGCTCACGTTGGTGAAGGCAATTTGTTTTACTCAGTCTACTGATTCAAATGTTAATCTCATCCAGAAACCCCCTTGTCACCCTGCCTGCAGATAACCCAGAATAATGTTTAACCAAATATCTGGGTACCCTATGGGCCCAGTCAAGTTGACACATCAAATTAACTATCACAATATCCTTAGAAAAGTTAAAAGCAATTGTAATATCATATCCATAAACTAAGTATAGAGTGCTACAAAGAAAAAAATATTCACAGGGAAAAGAATGAGAGAGGGCCGTTGCAAATTAATGACATGATAGCAGAGATTATTTTTAATATACAGAAAGTTTGGAAGATGATGTTGAGGAAATCTCTAAGTATGTAGAGTTCAAACACAAAGAGGTAGAAAATAGGAATGAAAAGATAAGAAAATTAGAAGGCTAGTTCAGGTGGAACATGACCCAAATAGTAGGAGTCCCAGAAAGAATAAACAGTGAACATGAAAGAAAGGAAACCGTTAAAGAAATAGTTCAAGGGAATTGCCCAGAAATGTATAGTATGAGTTTCCAAATTAAAAGTGTCCAGCACAAAGAATTAAAATAGACCTATACTAAGGTACATCATGCAGATTTCACAATGGGGACGAAGAAAAATATCTTCCACATTTCTGGAGAGAAAGCCAAAGGACCCATATAAAAGATCAGGGACAAAAATGGCTTCTGACTTCTCAACAGGAAGCTGGAAAGCAAAAAAGCAATGCCTTCAAAATTCTAGAGTAAAATGATTTTCAATCTAGAGAAACCATGTCCAGCCATTTTTCAAGTATGAGAGCAAAATAAAAATATTTTAGATGTGAGAAAATTTACCCCCCATGCACCCTTCCTTATGAAGCTATTGAAGGGTATGTTTTATCCAAACATGACAGTAAAGAAAACAAAACAAGGAAGACAGAATGTCCAGGAAACTGGAGCTCTATCACAGGCTAAGGGAATCCCAGGAGACCATGACAGAAGACAAAGGGATACAAAATGTGCACCCATCATGGAGAGCGGCAAGCCCAGATTTTTTTTTTCAGGGAGATAACGTTGAGAAAATAATCAATCTCGCAAAGAGATATATAAGCTAGGTAAGAGTTTGAGGTTGAGGCCGGGTGCAGTGGCTCACGCCTGTAATCCCAGCACTTTGGGAGGCCGAGGCAGGCGGATCACGAGGTCAGGAGATCGAGACCATCCTCGATAACACGATGAAACCCCGTCTCTACTAAAATAATACAAAAAAATAGCCGGGCGTGGTGGCAGGCGCCTGTAGTCCCAGCTACTCGGGAGGCTGAGGCAGGAGAATGGCGTGAACCTGAGAGGCGGAGCTTGCAGTGAGCCGAGCCGAGATTGTGCCACTGCACTCCAGCCTGGGCGACAGAGCAAGACTCCGTCTCAAAAAAAAAAAAAAGAGTTTGAGGTTGAATGAATGATAATGACATTAAGAAAAAACAACTGAGGAAATGGAGGAAAAAAGTGACAATTATTAACTCCAGGGAAAACAAATACTAAATACTAAAATGCATTAAAAATCTACCTTATTTGTAACAATTTGGTGCTGGTTCAGAAATATAGACAATTGTAACAGATTAAAGAATTCAGGAAAAGTCCCATATACAAATGAGGATTTAAAGTGTGATATGAGCGGCACTTCAAATCAGTGGGAAAAAGCAGAGGTTTTCTTTTTGTCTTTTTTTTTTTTTTTTTTGAGACGGAGTCTTGCTCTGTCGCCCAGGCTGGAGTGCAGTGGCGCAATCTCGGCTCACTGCAAGCTCTGCCTCCCGGGTTCACGCCATTCTCCTGCCTCAGCCTCCCGAGTAGCTGGGACTACAGGCGCCCGCCACCACGCCCGGCTAATTTTTTGTATTTTTAGTAGAGACGGGGTTTCACCGTGTTAGCCAGGATGGTCTCGATCTGCTGACCTCGTGATCCGCCCGCCTCGGCCTCCCAAAGTGCTGGGATTACAGGCGTGAGCCACCGTGCCCGGCCCAGAGGTTATCAACAAATCATGTTGGCTAGTCATTTCAGGGGGAAAAAAGTATTTCTTACTCTTTATTCACACACACACAAAAATCCCAGATGAATTTAAATAGAGGAAATAAATCCATAAAGGTACTAGAAGGTAAACAGCATATAAACTTGTAAGAAAGATCTCTCTATATGAAATATAACATTTAGTATCAAAAAGGAAAATATTGATAACTTTGACAATGTAAAAATGTAAAGCATTTCTTCAGGGGAAAAAATCATTAAAAAGTCAAAAGATAAACAAATCAGGGATAATATCCACCACATATATAATAGCCAGAGAGTTATTAAAAAAAAACTTATCTAAAGAGCATTAGCAAATCGGTAAGAAAAAGACCAACAGTTGACTTTGAAAAATGAGACTAGGGAATTTACTCATAGAAGAGCATGCTATTTATTGCTTTATAAATACATAGGAAGATAAAAGTTGCTTAACCTTGCTCAGAATTAAGAAATAATAATTAAAACAAAAATGAAATACTATTTCATCTGTAAGATGAGCAAAGATTAAAAAGTGCCACAATTTTCAATATTGTCAAGAATATGGAGAAACAGTCATACTCACATACTTTTAGTGGGAGTGTAAATGGATATATTATCTTAGGAGAGGAAATTGGCTATATTTATCCGAACTTGTAATGCACATATCATTTGGACCAGAATTTCGCTTATCGAAACTTATGCTACAGATATATATTTGTATGTTCACGAAAGCATATATACAAGGTTTGTCGTGTTAGAGAGATCCCTTCAGGATTGACTCCCAGGAATAAATTCCTGAACACTGTTACACACGTGGTGTGGATTGAAGAATAGGCTTTACGAGATCAGGGTCAACAGGAGAAGGCCTATGACTCCCTTCAGCCCATTAACCACTGGACAGGTATGCTGGAATCAAGTAGTTTACTGTATATGCAATATGGGGCTGTGTTTCATGGGAGGAACCCCATTCTTTGAAGGGCTCCCTTCTTTCAAGGCAAGCACAAGAACCACTTTATTTTATTTTATTTTATTTTATTTTTGAGACAGAGTCTCGCTCTGTGGCCCAGGCTGGAGTGCAATGGTGTGATCTTGGCTCACTGCAACCTCTGCCTCCTGGGTTCAACCAATTCTCGTGCCTCAGCCTCCCGAGTAGCTGGGATTACAGGTGTGAGCCACCACAATGTGCTAATTTTTGTATTTTTAGTAGGATGGGGTTTTACCATGTTGGCCAGGCTGGTCTGGAACTCCTCGCCTCAGGCAATCTGCCTGCCTCGCCCTCCCAAAGTGCTGGGATTATAGGCATGAGCCACCATGCCCAGCTAGAACCACTTTAACAATGGTGCTCAAACTTGGACATTGTGCTTGCCATCCAGATACGGTACCAGCCAGAGCCAGGACTTATAAAGAGGCAAATGAGGCACTTGCCCCTGGTGCAAAATTTAAAGTGGCACTAAAAAACTCAGTAACCAAGATATTATATTTCAATGAAATAAGATTTGCGGGGGGGAGTGTTTGTTTTTGAGATAAGGTCTTGCTCTGTCACCCAGGTTGGAGTGCAGTGGCACAATCAGCTCACTGTAACCTCAAACTCTTGGACTCAAGGGATCCTTCTGCCTTAGCCTCTCAAGTAGCTGGGACTACGGATGCATGCCATTACACCTGGCTAATTTTTAATTTTTTGTAGAAACTGTGTCTTGCTTTGTTGCCCAGGCTTGTCTCAAACTCCTGGCCTCAAGCGATCCTCCTACCTCAGCCTCCCAAAGTGCTGGTATTACAGGTGTGAGCCACCATGCCCAACTCAATGAAGTATTTTTTTAAAATACAAATTAATGTAAAATCCAACAGGACTCTGTATGGCACAGTTGTTAATCCTGTCTTTATTTAAAAGCTTGCTATTTGTCCATCATTAATTTTGTATTTATATCAATTTTTTTTAAATAGCGCGTTAAAATATTACTTATCTTAATTACTGAGATTTTGGTGTCCTCTAAAATTTTGCATCTAAACATCCTAGTCTCAGCCCTTTGCCATTGTTTGCCTTGTTGTCTGGAGATGCCAGCTGACAGCACCTGGGTAAGGGAGGTGCTGGCTCTGCTGACAGTGATAAACTGCAGCCCTGGGTACTAGAAAAAAGTGAGGGAGGGGGAGCTCTGAGTCCTGGCTGGCTCATTGTCCAGACTACACAGAGGAAGCACTTTCATACAATCATTTCACCACAAGCGTGTTTACTGCAGCAATATTCAGATAGAAATGTGTTGAAAATCGGAGCTCCAGTGGTGCAATCGGTTAGCGCACGTGGTACTTACACAGCAGTACATGCAAAAAAGTGTTGAAAATAACCTAAATGATCATCAATAGGAACTAAATTTTTTAAAAAAATCATATGTATCTGTGAAAAAGAATAAACAAGATAAAAGTTGAAAAAAGCAAGGTATAGAACAATTCATAGAGTAGGCCTCCATTTGCAAATTTTTAAGACATGATATATATTAGTGATATTATTTGTGTGTGTATGTTGTGTGTGTGTGTGTTTGTGTTTTGTTGTTGTTTTGAGGCAGAGTCTCACTCTGTTACCCAGGCTGGAGTGTAGTGGTGTGATCTTGGCTCACTGCAACCTCCGCTTCTTGGGTTCAAGAGGTTCTCATGCTGCAGCTTCCAAGACGGGATCTCGCCATGTTGGCCAAGCTAGTCTTGAACTCCTGACCTCAAGTGATCCGTCTGCCTTGGCCTCCCAAAGTGCTGGGATTACAGGCTTGAGCCACCGCGCTCGGCCTAGTTATCATTATTGATAATAATTATTGATAACAGACAATCATTCAGTGCCTTCTAAATGCCAGACTCATTTAACCCCCATTAACACTCTATGAGACAGATACTATTATTATGCCCATTTTACAGATGAAGAAACTAAGATCCAGAGAGATTAGTTAACTCTTCCAAGGTCACTCAGCTAGCAATTGGAGGAACCAGGATTTGAACATACATAAATATTTGTGTATATTCATGAATAGTTTATGGAAAGACATACCCAAGCCGGGCATAGTGGCTCACGCCTGTAATCCCAGAACTTTGGGAGGCCGAGGCAGGTGGATCACCTGAGGTCAGGAGTTCGAGACCAGCCTGGCCAACATGGTGAAACCCTGTCTCTACTAAAAATATAAAATTAGCTGGGCATGGTTGCGCATGCCTGTAATCCCAGCTACTCGGGAGGCTGAGGTAGGAGAATCGCTTGAACCCAGGAGGCAGAGGTTGCAGTGAGCCGAGATCGCACCATTGCACTTCAGCATGGGCAACAAGAGTGAAACTCCATCTCAAAAACAAAACAAAAAAAGGAAAGACACACCCCAAACTCTTAATGGTGATTATCTCTCTACAATGGTACCGAAGGTCTAAGGTCTTTTAAATTGTTTGAATTCTCTTTTTACAGTTAGGGTTGCCAGATAAAATACAGGATGCCCACTTAAATTTGAATTTCAGAAAAAGAACAAATTGATTTTTAGTATAAGTACATCCCATGCAATACTTGGAACACACTTAAATAAAAAATTATTTGTTATGTCTCTTAAACCCAAATTTCACTGGGTGCCCTCTATTCGTATTTTCTAAATCTGACAACCCTACTTTTAGCTAGCCTTCATTTGGCGAGGCCAGCAATTCCCTTCAAAGTGAAATATCCATTCTCCGGCAATGTGCCATAATCTGATAAAGCAGGATTTTAATAGGTGGCCTAATTCAGATACTGAAGTTATTCTGTACAACGATGACAAATTAATTAGGGGTAATTCAGAAACAACTGTGCTTGAAGCTCTGTCTTCCCTTGATTTTTTTGACTGAAAGGGATGTGCCATCAATCATGAGAAAATTCAGGCGCCCTCCAAGATGCAGTTTGGCTCTGCCTCTGCCCGCTAGAGGAATTCACCCTGGACCAGATAGAGGCTTTTGTTTTTCAAGCCCCCTACCACTAAAAAGCAGGCATAGATATTAATGGGCATCTTGGATCCACATCTGGGTATTAGATTATTAGAAGGGCATCAGAATTTGCATGCGGTCCGAACCAGCCACTGCCTCCGAAGCCTTGCAGACCACAGTGCCTGCTGCCCTTCCTCTGGGTCCATATCACCAATCAGAATATGAAGTGTGTCTCCTTAACTGCTGATGACCGGAGCCTTCTGGGAATTCCTGAGGGAGGGGAAGGACTTAGCCTGTGGCTTCTAGTCCTGAGGATGCTCCCTTTGAATGTCAGTTACCAGCTGCTTATGGAAGCTAAGACAAGGGACATCAAGTACTTCGGGGTCCCAAGCTGTATAACAGGAATCGGTCACGTTCAAACAAAAGCTAGCTCCAGTGCTGAAGAGGAACTCCAGAGATCGAAAAGCTCAGCCCCACGGAGGTTGGTCCCTCCTCCGGCACTGCGGAGGCCAGCCTGGGCAAGGGCGCCCCCTGCAGGCTCCCGGCATCGGTGCCGGAGAAGCACGGTGGACTCTGAGCTGCCGCCGGTTTTGTGGGTGGCTTTGCCTCCCTCACTTCTAAAACCTCCAGCGGTGGCGGTCCCCTTATACCCTGCCTGGGGGGGATACTTGGAGAGGAGAATGAGGGGCTTCTTCCCAGTGGGCAGAACCAAAGGCAGTACCGATGACTTGAAGCTGGGCTCTAGAGAGCAAACAAGACTTTCCTGTATTCAAATTCGCAGGCAGTGATTTATGTTTAGGCCACTGGCTTGGCTGCCGGCTGTGGATTCCATTGACTGGCGGACAAAATTAAGCTCCTGGTTCCTCACGTGGATGCCATCAGATCCCTAGTGAAGAATCCCGTGGAACAAAGCTGTAGATGTTCTGATAAGATGAGAGAGGCAGACAAGTGGTCACATGACCAGAGAGACCGTGGAGGAGTGGATGCTGCCTTGGCCTGGGGGAGGACCCAACGTATTTAGCAGTCCACGCACGTGCTACTCACAGCAGCCCTGTGAGCTTATCCTTTCCCTACCCTTTTCTGTGCCTGGAGGCACCGGCCTAAAGGTAGGTTATATTTCACTGCTGCCCTCTCATCAGAGCCAAAACTATGTTGTCACAATTAATGCTGAATTCGGTAAAAGCCACCACTAAGGAGATGTACAGAAAAACAGCATTCCTGATTTCTTAGCATCTGATTTGTCAAGAATGGGTTTATAATCTGAATATAAAATGGCCCTTCCTACTTGCCCATCTCCTAAGCAGCAAGTAAAGGAGGGTGGAGGCATTGACTCCTCACTTTATAGCTGAGGATTTTCACTGACTCAGGAACATGCATGAGGAAGCCTACTGTTCTATCACAAGCCATTTACTCTCCTAATTGCTTCCAACATATAACTCCATGGTGACAGACCAAAGAGTGAGTAACAATAATGGGGACAGGTAAGAGTCCCATCAATAAATTGCCAAAACCCCAAGTACATCTGGTGATGCTACCTATGAAGGGATCTGATAAATACAAATAAGGAATTTTGAACTTTGCTTTGATAAATACAAGTGAAGGATTGGGACAAAGAGTGGGAAAACAAGGGAAAACTAACAAGTAAACAAATGAGTCTAAACTAACAAGTAAACATATGAGTCTAAAATGAAATTTCCCTCTACCTTTTAGGTTCTACATGATGATGGTGACCAATCTGATGAAAATCCACTAAGTAAACTGGGACAGGAACTTATAATTTCACAATTCACCAGAAAGATGAAAGTAAAAATGAAAACTCTTTTTAACTAAATGGTAGATAAATTATGAACAAACTATCCGGGAATCAAATCATAAAGGGGAAGAGGAGGGAGGCCGGGGAAGTACTGAATATGACCATAAACACAAATTTACTACATCAGTTAAGAGATCTTTGATTGAATTTATTTTTTCCAGATCAGAGCAGTTTTTTGTTTGTTTGTTTTGAGACGAAGTCTTGCTCTGTCACCCAGGCTGGAGTGCAGTGGCATGATCTCAGCTCACTGCAATCTCCATCTCCTGGGCTCAAGCTATTCTCCTGCCTCAGCCTCCCGAGTAGCTGGGATTACAGGTACGCACCACCCCACACATCTAATTTTTGTGCGTGTGTGTATTTTCCATAGAGACGTGGTTTCACCATGTTGGCCAGGCTGGTCTTGAACTCCTGACCTCAAGTGATCCACCTGCCTCAGCTTCCCAAAGTGCTAGGATTACAGGCATGAGCCATTGTGCCCAGCCTGATCCTGTTTCTTTTTGTAATGGCGCCTCCTAGTCAAGGATCAGCCCTCAATAAGCATGGGGTTATTCCCTCCAATAGGGAGCAGCACAAGCTACAACTCTAAGAGACTCCTCATGTAGCACTTGTGGACAGACTGAACCCAAAAGGAGCAGACTGGAATGTGTGTAGAGAATAGCCACACTCAATTAATGCTAATTAACACTCAGTTATTTGCAGACCATATAGGTGTGTAAACTCAACTATGGAAGAGTACAACTATTAGCCATTGGCAAAAGCAATTGATGGAAACAAATGCCAACAAAAATTGGTGAGTAAAAATCCTAAATGACTGGGCCAGGTGCGGTGGCTCGCGCCTGTAATCCCAGCACTTTGGGAGGCTGAGGCAGGTGGATCACAAGGTCAGGAGATCGAGACAAACCTGGCTAACACGGTGAAACCCCATCTCTACTAAAAAAATATACAAAAAATTAGCCAGGTGTGGTGGCGGGCGCCTGTAGTCCCAGCTACTCGGGAGGCTGAGGCAGGAGAATGGCGTGAACCTGGGAAGCAGAGCTTGCAGTGAGCCAAGATTGTGCCACTGCACTCCAGCCTGGGCGACAGAGCGAGACTCTGTCTCAAAAAAAAAAAAAAAAAAAAAAAAAAATGACTGGGTATCAATTTTTAAGTACACTACTGCCCTTTCAATAGTTTTAAAAAATGAACACATTTATCACTTGTCTACGGTAAGTTTGTTTAACTGACTCAGCTTGGGAGCCTGGGAATTCTGTTCCTGCAGATTCTGACAGTGGGTGCCGTACTGGATTACTTTTCTAACAGTGAGAAAAGATAGGACAATTTTACCATCCAGGCAAAAGACCAAGTATCTTCTCTGAGAAATCTGACTAGACTAAGAGGAAAGATCAAAAGATACTGGCACTATAGATTTCCTGGTGAAACATCCCAGACAGATCACCCCACAAAACATTCCATAATTGATAAGCTCTACCCATGATTTCAGAGCATTTCATCAGGTTCTTAGTCTCTCATTCTTAAAAATGAACCAACAACAACAGATTGCAGTCTCTGATGTGAAAGATAGAGACCAAAACTAACAGAGAAAAAAAGAAACCTGGATAAAACAGAAACTTTACAGGAGGGAGGAAAATTTTAACAATACAACAACAACAACAACACAAAAAAATCTCCACGCCTATATTTGAAATCCTCAGATAAGATATTGAAACCTCAAAATAAGAAAAATATGTTGTTTCAGAAAATAGTCAAGAAAAAAACCGAGTCCTTGGAAATTAAGAATGGAAAGAAAAACTCATTAAAAGGATTGACGATAGAGTCCAGGATATCTCCCAGAAAAAAAAAGAGACCAAGAGGTGGAAATAGAAGACAAAAGATAAGAAAAAGAGAAGACTAGCCTGGGAGTTCCAGGAAGAGAGAAAAGAGAGAAACAGATAACATTATTTTTAAAATTAATTCTCTAAAATTTCCCTAAACTTAGAAACACAGGTTTTCAGATTTAAAGGGCCCACTTAGTACCCATAACCAATAGATGGAAATTAACTCACGTCAAGCCACATTATCATGAAATTTCAGAACTCTATGGATAAAAAGATCCTTTACGTTTCCAGAGATAGAAAAATAGATCAGAAATAAAAGATCAGAAATCAGAACGTCTTTAGATTTCTCAGTAGCAATACTGGAAGCTAGAAGACAATTGGGAAATGCCTTCAAAATTCTGGAGGAAAATTATTTTCAACCTAGAATTCTATACTCAGGCAAACTATCAATCAAGTGGGAGAACAGAATAAAAATCATTGCATGATTACAATAAATTCAAAAATGAATTTCTTATGCAACCTTTCTTGGGAAGCTATTGGAGTATATGACTCATCAAAAGGAGGATGAATTCAAGAATGAAGACACTAAGGAGACATAGGATCCAGTAAATGAAAGCTTCAACACAGGAGGGATGAAAGGAATCTTAAGGATATGGAGACTGGAAATTCCGAAGTCAAAGTGAAAATAGCTTTGAGAATGTCAGCTGTGTACCAGGCAGGAGTGGATCCAGGTCTTGTGGGGCCTGAAGCTTATGCAATTTGAGGGTCCTCTTCTTAAAAGTAAAATACAAAATTGTAAATACAAAATTAGGTATAAAAATGAATATTTATTTACAATGAGAAATCACAACAAAAATTTTAAAAGCTAACAAAAATACCACAGACATCACAAAATCTAGAAAAATAATTTTTTTTTTTTCGAGACAGAGTTTTGCTCTTGTTGCCCAGGCTAGAGTACAATGGCGTGATCTCAGCTCACTGCAACCTCTGCCTCCTGGGTTCAAGCAATTCTCCTAGCTCAGCCTCCCGAGTAGCTGGGATTACACGCCCAGCTAATTTTTTGTATTTTTAGTAGAGACGGGGTTTCTCCATGTTGGCCAGGCTGGTCTTGAACTCCTGACCTCAGGTGATCCGCCCACTTTGGCCTCCCAAAGTGCTGGGATTACAGGCGTGAGCCACCGCGCCTGGCCAAAAGATAGAATTTTTAAATGAATTAACTGCTTGATCCCTGTCTATAATACTTTTTTCCTTTATTTTTCAGCTATATACTTGTCCTCCAACAGTGTTTCATGAAAATGTTCAAACCTATACAAAAGTTAAAAGAACTTTACAGTGAACACCATATACCTGTCATCTAAATTCTACACTTAACATTTTGCTGGCGGGGCATGGTGGCTCACACCTGTAAGGCCGAGGCAGATGGACTGCTCGAGCTCAGGAGTTTGAGACCAGCCTGGGCAGCATGGTGAGACTCCATCTCTACTAAAAATACAAACATTAGCCGGATGTGCTGGCATGCACCAGTAGTCCCAGCTACTTGGGAGGCTGACGTGGGAGGATGGCTTGAGCCCAGGAGGTGGAGGTTGCAGTGAGCCGAGATGGTGCCACTGCACTCCCACCTGGGCAACAGAGCCAGACCCTGTCTCAAAAAAAAAAAAAGTATAGCAAAATGTTTTGTTGTTGTTGTTGTTGAGACAGGGTCTGGCTATACTGCCCAGGCTCAAGTGCAGTGGCACGATCTCAACTGGGCTCAAGCCATCTTCCCACCTTAGCCTCCATAGTAGCTGGGACTACAGGCGCACCTCTGTGGTGCATATTCACCCTTGCACCCAGGGTGAATTACGACAGTAAGAGGTGTGAATATTTCTGGAAGCAATTCCTACTGGAATGGCTGACAATAACCCAACTTTACATAGCTGTGACTGTGAACTACATAAATAATCTAACTAAACCCATGCTAAGATCTCCTATTTATTTCCCATTGGTCTGATCCCGAAACAGCAATGTGAGAGGAAATGCGACTGAGGAAAAGCTAGACAGGAAAGAGACAGCAGTTTAGCCAATCACAGTTAAAATATCTTATTTTGCAAATTTTATGTAACTTATGACCATATGAATTCATTGCTGAAGCCAGTGAGGGCCCCTGAAGCTTAAGCTTTACTAGTTTCATGGGAAATCTACCTCTGGAACTAGGCCAACAGGGTAACCAATCCGTTTTGGAGTAGATAGAAAACTCCAGGAGAGATCTCTACAAGACTGGGGGGAAAAAATGGCCGGGCACGGTGGCTCATGCCTGTAATCCCAGCTACTGGGGAGGCTGAGGCACAAGAACTGCTTGAACTCGGGAGGCGGAGGTTGCAGTGAGTCGAGATGGCACCATTGCACTACAGCCTGGGTGACAGAGCAAGACTGTTTAAAAAAAAGAAAAAACGAAGGAAGGAAGGAAGGAAGGAAGGAAGGAAGGAAGGAAGGAAGGAAGGAAAGAAAAGATTTAAAAAAATTTTTTTTTTGAGACAAGGTCTCGCTCCATCACTCAGACTGGAGTGCAGTGGAGCAATCTCAGCTCTTGCAACCTCTGCCTCCCAGGCTCAAGTGATCCTCCCACCTAAGTCTCCCGAGTAGCTGGGACCACAGGTGTACACCACCATGCTCCGCTAATTTTTTAAGGTTTCTGTAGAGACAAGGTGTCACTATATTGCCCAGGCTGGTCTCGAACTCCTGGCCTCAAGAAATCCTCCGGCCTTGGCCTCCCAGAGTGCTGGGATTACAGGCATGAGCCACCACGCCCAGCCCAAGATAAAATTTATAGACCACTGGATGTGTCTCAGTACAATGGGAGATTTAGACAATTGACAATTCGAAGTTCAGTCCCAGGAGATAATTTATATCAGCAACAACAGGTACAGAAAACATAAAATGTTCTTCAGAATCTTTTTAGTTTATATTTATTTATATAATGTATTTTGTTAACTTTTTTATTGTCTGAGGGCTCTTTGTATACCAGCGCTTTATAATATTCCCACTAGAGACTAAAGGAAACCCACTCTCAGTACTTCCCAATGAGAAGAAAAAAGTTGCAATTGGCTGTCACCAAAGCCAATGTCCCTGTAAAAGTGGGAGGCGGGTAACCTTGTCCCCAAGAAAAGCAGAGTGTATGCCTACAGAGTTTAACCACGGATACAACTATCTTGGTGTTGAGAGGTGACAACCTGCTAGCAGCCCTCGCTGGCTCTCGGCGCCTCCTCGGCCTCTGCGTCCGCTCTGGCCGCGCTCGAGGAGCCCTTCAGCCCGCCGCTGCGCTGTGAGGGCCCCTCTCTGGGGCTGGCCGAGGCCGGAGCCGGCTCCCTCTGCTCACTGGGAAGTGTGAAAAGAGAGGCGCCGGCGGGAGCTGGGGCTGCGCGCGGGCTCCGCAAGTCCCGCACTCTGCGCGGCGGGCCGGCGCCTGCTGGGCTTGACTGGGGGACGAGCTCCCTCTGGGCTGCCGGAGTGCCCGGCTAGGTGCCCCAAAATCCCGCAGCCAGTGCCAGTGACAAGTGAAGCCGGCTAGGCTTCTGGGATATTGGGGACTGGGAGAACTTTTCTGTCTAGCTAAAGGATTGTAAACGCACCAATCAGCACTCTCTGTCTAGCTAAAGGTTTGTAAACGCACCAATCAGCACTCTGTCAAAACGGACCAATCAGCTCTCTGTAAAATGGACCAATCAGCTCTCTGCAAAATGGACCAATCAGCAGGATGTGGGTGGGGCCAGATAAGGGAATAAACGCAGGCCACCAATGCCAGCAGCAGCAACCTGATCAGGTACTCTTCTGTGTGGCGGGGGTGCTTTGTTCTTTTGCTCTTTGCAATAAATGTTGGTGCTGCTCCGTCTTTGGGTCTGTGCTGCTTTTGAGAGCTGTAACACTCACTGTGAAGGTCTGCAGCTTCGCTCATGAAGCTAGCGAGATCACGAACCTGCCAGAAGGAAGAAACTTCAGACACATCTGAAGGAACAAACTCTGGACACACCACCTTTAAGAACTGTAACACTCACTGCAAGGGTTTGAGGCTTCATTCTTGAAGTCAGTGAGACCGAGAACCCACCAATTCTGGACACAGTGTGACACTCCTGAGATAGATCTATGTCCAATGTTTTGAAAGAATTCCAGGACATGAAAGTTCTCAATCTTTTACCCATGGCCTTTAAGATAAACCCGGCTAGACAGGGTGGCTCATGCCTCTAGTCCCAACACTTTGGGAGGCCAAGGCAGTGGATTGCTGGAGGTCAGGAGATCAAGACCATCCTGGCCAACATCATGAAACCCTGTCTCTACTAAAAATACAAAAATTTAGCATGCATGGTCGTGGACGCCTGTAATCTCAGATACTTGGGTGGCTTGGGGCCAAAGAATTGCTTGAACCCAGGAGGTAGAGGTTGCAGTGAGCCAAGATTGCACCACAGCACTCTAGCCTGGGCAACAGAGCAAGCTGGAAGAGAGAGAGAGAGAGAGAGAAGGAAGGAAGGACAGGAGAAGAGAAACCCAACTAATTAGTTTAGGACCAGTCCAGAAGAAGGGAGACTGGGTTTTGGCCTAACATACACAAGCTTGGTTATTTTAATTAGGAAATAAATAATTTGCCTAGAAGTAGGCCTGTAGGGGGAACAGCCTGTCTTGGGACGAACATGAGCCTTGGAGTTGGTGAGACCAGATTTCAAATGCCAGTTGAGCTGCTGATCTAACAATGCAACTGAATTGATTAGCTACTGGTACATACAAAATCACCTCAAAGTTTAGTGGCTTAAAACAACAAGCATTTATTTAGATTACAATTCTGCAGGTCAGCAATTTAGGCCAGTGCTCCTGGTCTCCCTGGCCTCTCTCACCTGCCTCTGAGGCAGGAGAATAGGGTTTGGAGGTAGAGAACCTAAGGCAGATTCACACTGACTTCCTAGAACTAAATCAAAAGGAAAACCGCAGTTGCAGTGAGCTGAGATGGTACCACTGTACTCCAGCCTGGGTGAACCCCAACTTTCCACACCCAAGTAACAAATGATCAGAGGCTACTCCCTTTGCAAGCCTCTCCTCCCTGCTACCCCACCCTGTTTTCTGCCTGGCAGATGAAAAACTGAAAGTACCTCTGATTGGTCCCCTCCTGGAACCAATCAGGCTGGTCAAGGGCCAAGTCTTCATTTGCATAGAAGTATAACTTTGTAACTTCAGCCTCTGATTGGTCACTTTTCGCAACCAATCAGACATTTGCATAGGGTGTAACTTGGCAACTTCAGTCTCTGGTTGCATTTACCTAGGGTGTATACCAAGTAACCAATGGGAAACCTCCAGAGGGTATTTAAACCCCAGAAAATTCTGTAACCAAGCCCTTCAGCTGCTTGCTCTAGCTGCTCCCACCCTATGGAGTGTGATTTTTTGTTTCAATAAATCTGTTTTTGTTGCTTCATTCTTGCTTTGTGTATTTTGTCCAATTCTTTGTTCAAAGCACCAAGAACCCAGACACTCTCTACCGGTAACACCTTAAGCTATCCACAGGTCAGCTAAATGATTTTGCTTTTGGGAGCTGGCTGGCTGTCAGCTAGATGCCTCTGTTCTCTTCCATATGATCTCTCATCCCCAAGTGGGCTATCCTGGACTTGTTCACATGGAGAAAGCAGGGGAGTCCTAGAGAGGGTTGAAGCGTCCAAGGCCATATTTAGGGATCTAGGTTTAGAACTGTATACTGTCATTTCTGCCACATTGTATTCACTAAAGCAATCATAAGGCCAGCCCAGATTCAAGGGGTGGTAAAACAGTTCCCACTTCTTGATAGAAAGAGTGGCTGAGTCACATTACAAAGGGAGTGGAGGCAGGAATGTCGTTAATTAGGGCCATAAAACTGCAATCTACCACGGTGACTGTGGCCAAGTTACTTTGCCTTTATGAGTCTCAGTTTCTTTTTTTTTTTTTTTTTTTTGAGACAGAGCCTCACTCTGTCACCCAGGCTGGAGTGCAGTGGCACGATCTTGGGCTCACTGCAACCTCCGCCTCCTGAGTTCAAGTGATTCTCCTGCCTCAGCCTCCCAAGTAGTGGAATTACAGACACCTGCCACCATTTCTGTATTTTTAGTAGAGACAGGGTTTCACCATGTTGATCAGGCTGGTCTTGAACTCCTGACCTCAAGTGATGCACCTGCCTTGGCCTCCCAAAGTGCTGGGATTACAGGCCTGAGCCACCACGCCCAGTCTATTTCATGAAGTCTTAACTGAAAATAATAACACATATCTGAAACAATTTTACTAAGGAATAGGAATAATATACCTATGCCTATTACTAGTGAGCATAGCATTTATTAGTTTATCTGAAACTTGTTGGCTAAAAGTTGCAGCTATCTTACTGTTCTTGATTCAAGTCAAGTTCATTTCACCCTCAGGGCCTTTGCAATTGCTGTTTCTTTTTGCCTGGAATGCTCTCATTTCAGATTTTCACATGATGGGTTCTTCTCACTCAGTACTCAGCTCAACTCCCCACTTCTCATGCACATCTCGCTGACCAACCTATCTAATGCCCTTACCTCCGTTTTCACCTTCACCTTCTGTATAATATTTATTGCCTTTTAACACTTGTCAATATCTAAAAATTATATAGTATATTCTTTAGCTTACTTTTTTATTTTTGAGACAGGGTCTTGCTTTGTTGCCCAGGCTATAGTGCAGTGGCATGATCCTGACTCACTGCAACCTCCGCCTCCTGGGCTCAAGCAATCCCCCCACCTCAGCCTCCTGAGTAGCTGGGGCTACAAGTGTGTGCCACCATGCCTGGCTAATGTTTGCATTTTTTGTAGAGACAGGGTTTCACTATGTTGCCCAGGCTGGTCTTGAACTCCTGAGTTCAAGCAATCCTCTTACTTTGGCCTTCCAAAATGCTGGGATTATTCAGGCATGAGCCACCACACCCAGCCCAGCTTATTTTTTTATTGCTTGTCTCTCCCACTAAAATGCAAGCTCTGTGAAAGCAGTAGCCTTGCCTGTTACGTTTATTGATGTATATCCCAGAAACAAAAGTGTAATTGGTACTTAGCAGGAGTGCAAAAATATTTGTTCAATGAATTTCTTAGCTAATTGATGGAAGAATAAATATGGCACTAGGTTGGGCTCTGAGGAAATGGCATATAGATTGGTTACTTTTGTAGGGGGAGAAATAGGAGGTTGAGTAAAGATTTGAAGTTTGAGAACATAACTAGGTCCAGTGAGAGGCCACAGTAGAGAGCCTTACACAGAGAGGGGACTCTGAATGCCTGTGAGTGACAAGGGGTACCCAAATAGGCCTTTTTCATAGTCCTGTAGACTCTGAGCCTCACTCTGCACCTTTTGCCCTTTTATCATTTACATTATTCCTTTTGACTTAGCACATTCCTTGTAGGAATTTATCCATTGGCTATACTTAAAAGGATTTTGGCAAGCTATATGAACAAGGGATTTCATTCGATTTTTTTGTTTGTTTGTTTGTTTTTTTGAGACAGAGTCTCACTCTGTCATCCAGGCTGGAGTGTAGTGGGATCTTGGCTCACTGTAGCCTTGACCTCCTGGACTCAAGTGATCCTCCTGCCTCAGCCTCCCATGCAGCTGGGACCACACATGTGAATCACCACAACTGACTAATTTTTTTATATTTTGTAGAGACAGGGTCTCACTTCGTTGCCCAGGCTCGTCTCGAACTGTTAGGCTCAAGTGATTGTCCCATCTTGGGCTCCTGAAGTGTTGGGATTACAGGTGTGAGCCACTGCACCTGGCCAAAAGGAACATTTAAGAACAAAAAAGTTCTCTTAGAAATTTAAATTGTGAAAACTCTGAATAAGAGGAGTCCCAGAGAGAACAAATAAAATAAATGGGAAGAAGTTATCAAGGAATAATTTCAAAAAAATTTCCAAGAACTGGACATGAGTGTCCAGACGGAAAGAGCCCTTCCATAGCCAGCACAATGGTTTTAAGTAGAAATAACGTTATGGCAAGTCATTGGGAAATTTTAGAGCAACAGGAACAAAGAAAGAATCCTTTACTTCCAGGAGAAAACGCAAAGACTCCAGAATCAGAATGGCACTGGATGCCTTATCCTTTAAAATGTTCATATAAGATTATGTTTATTATATTTTCACCCAATATTTCTAGGTATTTGTGTTGAGAATGGTGGTGCCATATTTCCTGAATAGCTAAAATGTGAGTTCCATGAAGGCAGGGATCCCCTTTTTTCACACATGTATCCATGTTCCTAGAACAATGTCTGAAATGTATTGAGTACTCCATAAATAGTTGTTAAATGAATACATAAAACAGAAACTCATATTGATGTTTTACCCAATAATGATTCTTTTCTTTCTTTCTTTTTTTTTTTTTTGAGACAGAGTTTCGCTCTTGTCACCCAGGCTGGAGTGTAATGGCGTGATCTTGACTCACGGCAACCTCCACCTCCCAGGTTCAAGCAATTCTGCTGCCTCAGCTTCCCAAGTAGCTGGGATTCAGGTGCCTGCCACCACGCCCAGCTAATTTTTGTATTTTTAGTAGAGCAGGTTTTCACCATGTTGGACAGACTGCTCTTAAACTCCTGACCTCAGGCTATCTGCCCGCCTCAGCCTCCCAAAGTGCTGAGATTACAGGCATGAGCTACCGTGCCTGGCCTGCATCATAATGTATTTAACCTTATTGATGAACTCAGTGTCTCTTTCCAATGCTTCAGGTGATTTAAATAATACTGAATTATGGCCAAGAGCCGTGGCTCACACCTGTGATCCCAGCACTTTGGGAGGCCAATGAGGGCGGATGACTTGAGGTCAGGAGTTCCAGACCAGCTTGGCCAACATGGTGAAGCCCTGTCTCTACTGAAAAAAAAAAAACAAAAATTAGTTAATTAGTTGGGTGTGGTGGCAGGTGGCTGTAATCCCAGCTACTCAGGAGGCTGAGACAGAAGAATCACTTGAACCTGGGAAGTGGAGGTTGGAGTGAGCTGAGATCATGCCACCCCACTCCAGCCTGTATGACAGAATGAGACTCTCTATTTAAAAAAAAAAAAAAAAAAAGAAAGAAAAAAAATTGAGTGAAATTCCTTGGTGACAGAGTGAAACTTTGTCTCAAAAACAAACAAATAAACAAACAAAAACTCCTTTTCCCTAGCCTCCTGTACTTCTTTCTTGGATATAAAATCTTTGCTTATCTCCTCCAGTGTTTTTAATAACATTTGTAAAAGTTCTTTCCAACTTTCTGACTTGTGTCTGTTTCTTCCTTCGTCATTTTTGTTTTAGTCTCTCTTCCATAGGCTTTGCTCAAGTATCTGTACACAACCGCCTGTCTTCATATTTAAGAATGACTTACTAAAAATATGATTAGAAGTTTTATGCATGGGTGGGGTGAACTGACTATACCATTTTGTTGGGGTCTTATCCTCTACAGAATTTTTTTTTTTTTTTTGAGATGGAGTTTCACTCTTGTTACCCAGGCTGGAGTGTAGTGGCACAATCTCGGCTCACTGCAACCTCCACCTCCTGGATTCAAGCGACTCTCATGCTTCAATCTCCCGAGTAGCTGGGATTACAGGTGCCCACCACCATGCCCAGCTTTTTTTGTATTTTTAGTAGAGACAGGGTTTCATCATGTTGGCCAGGCTGGTCTTGAACTCTTGACCTCAGGTGATCCACCCGCCTCGGCCTCCCAAAGTGCTGGGATTACAGGCATGACCTCTACAGATTTTTTTGGTGGTGAGATAATCTACCCCTCTGGAGAAGACCCTCCCAAACTCTTGCCTGGGAGGTATAAGCCTGGCCACTAAGGTTCTCAGAGCCAAATGGGGAAATAAGCTAGGTTATCCCTGTTCACTATGTAGACTTTGATTCATCTCTCTTGAATGCAGTGCGGTATCCCTGTCCTCAGCTGTGTCTGGTGTCTCCCAGTCAAAAGGCCCTCAAGTGTAGTCACTCTAGAGGATAAAGCTCTAGTCTTCTTCCAGAGTAGGAAGTGAGATCTAACTTCTTGCTATACAGACTTTCAAACAATAAGCTTGCTTTTAGCATTGTCTTCACCCACTTTCAGAGTTACATGGTGCCTCAAATTTTTAAGTCTTTCAGGGTACTGCATATTAATTAGCTTGACTCAGTGTCTCTACTGCTAGCGGAGGTTTCAGCATTCTCTTAGTTACTTCTCAACCACTTGCTTTCCACCAAATTTTGGTGCTGTCATCCTCTCTTCTTTTCTTTTTTTCTCCCTTTACTGTCATGAGGTATTCAATCTGCCACATTTAACTGGAAGTTGGGGCTTAGCTCTTAATGCCCCCATGGGAACAGAAAACAAGACCCTGGGTCAAAGAAACATTGGAATTGCAACTGAGATCCTCTACATAAAGCCAGGGCTTTCAAAGGAATGTCGTATCAGTGAAAGGGTAGACTAGACAAAAAACCCACCAACTGGCATACAAAAATGACAAAGAAGCTCTTTACCTTGACTCTGAGTAGGAAAAAGAACTCTCCTTAAAAATTCATAGACAGGCCGGGCACTGTGGTTCACACCTGTAATCCCAGCACTTTGGGAGGCTGAGGTGGGTGGAACACCTGAGGTCAGGAGTTTGAGACCAGCCTGACCAACATGGTGAAACCCTGTCTCTACTAAAAATACAAAAATTAGTCAGGCATGATGGTACGTGCCTATAATCCCAGCTACTTAGAAGGTAACTATGCTCACCACTATACCACCAACGCATCTAATCCCAGCTACCTAGGAGGCTGAGGTAGGAGAATCGCTTGAATCCGGGAGGCAGAGGTTGCAGTGAGTCAAGATTGCACCATTGCACTCCAGCCTGGACAACAAAGTGAGACTCTGTCTCAAAAAAACAAAAATTATAGACAGAGAAATGGCACACAACTGAATTAATACTATTAGGGAATCTTCAAGCCTAGAAACTGACGTACAATTGGTCCTAGATACAGGATACTCCTAGAGTGCCTGGTCCTGAGTATACGATGTTTTCTAGGTTGTCTGGCCTTGCAGAAGCAAATGAAAAAGTATTTTGAAAGTATTAATACATGGAGAGTCCCACTGCTAATGCTACTAATGCTAAGTGAAGATGATCTCCAAATTCATAATTATGACACACAAGGGAAACAATTTTTTTTTGAGTCAGGCTCTCATTCTTTCACCCAGGTTAGAGTTCAGTGATACAGTCATAGCTCACTACAGGCTTGAACTCCTAGGCTCAAGTGATCTTTCCTGTCTCAGCCTCCCAAAGTAGCTAGGACTACAGACATGGGCCACCATGTTCGGCTAATTTTTAAATTTTTTTGTAGAGATGGGGTCTTGCTATGTTGCCCAGGCTGGTCTCAAACTCCTGGCCTCAAGTTATCCTCCAATCTTGGCCTCCCAAAGTTTTGGTATTACAGGTGTGAGCCACAATGCTCGGCCTGAAACAAATAATGTTAGGAAGCAAATAATGTTAAGAACAGAAATTGCCTTTACAGTCTATTAACGACTTAAATTCTATGTTAGGACAGCTCAAGAGATGTTGTTTTTGCTTCTAGGCTGGGACAATCCCAGTTTTCTTCCAAGTTGACTCTGTCCTGAGTGGATCAGTGTAAGGAAGTTGGGCAAAAAAAGAAAAATACATAGAAGAATATTTCAAGATATCTCATTATAAATATCTGTACAGATATGTGCATACTTTTTTCTGGACAGACTCATAAGACAGTGTCAAAAATGATTTTCTTTGGGGAGAGGGACTTGGGGTAAGAGGAATAGGAAGTTTTCAATTTTCCTTTTTTAAAACATTCCTTTCGAGTTTGAATTTCTGATGTTTTATATGTATATATATATATAACTTTTAAAAAGTGATAAGAAGGCTTACTTGTATTGTGAGGTTACAGGGATACAGGCAGTTTCTTATTTCCTTTTTTAAAAAACTGGTTAATATCATAGTATTGGTTTAAAAAAAATCCCAAAACAACATAAACATAAACATGTCCTAAACCTGGTCTGGCTCAGAACTTTTCCCCCCTATATGTAATTTACAACCTACTTCTGGGAATAAATTAACACACTTGACAAAAGGTATAAACAATTTTCTGACAAACTCTAGAGACTGAAGACTTCTAAGAAGCCCAGTCACCCAGCTGTCAGTCAAGAGTCTAATTACCTTTAACTAAACATAGTTTTCTTTGATAGCTAGTCTAACAATGTTTACCTATTTCTTTTTTTTTTTTTTCCTTCTTTTTTGATACAGGGTCTCAGCTGTGTCACGCAGGCTGGAGTGCAGTGGGCTGATCACAGCTCACGATGGCCTCAACTGCCTGGGCTCAAGCAATCCTCCTGCCTCAGCTTCCCGAGTAGCTGGGACTACAGGCGTGCCACCACACCTGGCTAATTTTTTGATTTTTATCAAGAGGGTCTCGCTATGTTGTCCAAACTGGTCTCAAACTCCTGGGCTCAAGTAGTCTGCCCCCCTCGGCCTCCCAAAGTGCTGGAATTACAGGCATGAGCCACCAAGCTTGGTCTGATTATCTGTAGAAATTAAATGTCTCTATCAAGAGGAAATCTTTTAATTGGCCTAATAGACTCTTTTTCCTTTGCAGCAAGATTTGTGATAAAGTTTATAAGTGGTCATCACTAAAGTTTTTGAAAAATTTTTTAAAACATGTTTTAAACCTTCAAAAAAGTGGGTAATGTTCACCTCCATTACTCGTATAAAAGATATGGGTTCGATGGATGACAGGACATAGAACCACAGGAATAGAATGTAATTCATTCATTCCTTTGACAAGTATTTGAGTGCCTACCCTATGCCAGACTGGCAAGTCCTTGAGGGTCTACCATGTGCCAGGCAGTGTTCTTGAAGCTGGGGATACAAAAATGAACAAACGAGATTCGGAGAATAAAACTACAGTTCCCACAGTATCTTTCTCTTTGGCTTTTTTCCAGGGGGCGCTGCTTTCCGCGACTGTCTTCCCATGATTCTCGTTGGGCAGAAAAGCCCCGCCCGCTTATCTGCCATTTAAGCCAGCGCCCCTTGAGAATGGACTACAACTCCCACAATGCATTCGAGGGGCACCGTGTTAGGGCGCCACCTTTTTCCCGGCTGTGCTGTACCTACAGCACCCAGAACTACAGTACCCAGAAAGCTCCGCTTCCCCTCCTGGGTGTTATTGCCCCTTTCCTGGTGCAGGACGCGGTAGTGGCCAGCGAGAGTGTCAGGCCTGGGGTTTTCTGTGTCCTTCCCTGGGTCAGGGACGAGCCAGTGACTTGACTCTTGGGCGCTAAGCTTGGGAGGGAGCGCAGGAGGCCGCTGTCCTTCCTTTCCGGTTCACGTCACCCTTCTCTCCCTCTGTTGCTCCACCTGCAGCCACTTGGACGGCTCCGGGACTGATTGCCTGGGGCAGGGGTGGCAGTCGAGGCCGCCGGGGCCGAGGTGAGGCTGCAGCTCTCCGGGCGGCGGTAGCGCTGGGGAGGAGGAGGAGAGAAGATGGCGTCGGAGCTAGAGCCAGAGGTGCAGGCCATCGACCGGAGCTTGCTGGAATGTTCGGCCGAGGAGATTGCGGGGGTGAGTGCCGGAACCCGGGCGGGTGCGTCTGCCCCTCGCAGGCCGCGCCTGTGGGGAGGAACCGACTCCTGGACGTCCTGGAGCAGCCCGACCCAGACTTGGGGAAACAGCTGTGCCGGCCCTCGCCTTGTGGGGTAATAGCCCGGGGAGGCCACCGATCCTGCCCCTCTCTTTCCATTTTCAACAGCTGCCAGAGCTGCGCTGTGCACTAACTACGTTTACTTTCCCTTTCTGCCCAGGAGAACCCACGGCTCTTCCATCATACCTCCTTTCCCCCAGCCTCCCATTAAGTCTCCCAACACATGGGCCTTTGCCCTTTATATCAGCTCTTGGAAGAGGAGAAGAGACGCTTCTTGTGTTTTTGGTATAATCGCCCTAGTTTATCTAGTTAATTGCTTTTCCTGAGACAAGCGAAGCCGTGTGCTCCTCCGACTAAACATGCCACCCTAACCGAGCCCCTCTTTTGTTTTTGGGACTGCCCCAGGCACCAAGAAGGCAAACGACACTACCCTTCGTTATCCGTTTCAGTGCTATCTTTTTTTTTTGCACCGGTTTGATTAGTTGACAACGTTGATGCATGTGTGGAAAGTTTACTGAGTATGAGAAAGTAGTCGTGGAGTCTGGGAAATTTTAAAAATATTTTTTCTAGGAGTTAGGGGTAATTGGATGGAGAACAAATGTTATATAACGTTGATAGAGCAGCTTTCAACAAATACTGTATAAGCTAAACGTGAGAACTGGTCACAGTGTAGTAGGAGCAGTTATATTCCAAACGTAAAACCGTTCAAACGCACTATTGCATTAAAACTGTAATATGAATATGCTAGTGTAAATAGCAGAGTTGTAGGAACACCCATTAGAAGAGATTGCCGAGAATGATTATGAATGGACCAAGACAGCTTGGGCCCCACCTCTAAGACCTCCAATTAAAAAGGCTGCTAGGAAGGGAGTGACCCGTGAATAAAAGTCAGCAATCTGAATGCTACGAACAAAATTTGGGATTGGGGGCACTGTGGAGCTGTTGGTCAGTGAGTAGTTATTTTGCGTGAATTGGTGAGGACATTAAGTCCGGGTAGAAAGAAATGTCAGGAGTAGAGGTGAAGACTTTAAAGAAATACGTTGTTAAATGCTGAATCTTTGCTTGTTTGGGTGTGTTTTGTTGTTGTTTGTTTTTGTTTTTGAGACGGAGTTTCGCTTTCGATGCCCAGGCTGGAGTGCAGTGGCGCGATCTCAGCTCACCGCAACCTCAGTCTCCCGGGTTCAAGCGATTCTGCTGCCTCAGCCCCTCGAGTAGCTGGGATTACAGGCATGCACCACCACGCCCGGCTAATTTTGTATTTTTAGTAGAGTTGGGGTTTCTCCATGTTGGTCAGGGTGGTCTCAAACTCCCGACCTCAGGTGATCCACCTGTTTGGGCCTCCCAAAGTGCTGGGATTACAGGCGTGAGCCACTGCGCCCTGCCTTGGTGTGTTTTTTTAAACCTACTTACTTGTTTAGCCTAGGTCTGTTTTCATTTACTTTCTACTTAATGTTGTACAACTCAAGGAATTTCTGCCTTTCGTTTATCGGAGATTTGAAAAAAGAAAATGAAAGTAGTGTTACAAGTAAACTGTTAAATAATAATGACAGCTGTTTGCTCTCCATGCCTCTTCTAATTGATATCTGTTGCTTACCTCAAAGTACTGTTTTGATTTTTTTTCTCTCACTGAATTTTGTGTCTTGGTCCAGTGATACAGGGTACAAATTCCGTTATCCCATTCTAAAAGTGCAAACTATCAAGTGATTAGAGGTTCTCCAATTTGTAGAGGCTCCTGAGGAAACTGGTTATAAAAGTAGTGCGGGAGGCCAGTGCTCCTAGTTCTTGTTCAGTGAAATTCTCAAGCAGATGCAGTAAGGAAAAATCAAGGAAAATGCAACAAAAAATTATTAATTTGGACTTCATTTGAGTTTGTGAAGATCATAATCTGAGCTACATTTTACCCTGTTTACTTTTTTTGTTTGTTTTTTTGAGACAGTCTTGCTCTGTCGCCAGGCTGGAGTGCAATGGCGCAATCTTGGCTTACTGCAACCTCCGCCTCCGGGGTTCAAGTGATTCTCCTGCCTCAGCCTCCCGAATTACAGCTGGGATTACAGGCGTACGCCACCACGCCTGACTAATTTTTGTATTTTTAGTAGACACAGGGTTTCACCACATTGGCCAGGATGGTCTCGAACTCCTGACCTCAGGTTATCCGTCCGCCTTGGCCTCCCAAAGTCCTGGGATTACAGGCGTGAGCCACCGCACACAGCCTACCCTGTTTACTTTTAAATGCCTTTCTGAACAATAAGTTTTTTTTTTTCTTTTTTTGGTAAGAGATGGGGTCTTGCACTGTTGCCCAGACTAGAGTATAGTGACATTATCATAGCTCACTGCAGCCTTGACCTCCTAGGCTCAAGAGATCCTCCTACCTCAAAAACCAATATTAAAATATAAAATTCCTTCAACTATATAACCTTAATCTTGCCTTACTTTGTGAGGACTTTACTGTCTGTATTAAGTTAAAACACCTAACATTTAAAACTGTTTTTTTCAGCTTAGGCTTCAGCTTTTTTATCACACATTTAAATTAATAAAGTTTTTTCTTAGGTTGAAAGCACATTTTAGGGAAGAGAAACAAGTAGAGAAAACAGTGATTGTAGGCTTTAGACCTCTGTCATTGGTAATTTGTTAGGATCACTTCCATTTAAAAATCACCTAATGAGCACTAGTGTCAACCTTTCCACATTTCATTTACACACCGCTTTTCTTATTCCTGTTATAAGGAGGAAGAACTTTTTGTGATCCCATCCATTCCAGCTAGTATGCCTCACAAAGAAAAGTATCTAAGCTGACTCTTTAATATTTGTAAGTTTAGGATATTACAGTGGCCCTCTCTTCTCATTCTTCTCTTTTCTTGTTAGAATTGACTCCATAAGTATGACTTTCCCAACACTTCTTGGCTCTGTTTACTTTCTATACTACATATGGTTATAGTATGTTCCAGTGAGTGATTACGGTTTTAAAAGTAAACATGCCGGGTGTGGTGGCTCTTGCCTGTAATCCCAGCACTTTGGGAGGCCAAGGAGGGCAGATCACAAGGTCAAGAGATAGAGACCATCCTGGCCAACATGGTGAAACCCTGTCTCTACTAAAAATACAAAAATTAACCGGGCATGGTGGTGCACCCCTGTAATCCCAGCTATTCGGGAGGCTGAGGCAGGAGAGTTGCTTGAACCCAGGAGGCTGGGGTTGCAGTGAGCCGAGATCGCGCCACTGCACTCCAGCCTGGGTGACAGAGCGGGACCCCATCTTTTTCCCTGAATATAAAAGAAATACAGGTTGGGAGCACTGGCTCATGCCAGTAATCCCAGCTATTTGGGAGGCTGAGGTGGGAGGACTGCTTAAGTCTAAGAGTTTGAGACCAGCCTGGGCAACATTAGCTATACCCTGTCTCTACTAAAAAAAAATAAAATAAAATAAATAAGCTGGGTGTGGTGGCATGAACTTGCAGTCCTAGCTACTCAGAAGGCTAAGCAGGGAGGATCGCTTGAGCCCAGGTGTTAGAAGTTACAGTGAGCTATGATCATGCCACTGTACTCCATCTTGGGTGATACAGTGAGACCCTGTCTTCAAAAAAAATTTTGTTTTAATAAATAATGAATTTGTTAAGTTTTATGTAGAGTTTTAGGTCTGTATTGGTTATCTTTTTGCTGTACATTTTTTAAACCGTTTTATTGAGATATAACTCACATACTGTACAGTTAAATTCAGTGGTTTTTAGTATATTCAGATTCATGCAATCATCACTATGATCAATTTTGGGACATTTTTATCACCCCAAAAAAGAAATCCTGTACCTATTGGCAGTCACTTCCCTTTCACACCTAAACTCCTGAGGTCTAATCAACTACTAATTTTTGTCTGTGTAGATTTGCCTATTCTGGATATTTCGTATAAATGGAATTCAACATATTGTCATTTGTGGCTGACTTCTTTCTCTTAGATAATGTTTTAAATATTTATCCATGTTGGGCCAGGCGCGGTGGCTCACACCTGTAATTCCAGCACTTTGGGAGGCCAAGGCAGGTAGATCACAAGGTCAGGAGATCGAGACCATCCTGGCTAACACGGTGAAACTCCGTCTCTACTAAAAAATACAAAAAATTAGCCGGGCGTGGTGGCAGGCGCCTGTGGTCCCAGCTACTTGGGAGGCTGAGGCAGGAGAATGGCATGAACCCGGGAGGCGGAGCTTGCAGTGAGTCAAGATCGCGCCACTGCACTCCAGCCTGGGCAACAGAGCGAGACTCTGTCTCAAAAAAAAAATAATAAAAATAAAATATTTATCCATGTTGTACCATGTACAGGTTGAGTATTGTTACGCTTGCCACCAGAAGTGTTTTGGATTTTGGATTTTTTTGGATTTTAAAATATTTGCAGTTATACCAGTTGAGCATCCTTAATCCAAAATCCAAATGTTCCAATGAGCACTTCTTTGAGCATCGTGTGGGCATGCAAAGTTTCAGATTTTGGATCATTTTGGATTTCACGTTTTCAAATTAGGGATGCTCAACCTGTGTCAGTAATTCTTTCTTTTTTATTGCCAAATGACATTCCTTTGTATAGATAAACCATATATTATTTATCTGTTCATCAGTTGGTGAATATTTGGGTTGTTTCTACTTTTTGGGTATTATGAATCATGTTGCTGTGAACATTTTTTACAAATTTTTGTGGGGACATATGCTTTTGTTTCTCTTGGGTATATACATACCTAGAAGTGAAATTGGTGGGTCATATGTTAACTATTTTGAAGAACTGCCAGATTTTTCCAAAGCAGTTGCATTGTTTTACATTCCCACCAGTAGTGCATGAGAGTTCCAATTTCTCCAGATCCTTGCCAACACTTGTTTTTGCCTGTGTTTTGATTACAGCCATTCTTTTGGGTGTTATGCCTTCTCATTGTGGTTTTGATTTGCATTTCCCTCATGAGTCATGTTGGAACATCTTTTTATGAGCTTATTGGCCATTTTTATGTCTTCTTTGCCTATTTTCAATTAGTCTTTTGACCTATTAAATTTCTATATTTTATTTGTAAATATTCTCCTTAATTTGTAGAGCTCTTAATATAATTTGTTTAAAATTTTTCTCAATATATTCCCTAAAACTCCCACTTAAACACTATTGTTTTTATGGTTATGAGCACTAGTTGTTTTATGATTAACTTACATGTTGCTTATCCTTGTTTGAAAGCAAAACCAAAAGTAGTTAAAGGATACAATTTTAATTGGGTATAGAATAATAGAGACTGTAATAAAAGGCTAACTAACCTCTAGGGATTCTTTCATTTTTCATTTCATTTTTATTTTATTGTACTTGCTTTCTATCCCAAGGCTTAAATTTAGTATTTAATAGAGGGAAAGCTCCTGGAAACATTGTCATAACATGTTTACTTTAGAGGAATGAGTTGACAGTTTCTTTACTTCCCTTAAGAGGGACTTGTAGTAAGATAGTGAATGCTTATTACTCTCTTATGCCACATGGGTGTGACAGCTACAAGTGTCTGAAATAAAGACAAAAGGCCAACCAAACTGGAAATCTTAATTTTTCATGTTGAAGAAACAGTTGCAGTTAGCATATGTTAGAACTAATATGAAAAGCTATAGATTTTATTCTTTGGGGAAATGTGTGAGCTACTTCTGAAAGACAGTCATAAATTTTTCTTGCTTTTTATATTAAGTATGTATGTTTAATCAGCTTAAAGTGCCTGTAATAGAGCCCAAATCTTTTAGGTGATTGTGATTTTTTCATATAATGGTAGTAAAGTTTTTGGTTTTGAGACGGAGTCTCACTCTGTCCTCCAGGCTGGAGTACAGTGGCGTGATCTAGGCTCACTGCAACCTCCACCTCCTGAGGTCAAGCGATTCTTTTGCCTCAGCCTCCCAAGTAGCTGGGATTACAGGCGTGCACCACCACTCCTGGCTAATTTTTGTATTTTTAGTAGAGATGGGGTTTCACCATGTTGGCCATGGTGGTCTCGAACTCCTGGCCTCAAGTGATCTGCCCACCTTGGCCTCCCAAAGTGCTGGGATTATAGGCGTGAGCCACTGTGCCCAGGAGTAGTAAAGATTTGAAAAATGGGGAGCATATGCATGCCTTTCTTGGACCAGACTTTTAAGTCTTGTTATTTATAATAATATGTAATAAAGAGTGAAATACTTGCTTGTTTTACTAATAATATTTTTATGTAAAGTGGCTAGTTTTTTTTTTGTTGTTTGTTTGTTTTTTGAGACAGGATCTCACTCTGTCACCCAGGCTGAAGTGCAGTGGCGTGATCATGCCTCACTGAAGCCTCAACCTCCGGGGCTCAGGTGATCCTCCCACCTCAGCCTCCTGAGTAGCTGGGACTACAGGCATGCACCACCATGCCCAGCTAATCTTCTTTTATTTTTAGAAGAGACAGGGTTTTGCCATATTGCCCAAGCTAGACTCGAACCTCTGAACTCAAATGAGCCACCCGCCTTGGCCTCCCAAGTGCTGGGATTACAGGCATGAGCCAAAGAGCCTGGCCGATTTTTTTTTTTTTTCTTAACCAGAAGCTGATACTAGCGTCTGAATTTTTGTTGAAGAAATCTATGAACAAATTTGCTCTCGTTACAGTTACTAGACTGCATAATTTTTTTTTAGAAAGCATCCATGCTAGCCTGTAGTCCCAGCTACTTGGGAGGCTGAGGCAGGAGAATGGCGTGAACCTGGGAGGCGGAGCTTTCAGTGAGCCGAGATCGCGCCACTGCACTCCAGCCTGGGTGACAGAGCAAGACTCCGTCTCAAAAAAAAAAAAAAAAAAAAAAAAGCATCCCTTCTAAAGTAACCTTTCATTCTTGTATTAAAATTTTGCAACAGTGAAGTTTTACAGGAATGGGAACATAAAATATAAGGAAAAAAACTGGTTTTTAAATAAAATCTTTCAATATGTTGTAAAAAAAAGTCCGAAGCACTTAACTTTCTAGGATCATGGAGGTGAATTATTTTGGTCTTATTGCTTAATTTTTCTTTCATAAAGAGTAAATTGAATCCTAGCACCTTTGGGAGGCCGAGGTGGGCAGATCACCTGATGTCAGGAGTTTGAGACAAGCCTGGTCAACATAGTGAAACCTTGTCTCTACTAAAAATACAAAAATTAGCCGCGTGTGGTGGTGCACACCTGTAACCCCAGCTACTCAGGAGGCTGAGGCAGGAGAATCACTTGAACCTGGGAGGCAGAGGTTGCAGTGAGCCGAGATCGTACCACTGCACTCCAGCCTGGGCGACAGCACGAGACTCAAAAAAAAAAAAAAAAAAAAGCGCTTAGGATCATTTGACTACCTTCATTCTTGTTTTGGTTTGCTGACAATGGGTGAAAAATGAGACATTTACCTTTGAATGAGGCCAAAACGAGGTCTTTTAGCTCAAAGAATAAGATTCTAGTATGCTTGTTGAGGACTCTTTTTCTTTTTTTAAAACTTGTCCTCTTTATAATTACTGAGCTTAAAGGATGTGTATGTATATATAAAATTTTGATTGAGTCACTCTGAAGGGAGAGAATACTTAAAGCCTGTAGGATTGTCTCCTAAGAAATGATGCTGCTGCTGCTGTTTTATTTTTATTTTTATTTTTTTTTCCCTAACCACTTGGCCACCAGGGAAGAAATGCTGTTGTTTTGAAAGTAATTTAGTCTCTTTCCTACTTGCATAATGTAAACACAACAATGTTAGTAATATTTGGAAAATAGTTTAGTTTCACTTTAAGCATGAAAACTCTTTCACCGTTTTTGGTTATAAGCTTCTATCCAGTCCCTTAACTTATGAACAAAATTTTTACATTTTTAGTAAAAGTTCTCTGAAAACAGAAATTGACTAGAAAGTTAATATACATCACCTCATGCATATTTAAAATCTCTCTGTATGTTGTTTTTAGAAGGAGTGGTCTGAAGAATATACAAGTAATAGCTAAAATGAAGACCTTATGTTGACTTCTTATGATGTTACATATCACTTGAACATACTTTTTTTTTTTTTTTAAATAAAAATGTAACTGGAATTAGGTAGTAATCCATAGGTAAACATTGGAGGTTTTTTTTAATTTCAGCTTTTACTTTAGATTTAAGGAATACATGTGCAGGTTTGTTACATGAGTATATTGCACCTGGGTAGTGAGCATAGTACCCAATAGGTAGTTTTTCAACTCACTTCCCCTTCCTCTTTCCCTCCATCTGTGGGTTTTGTTCACGGTTCAGTTAACTGCATTCTAGCAGAAGTGAGTCTTTTTTTTTTTTTGTCCTTTGAGACAGACTCTTGCTCTGTCGCCCAGGCTGGATCTTGGCTCACTACAACCTCTGCCTCCTGGGTTTAAGCGATTTCTCCTGCCTCAGCCTCTTGAGTAACTGTGATTACAGGCATGCGCCACCACATCCAGCTAATTTTTATATTTTTAGTAGAGAAGAGACTTCACCATGTTGGCCAGGCTGGTCTTGAACTCCTGACCTCAGGTGATCTGCTTGGCCTGGCCTCCCAAAGTGCTGGGAAGCTTTTCAGATTTTTCGGTGTGGATACCCAGGTTGAGCTGGAAATGGAGAAAATAACAGATTTTGGTGGAGCATGGAGGGGAGATCATGCATTCAGTTATTGAGTTGGTACCTATGAGATCTAAGTAGAATCATGCTTTAAAATTTGTTTTTAGTGGGGAGAGCAAACGGAAAAGGCCTTATAGAGAGAGAGAAGTTGATCAGAGAAAGAAGGCATAATTGGTACAACAGTCTCTTGTGGACTGACTTATTCAATAAGAGACTGGTATATAAACTTGCTTATCAATCATTAAGAAATGTGTATTGGCTGTTCATGTTCACCGTACATATTGGCTGTTCATATTCACCGTACACTCTTCCTATGGACAAACTGACGTGAGAATTGATATCACAATGAGAATAACATTTGAGCAAAGCATTAGGAAGGACATTAGGTGAGCTCAATGGTTCATATCTTATATAATGATTTCTTGTAATTATTTTCTGGTACTGCCTAGAGAAGATTGCTTCAAGAGTCATTTTGCAGGGAAGGAGGGAGGCTTGTTTCATTTTAATTTTACTTACACTTAAAAGTAGGATTTAAACATACTTGGCATTTTAATAGATTAAATTTCTAACGTACGGTGGTGAGTGTTGTAAACAAAATATTTTAATATGCTTTTGTCATTATTTTTGTACCTAAAAGAAAGTAGGGTGAATTTGTTCAAATTAGTTTGTTGGTGTTTAAAACCATTTCTTCTCTTTTCTTCTTTTAAAGAAATGGCTGCAAGCAACTGACCTCACTAGAGAAGTGTACCAGCATTTAGCCCACTATGTACCCAAAATCTACTGCAGGGGTCCCAACCCTTTTCCACAGAAAGAAGACATGCTGGCACAGCATGTTTTGTTGGGACCAATGGAATGGTACCTTTGTGGTGAAGATCCTGCATTTGGATTTCCAAAACTTGAGCAAGCAAACAAACCTTCTCATCTTTGTGGTCGTGTTTTTAAAGTAGGAGAGCCTACATATTCTTGCAGGTAAAATATTTTAATTTTCTTTCTAGGAGGCTCTTGTTTTATTTGACCTCTTTTTTTCCCTGGAACTTTTGAGTTTTTGTTTAAAAATTATGAAATACCATATCTGCTTAAAAATCTGTATTACAAATACATGCTATTTAATAAATAATTAAAGCAAACATTTTTGTAATTATTCTTGATCAAAAAAAATTGTCACCAGCATTCTTGAAGCCCACTGTGTGCTTTCTTCCTTCCCCCATAATTAACTGACATCTTGACTCTTGCAATAATCACTTTCTTGCTTTTCTTGATATTTTTTAGTTACAGTAATTCTGATGTTCAAATTGCCATAGATTTGGCTAGTGAGAGCCCCGTCACACCATCTTGTCTTTTTCACATGCCTTCATTAGTTTGTGGGTGCTTCTTTCCTTTCTGGCACAAGATGCCCCAGCTCACTTTGTACTTGCTCTGACCCGTATGTACAATCAGCTATTTCTTTAAAGATTTTTCTTTCATTTGGGAATGGTAGTTAGAAACCAAGATCTGGGTGCTGTATGCATTTACTGCTGTTAGGAAGACTTTTCTTTTTTAAATTTCTTGGTGAAAATTGAGTATACAAGGGTAGAAGATGGAGAATAAAGTGCCTTGTCCCCTTTTTGACTGTCCAATTTTCCAGAATTAATCATTGTTAACATTTTCCCATATATCATTTCAGAAATTTTCCTTTTTTTTTTTTTTTCTGAGATGGAGTCTTGCCCTGTCACCCAGGCTGGAGTGCAGTGGCGCGATCTCGGCTCACTGCAACCTCCACCTGCCAGGTTCAAGTGATCCTTCTGCCTCAGCCTCCCAACTGGCTGGGATTACAGGCTTAGCCCATGACCATGCCCAGTTAATTTTTGTATTTTTAATAGAGACGGGGTTTCACCATGTTGGCCAGGCTGGTCTCAAACTCCTGACCTCAGATGATCCACCTGCCTTGGCCTCCCAAAGTGCTGGATTACAGGCATGAGCCACTGTACCCGGCCTCTTTCAGAAATTTTCTTTGTGTATATAGGCCAAGATATATGGCAATTTTAAACCTACATACATAAATACAGATGGGAATATGTTACATATACTGAGCTAAATTTTCTTTTCTGTATTTAACCATAGCTTAACATCTTTCCGTATCAGCTTATGTAGCTAGATAATATTCTTTTGTGTAGATGTGTTGTCAGAGACATTATTTAACTTTTTCCTTTAAACTTTTTCCTGTAAAACTGAAATTTAATAAGCTAATTTTGGTGAAAGCCTCTGGTTATCTATGGTAGTTTTCTTTATTAGCTTATTTAGAATATCAATAGAGAACAGTATATATATTGAAAAACTATTAGACCTAGTTTTTTGTTTGCTATTACAGAAACTACTTTGAATATTCTGTTGATGTTTGGAGCAGTAGACCTAGTTGAACCTCATAATTTATGGATAGGAAATTGAGACCCCATTGTTCAGTAATGTTCTTTGTATTAATAGGATCTAGTTCCAAATTATTTGTATATCTTGTCTTTTAATCTTCAATCTGGAATGTTTCCTCAATTTTTCTGTGACTTTCATGATCTTGACACTTTTGAAGATTACAGACCAGTTATTTTGTCAATGTCCCCTCAATTTGGGTTTGTCTGGTTTTCGTAATTAGATTCAAGTTGCATCTGTGACAGGAGTGCCACAGAAATCATGTGTTTTAACCCTGTCAGGTGGTATGTATGATTTTGATTAGTTCTACAACTGGTGATATTGATCACTTGATTAAAGGGATGTCTGCAAGACTTCTCCACTGTAATGTTACTCTTTTCCCCTATGTGATCAATAAGTGTGTTGTTGGGAAGTACTTTGAGACTATTAAGTATCCTCTTCATTATCAAACTTTCAATTTATTTATTTATATCAGTATTTGTGGGGTCTCATTATTATGCTCAAATTGTCCTAGATTTGGTCAATAGGAGCCCCTTCAAGCTATCTTTGTTCTTTTTCATATCTCTATCATCCTTTGAGCTCTTTTTCTTTTCCTTTCCTTTTCCCTTCTGTTTTTTCTTTTCTTCCTGGTACAACAAGATGTCCCAGGCAATCTTGAGCTTTCTCCTGCCCCAACCCTGAAATCAACCATTTTGCCAAGGATCCTGGTTCTTTTTAGTGGAAAATGGTGTTTACAAATAAGATGGTATGTGTGCATGTTGCTGTTGGTGTTATAACTCTCAGGCTGTCTCAATGGAGCTTTATTTTATACCTATCTGTATAAATGTATTGAAATAGATATTGGAAACCATGCATCTGTAGTGATCTCTTCTGTTCCCATCTAAGGTTCTTTCTAGTTTTCTTCCTTTGCATATTTTTAATTTCCTTCTCTGACAAGAGAAAACCTGATTCTCATTTTCCTCAAAATATTTGCTTATTTAATTATTCCCCTGTATGCAGCCATTCTGCTGCTGCTGCTGCCCAACTCTCTGCATAATTGCCCCCCTTTACCCCATTTGGATTTTGTGTTCAGTACTGGGTCACAGTGGCCTTTCCCTCTTTTTTTTTTTTTTTTTTTTTTTTTGAGATGGAGTCTCACCCCGTAGCCCAGGCTGGATTGTAGTGGCATAATCTCGGCTCACTGCAACTTCTGCCTCCCGGATTCAAGTGATTCTCCTGCCTCTGCCTCCCGAGTAGATGGGACTACAGGCGCACACTGGCTAATCTGTGTATTTTTAGTAGGGATGGGGTTTCACCACATTGGCCAGGCTTGTCTCAAATTCCTGACCTCAAGTGATCCACCTGCCTCAGCCTCTCAAAGTGCTGGGATTAAAGGCCTGAGCCACCGTGCCCGGCCTCCCTCCTGTTTTGTTAGGGCAGATCCAAAGTAAGCCTTGTTCTAGGATGTATAGTTTTTCTTATTTGTGGGGGTCCCACAAATAACAGAGACACTCTGATCACATAAGTAATGCCAGGGATTTAAAGGTTACCTCCCTGGAAACCAGATCAAAGACCAGCCAGGTTCTTTATTAGATTGTTGAGAGGGTTAGTGAGATCCTTTGTGTGTAGTACTTTACACAATACTTGGCACACAGTAAACTCATAGTAAATGGCCATGCTGGGTGCTGGGGATGAATATCTCATTTTAAAAGTAGGTGTTTCCATGAAACCCAGCGCCCTGGTAAAATGACACGGAGTCTGTTATTTGGAAAGATTAAATATGGTTATTGGAATTCTGGGGAGGTTTCTAAACTAGACCCTTCAGGATAAAGGTGACTGATATCCATAATGCAGAAGGTTTCTTTAATGAGAAAGAATGATATTAAAGGATCTTTTATATATAGTACTTAGGAAAAGGATTTGTGAAGGGCATAGATTAGTTTTGCTATGGGGAGTTATTTGTTCATAGTTTCTAAAATTGTGTTGGTCACAAATTATTTTTCTGAAGTCTCCATGATGTCAGAAAAAAGCCATCTGGGTGTTCGTAGGCAGTAAGCTACTTTTTGTGTACTCTATTAGGAAAAGAGTGGTCAAACTTAGCACTTGTTATTCGTTATTAAATAGAAATGGTTTTACAGTGTAAAAAATCTTAGTGGGCAAAAATCTTAGTGTTGATTTTGATAATTGTATATTTTGACATTTTTTATAACCATTAAGAAAAATAAAACGAGTAGAATATGAAATCATACTTTCATGAGTTAAGTTTTTAGCTTAATACTTCTTTTAAGATACGGAGAAGTAAGGTTTCATCCCCCTGTTTTTTTAGTGTAGTTAAATTGAGAACATTCTTTTTTAACATTTAAAAACGTATTACATGAATGTTATACTTAACCAGAAATTGGCATTGGGGGCGGGGGTGGCTTATGCTGCCATCAGGAGTATTTTTGTTTCTAGATAGTATTTTATGATGCTTTATTAACTATTAAATAATTTTGTATAGGCTTTTTTTTTTACTTTAATAGTGGTTTGTATTGGTATATAATAATTGTACATATTTATGGGGTATATGTAATTTTGATACACACACATAAGGTGTAATGATCAAATCAAGGTAACTAGGATATCCATCACTTTGAACATTTATCATTTCTTTCTGTTGGGATGTTTTAACCCTGATTCTGTTGGTCATGACAGTTGAGATTATGCTAAAAATGATAAACAACTCTACAATCCCAAAGACTTTATGTACCAAGATATATTTATTACTCAGACTGTGTGACCAATTCAGATGAGTGGGGTGATAAGTAGAGGGTTCTGCTCCAGGTAGTTTTTTTGACACCATCTTATGTTTCCACAAGCTTACTGTAATGCTTTCAAGGTTCACCACAGCAAGAACAGAATAGAGCTGGTGGATCATTCTCAGCAAATAAATGCTTTGTCTCAGAAATTATGATCTTACCCAAATCCCATTAGGCAAAACTAGGCCTAATGCCTCTATCCAGCAACAGAATAGGTCGGGAAAGTGTAATTCTCCTAAGTCTCAGGGATAGATGAAACTAGGATGTGGATGAGCATTGGAAGTGTCTTTAGCAATGATTTTTTTACGTTTTTTAGGGTGATTTTTCCTCCCTGAGTCATTAGGATAAAATGAAGTAACGTGTATGAAAGCACATAGGTAATTATAGATATGTGTGAGGTTTTTTTTAATTGAATACTCTTCTTCATATAAATTACTGAGCCATGAGTAGCATCTCAAGCAGAGGGGTGCAGATAGTTCTAGTTCCTTTTCTGTCTGGAAGTAATAAAGCTCTCATATGGAAGACCTACGTATTTCCATGAAGAGGGGTTGTTCTTTCAGTTTCTTGCTTTTGAAAAAACTTGAAGTCTTTTCTCTACTTAAAATACAAAAATTAGCTGGGCATGGTGGTTCATGCCTGTAATCCCAGCTACTCAGGAGGCTGAGGCAGGGGAATTGCTTGAACCCAGGAGAGGGAGGTTGCGGTGAGCCGAGATCATGCCATTGCACTCCAGCCTGGGCGAAACTCCATCTCAAAAACACACACACACAAACACACACACACACACACACACACACAAACTTGAAGTCTTGATCTCTTGCAGGATTCTATTTTAAAACTGAGTGTTAGGCTGTTCTTGCATTGCTATAAAGAAATACCTGAGGCTGGATAATTTATAAAGAAAAGAGGTTTAATTGGCTCACAGTTCTGCAAGACTGTACAAGCATGGCATAAACATTTGCTCAGCTTCAGGTGGGGACCTCAGGAAGCTTACAGTCATGGCTGAAGGGGAAAGGGAAGCAGGCACATCACATGGTGAGAGCAGGAACAAGAGGTGAGGAGGAGGTGCCACGCTTTTAAACAACCAGAGCTCACAAAAACTCTCTATTGGGAGAACAGCACCAAGAGGATGGTGCTAAACTGTTCATGAGAAATCCCTCCCATGATTCAGTCACCTCCCACCAGGCCCCACCTCCAACATTGGGGATTACAATTCAACATGAGATTTAGAGGGGACACATATCCAAACTATATCAAGCTATTTCTTTATAATGTGAATAGTCCAGAGATTGGAATCAATGTTGTGTTAGTTTTAAAACCATTGGTTATTTCTTTTTTTGAGACAGAGTCCCATTCTGTCGCTTAGTCTAGAGTACAGTGGCATGATCATAACTCACTGCAGCCTCCAACTCCTGGGCCCAAGTGTTCCTTCCAAGTAGCTAGAACCATAGGCGTGTGCCACCATGCTCAGCTAACTTTTGTATTTTTGTAGAAACAGAGTTTCCCTATATTGCCCAGGCTGGTCTCAAACTCCTGGATCAAGAGATCCTCCCACCTTGGCCTCCCAAAGTGCTGGGATTACAGGTGTGAACCACTGCACCTGGCTGGCATGTGTGATACATGCTGAAATTATACTGTGTATATTACACACATATGAATGAAATTATACTATGTGTATTATAATTGTGGCTTACATTTTTTCACTTAACAGTTTGTTTTGGAGATCTTTTCATGTCAATATATATAAATCTACCTCATTCTTTATAACTGTTTTCATAGTAAGGACAGGCCATAGTTTATTTGATTGACCTAATAATGAAATTAGAAATGGAGATTTCTAGGTTTTTTTTTCTGTAGCAAACAATGCTGCAAGGAATACCCTGCACATGTTTGTGTACATCTCTTTGTACATGTTTCAATAAATACCCAGAGGTAGAATTTTAATTCTGTACGTTATCATGGGGCCTTCAGTATAATGGAATTTCCCTTGTCTACACTGCTCTCTCTGACCTGGGAAAATGCAGTAAATATCTTCTAGATAATTTAGATTTCTGTAGTTGTCTAAAATGAGTCTTATGTTCTTATTTTGGAGATTTGTGATTATTCAGTTTGGTGCAGAATGAAACGTAGAAGTACATGGTGGTATCATCAACTTGGCATGTAGCTAGCTGCCTTTGCCTAGATGGTAAGAAATAATAGAACCATAAAGGCTTTGGGGTAATCCATTCAGGTAGGAAACGCAAATTTATATTACTAAAATTTTATCTCTTGGCCCCTCTGTGAGTTTTGAGTGTTTTTTCTTAAGGGAATATTTACATATGTCAAAAGACAAATCTTAATTGTACATTTTTTTTTTTTGAGACAGTCTCATGCTGTTGCCCAGGCTGGAGTGCAGGGGCACGATCTTGGCTCACTGCAGCCTCCGCCTCCTGGGTTCAAGCGATTCTCCTGCTTCAGCCTCCTGAGTAGCTGGGACTACAGGTGCCCGCCACCACGCCCTGCTAATTTGTTTTGTATTTGTAGTAGAGACAGGGTTTCACCATGTTGGCCAGGATGGTCTCGATCTCCTGACCTCGTGATCTGCCCACCTCGGCCTCTCAAAGTGTTGGGATTACAGGCGTGAGCCACCGCGCCCGGCCTTAATTGTACATTTTTGACAGTAGTTAACCTTATATGATTTATGTATTGTGAAGATAGAGAACTTTCCTGTCTCACTAGAAATTTCCCTGTCATTGGCTCCAGCCGCCTAGGTAACCACTGTGTTGATATTGTCACCTTAGATTACCTTGGGTGGTTCTAGAATTTTTTTTTTTTTTTTTTTTTTTTTTTTGAGACAGGGTTTTGCTCTATTGACCAGGCTGGAGTGCAATGGCATGATCATGGCTCACTGCAGCCTCAACTTCCCAGGTTCAACCTTTCCTCCTGCCTCAGCCTCCCAAATAGCTAGGATCACATGTGTCTGTCACTATGTTGACTAATTTTCTTTTTCCTTTTTTTTTTTTCTCCGAGACGGAGTCTCGCTCTGTCGCCCAGGCTGAAGTGCAGTGGCATGATCTCAGCTCACTGCAACCTCTGCCTTCTGGTTTCAAGCAATTCTCCCACCTCAGCCTCCTGAGTAGCTGGGATTACAGGCACGCACCACCATGCTCAGCTAATTTTTGTATTTTTTAGTAGAGACCGGGTTTCGCCATGTTGGCCAAGCTGGTTTCAAACTCCAGGACTCAAATGATCTGGCCCCCTCGGCCTCCCAGAGTGTTGGGATTACAGGCATGAGCCACTGTGCCCAGCCAACCTGGCTAATTTTTTGAAGAGACAAGGTCTCACTTTGCTGCCCAGGCTCATCTTGAACTCCTGGGGTCAAGTGATGCTCTCCCCTAAGCCTACCAAAGTGTTGTGATTACAGTTATGAGCTACTGCGCCCACCCTGGTTCTAGATCTTATAAAAATGAAATTGTAGTCCTTTTGTGCCTGGCTTCTTCTCAGCATAATGTCTGTCAGATTTATCCATGATGTAATGATTATTAGAAGTTGGTTCCATTTTATTGCTGAGTGTATTTCATTGTATAAATGTGCCACAGTTGCCTACAATCTGTTGTTCTGTTGATGAACATTCGAGTTGTTTCTAAGTTTTGGCTATTATGAATAAAACTTCTATGACCTTCTCTTTTTTAAATGTGCAACACATTAAAATATTAGGCATTGTTATTCTATACTTAACCACATTTTAATGTGTTTTATATACCAAATAACATAAATTTTGCACTGTTAAAAATCTGCAGCTTTTAATGATACATTTTAAGGGCTGGGTGCGGTGGCTCACACCTGTAATCCCAGCACTTTGGGAGGCCGAGGTGGGTGGATCACGAGGTCCGGAGATCGAGACCATCCTGGCTAACATGGTGAAACCCCGTCTCTACTAAAAATACAAAAAATTAGCCGGGCGTGGTGGCGGGCACCTGTAGTCCCAGTTACTCGGGAGGCTGAGGCAGGAGAATGACGTGAACCCGGGAGGTGGAGCTTGCAGTGAGCCGAGATCGCACCACTGCACTCCAGCCTGGGCAACAGGGCGAGACTCCGTCTCAAAAAAAAAAAAAAAAAAAAACATTTTAGGAATGTAAGAAAATTATTTATATTAAGACACCATAAGATAGGCCTTCTAGACTGTAATAATACAGTGAATACTCTTACTTGATACATTGGTTTCAGGATATTACCATTTTTATTCAAGTGTTTTTGTGGACATATGTTTTAATTTTTCTTGGATAAATTCCTAAGAGTGGAATTTCTGGGTAAAAGGGCAGGTATATGTTGAACTTAATAAAAACTGCTAAACCTTTTTTCCAAAAGGATTTTATCTTCTCCTCTAGTAATGTACGAAAGTTCCTGTTGTTTCATATCCTTACCAATAGGTGATGTTGTCAGACTTTTTTTTTAACAAAACAGGAAGACTGTGTTTAATACAGTATGAAATATTTCTTAATTGCAATTATTGTATTATTCCTTACAGAAAAAAACACAAGTCCTTAAAATAATAACCTCATTTAAATTTAAGTTTAATGCATCATACTATTTAAATATCTGCCAGCATATACTACATAGACTGTTTAATTTGCCATTCTATTTAATGATATCTCATTATAGTTCTTTTTTTCTTTTTAAAATTAAAAAAAAAGTCAGTGCGTTTTGGGTATCATTATAGTTTAAATTTTCCTTAATGACGATTTTCCATGTGCTTATTGCCCATTCATCCAGCTTCTCTTGTGAAGTTATTGTTAAGGTCTTTTGTCCATTTTTGGGTTGTTTATCTTTTCATTATCTTTATTCACTTTTGGAGTTCTTTATTCTGAATACAAGTCCTTCGTCAGACTCATTTTGTGACTATTTTCTCCTAGGCTGTGGCTTGTTTCTATGGTGGCTTTTGATGACAGAAGTTTTTAATTTTAATGTTCAATTTACCACTTTTTTTCATGATTATTGTTCTTGTGTCCAGTAAATCTCTGCCTTCTCTCAAATGGCAAAAATAGTTTCTGTGATTTATTTATTTACTTTTATTTATTTATTTTTTGAGACAGTTTTGCTCCTGTTGCCCAGGCTGGAGTGCAATAGCGCAGTCTCGGCTCACTGCAACCTCTGCCTCCCGGATTCAAGCGATTCTCTTCCCTCAGCCTCCCAAGTAGCTGGGATTCCAGGCATGCACCACCAAGCCCAACTAATTTTCTATTTTTAGTAGAGGTGGGGTTTCCCCATGTTGGTCAGGCTAGTCTTGAACTCCCAACCTCATGTGATCCACCCGCCTAGGCCTTCCAAAGTGCTGGGATTACAGGGCTTTTTTTTTTTTTTCTCTGAGACTTGCTCTGTTTCCCAGGCTGGAGTGCAGTGGCACGATCTCAGCTCACTGCAACCTCTGCCTACCAGGTTCAAGCCATTCTCCTGCCTCAGTCTCCTGAGTAGCTAGGACTACAGGCACGCACCACCAGTCCCAGCTAATTTTTTTGTATTTTTAGTAGAGACAGGTTTTCACCATGTTGGTCAGGCTGGTCTTGAACTCCTGACCTCAAATGATCTGCCCACCTCCACCTCCCAAAGTGCTGGGATTGCAGGCATGAGCCACCGCGCCCGGCCTCTCTCTCTAATTTTTTCATGTAAACTTTGTGATTTTAGACTTTATGTCTGGGCCTATGATCTGTCTCAAACTAAATTTTTTATATGGCTTGAGGTAGAGGTTAAGTTTCATTTCTTGACATACAGATATTTAGTTGTTCCAGCATCATTTCTTCCTCTCCCCATTGAATTTTTTTTTTTTTTTTTTTTTTGATACAGAGTTTTGCTCTTGTTGCCCAGGCTGGAGTGTAATGGCGCTATCTCAGCTCACCGCAATCTCCGCCTACTGGGTTCGAGCAATTCTCCCGCCTCAGCCTCCCGAGTAGCTGGGTTATGGGCATGCACCACCATGCCCAGCTAATTTTGTATTTTTTGTAGAGACGGGATTTCTCCATGTTGGTCAGGCTGGTCTCAAACTCCCGACCTCAGGTGATCTGCCCACCTTGGCCTCCCAAAGTACTGAGATTACAGGCGTGAGCCACCTGCACCTGGTTGAGTTGCTTTGATATCTTATAAAAAATCACTTAACCATAAAGTGTGGGTCCATTTCTGAACAGTAATCTAGTTCATTCATTGCTATGTCTATTCTTATGTCAAAGACATTACTTTGATTATTGCAGCTTTATAATAAGTCTTGAACTGATTAGTGTAAGTCTTCCATTTTTGTTCCTTTAAAGTTTGTTTTGTCTATTTCATGTCTTTTGCATTTTATAAATTTTAAAATTAGTTTGTAAATTTCTGTTTTTAAGAAAGACTACCAAGATTAAGATTAGGATTGCATTGAATCTATAGATTAGTTTGGGGTTAATTGACATTTTAACAATACTGAGTTTCCCAAGTCCATAAACATTTTATCTCTCTTCATTTATTAAGGCCTTCTTTAATTCCTTTTAGCAAAGTCTTATAGTTTTTATATAGAAGTTGTACATGCCTTCTGTTATATTTGTTCCTAAATAATTTATGATATTTTTTCTGAATTTTAGTGTCCGTTTATTTTCTGCCATTATGAAGAAATACAGCTGGTTTCTGATATTAACTTTTACCCTGTGACCTTGCTAAATTCACTTGCTAGTTCTGGTGTTTTTGTTTTGTTTTTTGTTTCTTAGGATTTTCCTATAATTATGTCTTCTATGAATGGAGACAGTTTTACTTTTTCTTTTCTAATCTTTTTGCCTTTCTTGTGCTCCATTGCTCTGGTGAAAGTGGATATTCTTTCCTTGTTCCCAATCTTAGGGAGAAATTCAGTCTTTCACTATTAAATATGATGTTAAGTATAATTGTCTCATACAACTTTTATCTCATTGAGGAAGTTCCCTTCTATTCCTAGTTTACCTAGGTTTTTAAAAAAATCATAAATGACTATTTCATGTTGTCAAGTACCTTTACTGCATCTATTGAGATGATCATAGTTTTTCTTTTTTATTCCATTAGTTTGGTTGATTGCATTGTTTGATTTTTCACATTTTTTTATTACTGGATGAATCCGGCTCTATTATCATGAATTATAACTTTTGTATATTGCTGGATTCAACTCGTTAATGTTGTGTGAAGGATTTTTGTCTCTGTGTTCCATAGAATATACCCATCTGGCATTCTCTTGTAATGTGTTTGTCCGGTCTTGGTTGTTAGGGTTATACTGGCCTTGTAAAACGAATTGGGATATATTCCTTCTTCCTTATTTCTGGAAGTATTTATGTAAAATTGGTATGACTTTTTCTTAAATGTTTGATAGAATGTGCCAGTAAAATAAATCATCAAGGCCTAGGGTTTTTTTGCAAGGAAGTATTTGGTAACGATTCAATTTCTTTGATGTTTATTAGGGTTTTTTATAATTTTATTTCATCTTCTGTCAGTTTTGGCACTATATATTTTTCAAGGAATATATTTCATCATATAATGTCAAATTGACATAAAATTGTGCCTATTTCCTTTTGCTTTTGATGTCTGTGGTGTCTATAATGATGTCTCTTTCATTCCTGGTAATAGTAATTTGTATTTTGTCTTTCAAATCAATTTAATTTTGTCAAATAATAAGTTTTTAGCTTTGTTATTTTTGTCTTTTATCTATTTTGTTTTATTGATTTCTACTCTTATTATTCTTCCTTCTGCTTAGTTTGGATTTATGGTCTTATATTTTTTGACCCACAGGTTATTTAGAAGTGCATTGCTAAACTTCCATGTATTTGAGGCTTTCTTAGATAACATATTGTAACTTATTTCTAACAAAATTACACATTCTGTATGGTTTCAGTTTTGAAATTTATTGAAACTTGTTTTATGGACCCAGCAAGGTGGCTCACGCTTGTAATCCTGGCACTTTGGAGGGCTAAACTGGGTGGATAGCTTGAGCCCAGGAGTTCAAGACCAGCCTGGGCAACATGTCGAAACCCCATCTCTACCAAAAAAAAAAAAATACAAAAATTAGCTGGACATAGTGGAGCACACCTGTAGTCCCAGCTATGTGGGAGGTTGAGTTGAGCCCAGGAGTGGGAGGTTGCAGCGAGTTGAGATTGTACCATGGTGCTCTAGCCTGGGCAACACAGCCAGACCTTGTCTCAACAAACAAAACTTGAAACTTGTTTTATGGTTCGGCAACATGGTCAGTCTTATTCCATGTGCATTTGAAAAGAAGGTATATTTTGCAGTTGTTGGATGTAATTATTGATATGCTTATAATTATTAATGTATTTGTTGATTTAGGTCTACCATTTGCTATTTGTTTTCAGTTTGTCTCTCTTTTTTTTTTTTTTTTTTTTGTTCCTCTGTTCCTAATTTTCCTAACTGTGTGCTGCCTTTTGGGTTAATTAGAATTGTAGCATTTCGTTTTGATTATTTTTTTGGCTCTTTAGCTGTTCTCTCACATTTTTTAAAATGGTAACTCTAGGGATTATAATATGCATCTTTAATTTATCAAAGTCTGTTTTTACTACTTCGTGTAAAATAAACGAACCTTGCATTTATAGTTACATTTATTCCTCTCATCTTTTCTGCTTCTTGTCATATATATTGCACCTATAAACTTTTTTTTTTTTTTTTTGAGACAGAGTCTCACTCTGTCGCTGAGGCTGGAGTGCAGTGGCGCAATCTCGGCTCACTGCAACCTCGCCTCCCAGACTCAAGTGATTCTCCTGCCTCAGCCTCCCGAGTAGCTGGGATTACAGGCACCGCCACCACGCCTGGCTAATTTTTGTATTTTTAGTAGAGACGGGGTTTCACCATGTTGGCCAGGCTGGTCTTGAACTCCTGACCTCAGGTAATCCACCTGCCTGAGCCTCCCAAAGTGCTGGAATTACAGGCATGAGCCACCATGCCCGGCCAAAATGTTATAAACCTTACAATGCAATGTTACAATTTTTGCTTTAACACATTAGTCTTTTAAAGATATTAAGAAAAGACAGGAAAAAATATGTATAAGCATTAATATTAACCCACATATATCTTGCTCCCAGGGATCTTCATTCTTTCCTGGACTAGAGGTTGGGAAGCTTTTTCTGTAAAGATCCAAGTAGAAAATATATTTGCAGTCTTTGTTGCATATTCTTCTTTTAATTTTTTTTCTTTCTTTTTTTGAGATGGAGTCTTGCTCTGTCCATTTCCCAGGCTGGAGTATAGTGGCATAACCACAGCTTACTGCAGCCTTGACCTCCCAGGTTCAAGCAATCCTCTCACCTCAGCCTCCCAAGTAGCTGAGACTACAGGTGCATGCTGCCATGTCTGGCTAATTTTTAAATTTTTTGTAGAGATGGGGTCTCACCGTGTTGCCAGGGCTGGTCTCAAACTCCTGGGCTCAAGTGATCCTCCCGCCTCAGCCTCCCAAAGTTCTGGGATTACAGGCATGAACCACCAAGCCCAGACTTCTTTTTTTAAATAGCTGTTTAAACATGTAAAAATCATTCTTAGTTGCAGGTTGAACCAGAGGCTGTGGACCATTGTTGTTGACTTTTACTGTGGATTCTAATTATTAGTTATCTCAGTTTATGTTTATCTGAACATGTTTTTATTGTCTATGGCCATACCACCCTGAATGTGCCCGATCTCATCTGAAAATGTTTTTATTTTGCACTTATTTTTTTCTCCCTTTTTTTATTCTGGGAAAAACACACTCTTTCTCTACATTCTCATGCAACGCTTCTGACACCAGGTATGTGGGTTTTTTTACCCTAAGGATTTCTCCAACTCTGAATATTGGCTGGGTATCTTACAATTTAATTCAATTCAACTCTGACCCTGTCTACCAGGTGTTATTGTCAGAATCCAAAGGCTAAGAGCTCAGTTTCACAAGTCTGCCCCCTACTTTAGACACCAGTTGCAATTAATGGTCATCTATACTTCTGATTGACTGGCTATATATTGGGGTCTCCATTAGCTCCTCTTTGGGTTGGATTAAGTTGCTAGGACAGCTTACAGATATTATAAAGGATACAGAAGAACAGCCAGATGGAAGAGACTTAATAGGGCAAGGTGTGGGAGAAAGGGTGAGGAGCTTCCATGCCCTCTCTGGGCATGCCACCCTCCTAACACCTCAGTCCCAGGGTGAAGTTCCAGCAACTTGGAAGTTCATTAAACTTTGTCGAATTTTTATAGGGGCCAGGCATGGTGGCTCATACCTGTAATCCCAGCACTTTGGAAGACCGAGGTAGGAGAATCACTTGAAGCTAGAAGTTTAAGACTAGCCTGGACAACATACCAAGATGCTGTCTCTGCAAAGGAAAAATAGCCAGGCATAGTGGCTTGAGCCAGTAGTTCCATCTACTCGGGAGGCTGAAGTGGGAGGATTGCTCAAACCCAGGAGTTTAAGGTTGCAGTGAGCTGTGATCAGGCCACACTGCACTCCAGCCTGGGTGACAGAGCTAGACCCTATCCCAAGAAACAACAACAACAACAAAAAGTTTTTATAATAAAGAGCTTAATCTCCAACCCCACCCCTCCCCTCTTCCGAGATTTTGGTGGGTGAGTCTGAAAGCTCCAGCCCTCTTGGTCGTGGTCTTTCTGGTAACTGGCCCTGTACTGAGGCTGTCTAGGGGCTCTACACTAAGTCACCTCACAAGCATAAACTCAGATTTCTCGCCATTAAGTGATGTTAGCTGTAGGTTTTTTTGTAGTTATTCCTTGTCAAGTTGAGAAATATTCCTCAATATTCCTCTTCTGCTGAGAGTTTTTATTATGAATGGGCATTGTATTTTGTCAAATCCTTTTTTTTCTTCCAAAGATAGAGTTATCCAGGCTGGAGTGCAGTAGCGAGATCATAGCTCACAGCAGTCTTAAACACCTGGACTTGGGATCCTCCAGCCTCATAGCTGGTACTACAGGCACACCACTGTGCCTAGCTAATTTTTATAAAAAATTTTTGCAGAGATGGAGTCTTAGTTTGTTGCCCCAACTGGTCTAACTCCTGGCTTCAAGCGATCCTCTCACCTCAGCCTCCCAAAGTGCTGGGATTACAGGTGTGAGCCACTGCACCAACTATCAGATGCTTTTCTGTGTGTAATTTTTCTTCTTTAGCCTGTTAATGTGATAGATTTACATGATTTTCAGATGTTGAGCCAGCCTAGCATACATGGGATAAATTCTACTTGGTTATAGTGTAGAATTCTTTTTATACGTTGTTGGATTCAATTTGCTAATACTTTGTTATTTTCATGAAAGAGATTGGTCTGTATTTTTCTTGAATTGTCTATATCTGATTTTGACATTAGAGCGACGCTGGCCTAATAGAATGAGTTAGGAAGTATTCCCTCTGCTTCTGTCTTCTAGAAGAGATTGCATAGAGCTAGTATAATTTCTTCCTTAAACATTTGATAGAATTCACCAGTGAACCCATGTGAGCCCAGTGCTTTTGATTTTGAAGGTTATTAGTTCTTGACTCAATTTCTTTAATAGATATAGGCCTGTTCAGATTGTTTGTACTCATTTTTGAAGGATATTTTTCCTGAATATTGAAGTCTGGATAGACTGTTTCTGGTTTTCTTCCTTTTCAACGTTTTAAAGATCATGATCCAATGTGTTCTGAACCCTGTTGTTTTGTTGATGTTAGCTGTTACTGGCATATCTATGTACCTTGTGTGAAATGTGTTGGATTTTTCTAGCTGCCTTGAAGATTTTCTTGTTATTTTTGAATGTTAGCAGTTTGACTATGATAGGCCTAAATATCTTTTTTGTATTTATTCTCTTGAGGTTTGTTTTTAGCCAATGTCTTCCACCAAATTGCTAAGTTTAGGTTATTATTTCTTCAAATATTTTTTCTGCCTTTGTTCCATTCCGAAGACTCCAGTTACACAGTAGTATAATTGAGTAACTAATTAGTACATGTATTAATATTATGTTAAAATAATATATGTGTAATATGAATATATTTACATAGAGATAGATACTGCATACACAAAACATTTTAATACAAGGGTATATGATTGTAAAAGCTTGGAGATGATGGCTTTAGACAAATCACTAAGATCTCAGGGATCCTTGAGTGCTCCAGATGCACTGGCTTTGGCCCTACATACTTTTAATACGGTAGTCAACAATCAATACTATAACTGTACACATTTGTCTTTTCTGTTAAATGATAGCTAAATGAGGACAAGACTCTAGCTTTACTTTTCTTTATATGAAAGCAAAAAGACTGGCTCTCAGATTGATATTTAAACATCCACAAGTATTGTCTATAAGAGGCAAACTAAAATAGAAAGTCATTGAAAGTGGGAAGAGAAACAGTTAAGAAAAAAATACCAGGCAAATAATATGTTACAAAAGAAAATTAAAGTAGCAGTTTTCATATAAAAGACACAAATAGACATTGTATGCTGGTAAAGAGAGCAGTAGGTAAAGAAAAAATATCCATAATGAACATTTATGCACCTAACTGTACACTGTTTACAGCCTTGGCATATATCAAGTGATAACTAGTAGGACTGCAGGGAGAAATGGAAAAATCAACAATTCTAGTTAAAGACTTTTAACACCTTCCTCACAGGAAGTGATAAAGAAGATAAAAAGCAGAGTGATCTAAGATTTGAACAATAAAATTAATAAACTTGCTATCAAATATCTAGAGAACTCTGTCCCAACAGAATATATATTCTTTCAAGTACACACAGAACAATTACAAATTAATCTGTATAGTACTGGCCTAAGGATAGACATAGATGAGTGGAATAGAAAAGAGAATTAGGCCAGGTGCGGTGGCCCATGCCTGTAATCCCAGCACTTTGGGAGGCCAAGGCAGGCAGATCACTTGAGGCCAGGAGTTTGAGACCAGCCTGGCCAACATGGCAAAACCTCGTCTCTAGTAAAAATACAAAAATTAGCTGGGCATGGTGGCACACACCTGTACTCCCAGCTACCAGGGAGGCTGAGATGGGAGGATTGCTTGAGTCCAAGAGGTTGAGGCTGCAGTGAGCCATGAGCATGCCACTGCACTCCAGCCTGGCTCAATAAAAAGAACAAAAGACTCTTCTGTCACCCAGGGGATTTCTGTGTCTGTAACTAGGGTTAAAGACTAAATTTTAGCCCATCTACTAGCACCCTTATCTACAAGAGTTTTAGGAGCCTGGTGTCAGGAACCAGGGGCAGGAACCAATATAGATTTCTTATTTTACACTCCCCATTTCATTTCATGGAATTGTCTAGATTCTCTTAAGATATGATCTATAAATGTATCTAACTGGCAGTATGAAGAAAGCAAATGAAACAACTCAGGGCACCCCAACCAACCTTTTGAAACTCTTCAGTCAGGATATCTTATGGGCCATATGTGTTGTGTGAATACCAGAAATAGGGGCCATGTGAGGAGACCTGTATCATTCAGTGCAGTGAACCTATAGAAGGTTTAATTTCCCTTTTTAGTTAAAATTTAAGTAGAAATGTAAGTTCAAATATTGTCTTCTTGCATTTCAGTTGATACTTCTGCCTTTCTAGGGATGTATACATATCACTTTGAAGACCCTTGGTCTCAAATACCTGTTTGGAAGAAGTTATTTGAAATTCCAATATATGAATCTTAAGAATTCATAAATATTTTGAGTATATTTCATATACATCTATGTGTTTTAATGTGTAATGTGATTTCCACAAATCTATGGGAAAACACACCATTACATTAAAATTTACTGTTCTAATAATATGTGCCTTGAAAGACTCCCTAGCACACATCCATTATGGAGACGCAGGTCCTTAAACTGCTTTCATTGATCAAAGATCTGACAGATCTTTGGGAATGATACTTCCTTTTTTAAAACACCAAAAAACTTCACGTTTTCATTCTTTTAGGATGGATTCCAATTTGAAATAATTCTGTTGTGAAATATATAGTTATTTTCTGACACTTTGATTTTTTTTTTTTAACTTTACAGAGACTGTGCAGTTGATCCAACTTGTGTTTTGTGCATGGAGTGCTTTTTGGGAAGTATTCACAGAGATCATCGATATAGGGTTAGTAATGTCCAAATAATAACCATGCGCAGTATTGCATTTTATAATAAATATCTTTTCTTTCTTTTCAAAATGCAAAGATTTAACACTAAAATGGGGGGAGGGTGGTTTAAACAGTGTGTTTATTTAAATACCATTGGATATAGGGTGCCAGTGTAGAAACAAATTATGAATCCACACTTCTTGGAGCATATGATTTAAAAAAGATAATAGAGATATCAGCTCTTCTGTATTGGTTTTCAACTAGTTTGTTTTTGCTATTTTTTAATGTTTATTAAAGAGGCATCTACTACAATGTAGGAGAGGACCCAACTCCAGCACCTACGACCCACCAGTTTAGTATTTTTTCACTGCTGTAATGCTGTCAGTACTTTTCAAAATTCAGGTATGTTTGTTTGCTTTTAAGTCAGGGACACAGATAAATACAGATTATTCCAAATCCTGTCCTGGTTCCTCTATTGGAAATTGAAGACAGACCATGGAGATTCAAAGGGTAGGGTTGTTAGATGGAACTTTTCACCCTAATCATAAAACAGAATGGTAGAGAGGAATATTTTAATATTATTCTTAATTCAGGAGCCCATCTGGGTCAGAACTTTTCCTCCTGTTTGTTTTTATTTACTCTACCCAGGAGTTCATAATAATGAACTAAAACAGCTACGGGGCCGGGCGCAGTGGCTAATGCCTGTAATTCCAGCACTTTGGGAGGCCAAGGCAGGCGGATCACGAGGTCAGGAGATCAACACCATCCTGGCTAACAATGGTGAAACCCCATCTCTACTAAAAATGCAAAAATTAGCCAGACATGGTGGCGCATGTCTGTAATCCCAGCTGCTCGGGAGGCTGAGGCAGGAGAATCACTTAAACCTGGGAGGCGGAGGTTGCAGTGAGCTGAGATCACACCACTGCACTCCAGCCTGGGCGACAGAGCGAGACTCCATCCCAAAATAAAAAATAAAAATAATAAAAACCCAGCTACAAAATTGGGCTACTTATATTCTTGTCTGTTCATTAGTCTCATAAATCAGTAAAAGAGGCCCAGTTTCCTTTAAGCTGTTCTGCCTGTGTTTGGTAACTGAAACAAGCACGTGTCATTTTCCAAATGACTCCTACCCACATTTCTTGGCATATATCTTTGCATTCCCTGGGAATAGTTGTCATTTATAGGGTTACATTAATTATATTGTGATATATAACACAAATACTTACTTTGGGCAGAATATAATAGGGCTTATTCTAAAATTTGCTGTATCTAATACCTGTTAGTAAGCTCTTCCTCATACTATTTTAAGAAAAGCAGAATTTCTAGTCTACCAATTATTAATTCTGGTTCTGTGATGCCAGATTTCTTAAATCATTGCCCTGTCTTAAGGAATTATGAATAATTCCTGAACATTGCAGGTGGTGAAAAGCTTTTATTAGGCAGTCTACTTTTGCATTTCCTGAGCCCCTATTACTTGTCCTTTCAAAGAGTGGCTATTTAAGGTGTATTAGAGAAGAAAAATTAACTATTTCTATAGTCTTTGTTGGTTAATTTCTCCAAAGCAAATGCAGCACCCTTAGACTCTAGGAGACAGCAACTAGAGGAATCTGTATAACCCCTGAGTCTATTGTGTTTATAGCATCACAACCTGTAGCGTAGATATCAGCATTATACCAATTTAACCAAAACCCAGCAAGAAAACCCTTGTGATCCTCATGATTTTCCTAATTAAGGAAGTCATGTAGGCAAACATTACAAAGTAGCTTATTTTATTTTGAAATCACTTAGATTAGCTTATAGGCTTATTTAAAATAAACTTTAAAACATTGAGAGGTTTGGCATTTTATCTAATTTTATGCCTCCAAAGAAATTAAACACTTAAGCAATGGTATTTCCTTAGCACTTGATATTCTTATTTATTATCTGATAGCCCTCAGTAAATATTTATTGACAAGATACTTTACAATTTTTTTCCAAGATGACAACATCAGGAGGTGGAGGTTTCTGTGACTGTGGTGATACTGAAGCCTGGAAAGAGGGTCCTTACTGTCAAAAACATGAACTTAACACCTCTGAAATTGAGGAAGAAGAGGTAAAAACATTTTCACAAAGTTGTTTTTAACCCAAGTTTGAAATATTTTGAGAAATAGTCATTAGATGATGTGAGAAATGGATAAGCAAATAGTACTTCCACTATTGACAGTGACTAGTTTACTTTGAAAGTTCTTTGCATTTTGTGGATGCTGTACGGTTGCTAATAGTACACAGTTGAAATTTGGGAAATTTCATTTAATTCTGATTTTTTATTTGGTTGGGGTTTTGTTTTAAGCATACTTGAAGTTTATTTGAGTACTAACCTATGGTTGAGAGGATTATTTTTCCCATATGTGTAGACCAGTTAACCAAGTTGAGTTTTGTATATCTTTATTATAACAAAGACTTTTGGGGCCAGATAGCTTTCTTTTCTGTTACCATACATGACAGCCAATCCCAATCATCATCTCCTGGTTTCCATTATCATTGGTTATGTGATGGGACCATGTGTAGTGATGATAGCTCAGTACAAATAATTCCCACTGCTTACTGTGTTTTTCAAATTGTTGATCCTGCATTATTTTTCTTAAATGGATTTGTAATGGAATAGTAGAGTCCCACAAAATAAATGCTTAAATCTCTGCTGCTTTTTTTAAAACTTCAAAAACTTTCCATATATTTCTAATAACTCACTTAACTGTAATTATACAATGATTAAATCTTTCAATGGTATGCTACAATAGATTATGTTTTATTATTTTTAATTGACAATAATTGTACATATTTATGGGGTACAGCGTGATATTTATGGGGCACAGTGTGATATTTTGATACATATATACAATGTGTAATGAGCAAATCAGGGTAATTAACATATCCATCACCTCAAGCATTTAACATTATTTGGTTTTGGAAACCTTCACCATCCGCTCTTCTAGCTATTTGAAAATATACAGTAAATTGTTAATTATAGTCATGCTATAGTGCTGTAGAACATTAGAACTCATTCTTTCTATCTAGCTTTGTTCTTGTATCCGTTAGCCAACCTGTGGCAGTCCCTCTTCTGCTACATTTTATGACAATTTGTTGTATAGTTCAAGATCCTTCTTTCAGATTTTATTTTTAAATGGCAGGGGAATAGGTACACTCAAGTACGTCTACATTGTTAGTAGGCCTGATATAGATTTGGGGCAAGTGGACATCAATAGTCCTTCCTCAGCCAGGCAAGGTGGCTCATACCTATAATACCAATACTTTGGGAAGCCAAGGCGGGTGGATCACTTTAACCCAGGAGTTTGAGACCAGCCTGGGCAAATGGCAAAACCCCATCCCTACAAAAAATACAAAAATTAGTTGGGTGTTGTGGCACGTGCCTGTGGTCCCAGCCACTTGGGTTGGGGGTGCTGAAGTGGGATCCGCTTGAGCCATAGGAGGCAGAGGTTGCAGCAAGCCAAGATCATGACCCTGTCTTTAAAAAAAAAAAAAAAAAAGTTCTTCCTGGTACCCATATCCTACAGGTCTCAAATATATTTTATCAGAATGACCAAAGCTTTTGATGTACAAATCAAAATTTATACAAAATGATTCAGTGCTATGGAAAACATGTTTTGTTTTTCATTTGCTTTGTGAAAGGGTTCTGTAATTTGCTACAGTAAGATGCCAAGTGGTCAAGGTTCCAGATTTTTCCACTTCTATTGGAGAAGCTCCATTTTTATATAGTTGATTGGGGTTCTGTATGTAGAAATACAGGACAAATAAAGATATATTTGAAAAAAAAGAATTGTGCTTTAGAAAAAGGTTAAAAACCACTGGTATAAAACTTTAGGACTGCAGGAGAAAGTATATGTGTGTATATCCAAGCCATGTATCCAAAAAGGATCTAGTATGCAGAGTTTATATCTTACAACTCAGCAAGTAAAAAGATAACCCAATTTAAAAATGGGCAAAAGACTTGAATAGACATTTTTACAGAGAAGATATATGAATAATCAACAAACACATGAAAAGATGCTGAACATCATTAGTCATTAGGGAAATGCAAAATCAAAACCACAGTGAGATACTGCTTCACCCTCAGTAAGATGACTATTAAAGTAATAACAAGTATTGACAAGGATATAGAGAAATTAGAACCCTTGTATATTGCTAGTGGAAATATAAAATGATTCAGTGCTGTGGAAAACAGTTTGGCTGTTCCTCAAAATATTAAACATTACCGTATATTTCACACCTAGATATATACCCAAAAGAACTGAAAACCGAAGTTGAGCAAGTACATGCACACACATGTTGTAGCAATGTTGTTCACAATAGTCAAAAGGTAGAAACAGCCCAAATGTCCATCAGTGAATGAATGGATAAACAAATTGTGATAATATACATACAATGGAATATTTTTCGTCCATAAAAAGGAATGAAGAACTGATACATGCTACAACATGCATGAACCTCTAAAACATATTAAGTGAAAGACGCTAGACTCAAAAGGTCACATATTGTATGATTCCTTTTATATGAAATATTCAGAATAGGTAAATCTGTAGAGAGAAAAAACAGATTGGTAGTTGCCAGGGGCTGGGGAAGAGGAAAATGGAGAGAAATGGCTTAGTAGGTAAGGGGTTTTACTTTGGAGTGATGGAAATGTTTTGGAACTAGATTGTAGTAGTTGCACGTTATAATAAATGTACCAAGTACCACTGAGTTGTTCACTTTAAAATGGTTAATTTTATGTTCTGTAAATGTCATGTCATTTATTTGGAAAAGATACTTTAGGACTTCTGTTACCTTTTTTATCCCTGTGTTAGAGTAGACTTAAAATAATTTTCTAATGAAAAGTTTTGAATCTGCCTACATTTGCTCTGTTGGCTTTATCCTCATACATTAGTGGGATGGCTATCCAACAGTCCAAGCTCTACTTAATTTCCTGAATTTTAAGAAGACACCAGCAAGCTCCCCTGCCTAGCCAAAAGTCATACAATCCTGCCTGGAGAATGTATACTCCTGGAACTAGACAAAGAATAAAGCCTTCCAAACTCTACCATTTAATTTATATTTAAGAGTTTAATTAAGGCCAGGCGCGGTGACTCATGCTGTAATCCCAGCCCTATGGGAGGTCGAGGTGGGCAGATCACTTGACCCCAGGAGTTCAAGACAAGCCTGGGCAACATGGCAAATCCCCGTCTATACAAAAATTACAAAAATTAGCCAGGTATGGTGGCGTGCACCTGTAGTCCCGGCTATTCAGGAGGCTGAGGTAAGGGGATCACCAAAGCCAGGGGAGATTGAGGATGCAGTGAGCCATGATTGTACCACTGCCCTCCAGCCTTGGGCGACAGAGTGAGACTCTGTCTCCAAAAAAAAAAAAAAGTTTAAGAGAAATGAAGTCAGCCAGGCGTGGTGGCTGACACCTGTAATCCCAGCACTTTGGGAGGCTGAGGCAGGCAGATCACCTGAGGTCAGGAGTTCGAGACCAGCTTGGTCTCGAACATGGAGAAACCCCGTCTCTACTAAAAATACAAAATTAGCCGGGCGTGGTGGCACATGCCTGTAATCCCAGCTACTTGGGAGGCTGAGGCAAGAGAATCGCTTGAACCCGAGAGGCAGAAGTTGTGGTGAGCCAAGATTGCGCCATTGCACTCCAGCCTGGACAAGAACGAAACTCCATCTCAAAAACCAAAAAAAAAAAGAGAAATGAAGTCTTCAAGGGTATTAAGATAGCATTTTGTTTAACATACCTGTTCCCAGTAACTGTTGAACATAATTTTTTTGTCATACATTTAGCCTACATCTTCCGAAAAAGCTGGGGGAAACCTGGTGATATAGAAATGCTATGCAGGAGTTCCACAGGTCTTCTCATCTCTTTGCATTTGGGGGTGAGATATTTCTTCATTGTATAGGACAGGGTTCAGCAAGCTCTGACTCCTACAAGCCAAATCTTGTCCACAACCTGTTCTTGTGTCTGTTTTTAAATAGTTGAAAAAAATCAACAGAATTGTATTTTGTGACATGAGAAAATTATATGAAATCCAAATTTTAGTGTCCATAAATAAAATGTTATTGAAGCACAGTCATGCTTAAATTTTAACGTAGTATTTGTAGTTGTTTTCCCATTACAAACAAAATTGAGTAGTTGCAGCAGAGACCCTATAGCCTGCTAAGACTAAAGTACTATCTCCTTTACAGAAAAAGTTTGTTGACCCTAGGTGTAGGCTACTGAAAGCATTGTGTTTCGCCTACTCAGTTCCCACTCCCTAGATGTCACTAGCATCTTCCACTACAGTGACAGAAAAAAATGCCCAGCTAGGTTTGCAAATGGCCCCTTGGGGTGTGGGAGTGAGTAGGGAGGGTGGTGAGATGTACCTCTCCCATTTGAGAACCAACACATAATATGTGGTATCTCCTTTGTTAGTCTTTATAGGAGTCCATAAGGAATTTCTCTTAGGTCTCTATATTAAGAAATGTTATGTTTCTCCTGGTGTGAATCTCATAACTGATTGTGTTTCCTTTTGTTGAGACTTTTGGAAAAAGAGCCAGATGGTTGGAAACAGCCTGCCTGTAGTAGCTGTGTGAAAATTTATGTGATCTCTATCTATATATAGATGTTACCTTGACTATGGTTTATTTTCCTATCTTTATTTTCATTTACCTGCTTTTTACATCTTTTTTAATATACCACTCTATTAGGTGCATTCTTTAAAAAAATTATTTTATTTTATTTTTAGAGACATGGTTTTTATTACTGTGCTGCCCAGGCTGGTCTTCAGCTCCTGAACTCAAGCAGAGTCATCCTGTCTCAGCCTCCCAAGTAGCTGGGATGTAGATGTATTCTTAAGTTGCTGTAAATCCTATTTGGAATTAGATTTAATTAAATAAGAAATATTAACTGAACAACAACCTAAGTGAAGATTTTTGTAATCTGAAATTTCACTCACAAATGCTGCTCCCATCTGTTTGAATTCAGATCAGTAATTATTAATAACTAGATGTTAATGCTGACTATTTGGTCTATCTCATTTAATTCCCAAAACAGCCTCATAAGATAGATAATGCTGTTACCAATATTTTATAAATAATTGAGTTTTAGGCTGAGGTGGAGGATCACTTTGAGCCCAGGAGTTTGAGGTTACAGTGAGGTATGAGCCTGGATGAGAGAGACCCTCTTAAAGAAAAGAAAAAAGAGAGAAACTTGAGTTTTAGAAAGATAAAAAAAACTTGCCCAAAGTGTCCCACATAGGAAATTATGGGACTGGGATTTAAACCTATGTAGTATAGACTCCAGTAATGATGCTCTTAACACAGTACCTTATACTGGTTTTAAAAAGCATTTTTAGCAGAATTATTGCATGGTTTGGGGTTTTGTTTGGGGGTTTTTTTTGTTGTTGTTGTTGTTATGCTTTTGTTTTTGTTTTGTTTTGTTTTGTTGAGATGAGGTCTTGCTCTGTTTCCCAGGCTGAAGTAGAGTGGTGCAATCATGGCTCACTGCAGCCTTGACCACATGGACTCAAGCGATTTCTCCCCCTTCAGCCTCCCCAGTAGCTGCGACCACAGGCACATACCCTGCTAGGCTGATCTCAAACTCCTGGGGTCAAGCAATTCTGCCTCTGCCTCTGAAAGTGCTGGGATTACAAGTGTGAGCCACCACGCCTAGCTAGAATTGTTTTTTTAAATGAAAATCTAATTTTAAAAAATAATAGAGCACATTAAAGTGGTATTAATAATAGATTTATTTTTTGTAAATTGAAACGTGTGTTATTGTTAGAAAGTCAGTTTATGAGATAATTGAGGTTGTTTTGATGACTGCAGCCTCTAGTTTATTTCTATATTTTTAGTTGGGCAGTATGGAGAAAATCCTCATTCATACCTACATTGCATATGATAACAGTTAAAATCTTTATTGTAATACATGCTTGCATTTTACAAATTCAAATATTACAGGAGTATACTGCATAAAAGATAAAGTTCTCCATAATTCCTACTGCCCTCTAAAATAACCACTAACAACCTTTTTAACAACATGCCTTGCATTCTTCTAGCTTGAAAGAATAGTAAATCAAAGCAGACTCACCAACAGATGAACATTCTGTAGCATAAATATAATCAAAGAGCTAAAATTATTAGTAATAATAGATAATACAATAGGATGTCATTTATTGTTCCAACTGATTTATGCTATGAAAAGGGCAATCTGAGCAGGAATGTCTTAGTCTTTCCTGACATTTAATTTACCATCATAACATTCGTAGACTTGTACAGCTGTAGCATCTTTTCAATGCAGAAATAATTCTTTATGATGAGTGACACATTTCTTAGAAGTTAAAATTTGTGTACGGAGATGGCAGAAGAATCTGTCTAGGCCTGCCTCAAACTGGGTTACTGTAGCAAAAAAAAAAAAAAAAAAAAAATTATCAGTTGGTGTTCCAATATGGAATGTAACACATTTTAGAGTGTATTTTTTCTGTTGCCCAGGCTTGGAGAAGTGTAGTGGCAAGATCATGGCTCACTTTAGCCTCCACCTGTCAGGCTCAAGCAGTCCTCCCACCTCAGCTTCCCAAGCATGCACCACTACTCTCTGCTAATTTTTAAATTTTTCTTGTAGAGATGAGGTCTCACTGTATTGCCCAGGCTGGTCTCAAACTCCTGGGCTCAAGCAGTCCTCCCACCTCGGCCTTGCAAAGTGCTGGGATTATAGGCATGAGCCACCATGTTCGGCCTAGAATATATTTTGGAACTGACATTTTAATTCAAATAGGACATCTCTACCATGCCCTGGGATTTTTGTAAAATAGAGTTTGGAAACTGTTGGTTAGGATTCTCAAGAATTGGTGGTTGTCTCTGTTCCAGGACCATTAAAGTTTTATAAACCCTGTTTATCAAACTCTTCAATCCTTAAATGTTTTTGTCTTATGGGCTATAACTGTAAGAAATGGAATGACTGTTTGGTGAGATAATAGTACCAGGAAAGCTGAATTTTGATTCCACTTTCTATTTTGGTGTAGTATGAGGTTCATATTATTATTAATACCTACTCTTGTTTGAATCCCCAGGAGGGACCAGCTCTGATTCTTTCTGTATACAAGTGATTTCACCATGTCAGTTATTTCTAAAGCCTCCATAACAAATAGTAATAAACCTTGCTAGCAGAAACAATAAATAAAAAACTTCGCTGGGCGCGGCTGCTCACACCTGTAATCCCAGCATTTTGGGAGGCCAAGGCAGGTGGATCACCTGAAGTCAGGGGTTTGAGACCAGCCTGACCAATATGGAGAAACCCTGTCTCTACTAAAAATACAAAATTAGCCAGGCATGGTGGCACATGCCTGGAATCCCAGCTACTCAGGAGGCTGAGGCAGGAGAATCGCTTGAACCCGGGAGGCGGACGTTACAGTGAGCCGAGATTGTGCCATTGCACTCCAGCCTGGGCGACAAGAGCGAAACTCTAGCTCAAAAAAAAAAAAAAAAACCTCAATGGGACATATAAAGCAGCCTGTATGAGAAGAGTTATAGGTAAAAGGTGCTATAAACATTTGAAAAATCTGCTTCTTACTGAGAAAAGGAAATTTACCTTCTTCAAGCTCTAGACCCATCTGTTTTAGGCATCTTTGTCCTTTTTTCTCCATTCTTTTTTTTTTCTTTTTTTTTTTTTTGATGGAGTTTTGCTCTGTTGCCCAGGCTGGAGTACAGTGGCACAATCTCGGTTCCCTGCAACCTCCGTCTCCTGGGTTCAAGCGATTCTCCTGCCTCAGCCTCCTAAGTAGCTGGGATTACAGGCACCACCACCACACTCAACTAACTTTTATATTTTTAGTAGAGATGAGGTTTCACCACATTGGCCAGGCTGGTCTTGAACTCCTGACCTCAGATGATCCATCCACCTCGGCCTCCCAAAGTGTTGGGATTACAGGCGTGAGCCACCGTGCCCGGCCAAGCCACCATGCCTGGCCCTTTTTTTTTTTTCTTCTTTTCTTTTCTTTTTGAGACAGAGTCTCGCTCTGTCACTCAGGCTGGAGTGCAGTGGTGCACAATCTCCACTCACTGCAAGCTCCGCCTCCTGGGTTCATGCCATTCTCCTGCCTCAGCCTCCCAAGTAGCAGGGACTACAGGCGCCCTCCACCACGCCCGGCTAATTTTTTGTATTTTTAGTAGAGACGGGGTTTCACTGTGTCAGCCAGGATGGTTTCAATCTCCTGACCTCGCGATCCGCCTGCATCAGCCTCACAAAGTGCTGGGATTACAGGCATGAGCCACTGCACCCGGCCGCCCATTCTTTTATTCCACCTTCTCCATTTGTTTTATATCAGTTCCATTAGGCTCATCTTTGGTGTGGGTATGCAAAAATGTTCTGTCTCCATATATATGTGTTTTTGTGTGTGTGTGTGTGTGTATATATACATTTACATTAATATATACAAATATATTTTATAAAATATATACTTTATAAAATGTAATTATATATTATAAGAATATTAAATACATATTTTATATTTTGCACTATGTTTTATTTTTATGCTGTGTGTGCGTGTGTGTGTGTGTGTGTGTATTTATTTTCAGGGATCTGCTGATTCCCATCCCATGATGTTGGAACATACTGCTATTTTAATTTGAGAAATGAAAATAATGCTACTTAGCCATTAAACTAAAGAGTTTAGATTTAAGATAAAGCATTAAGATGAAAGATAGTGCAAAACATTTTGCTAGCCTTGACTGAAAATTACCTTGATTAAACATAGCATAAAGTAATACTTTTTTACATTACCCTAGAAATTCAGTGACTCTCACTCTTACGTCTAGTGTATGAAGTTCCCTATTAACATGCATGCACGTCTCACCCTGCTGAGAGAAAGTAGACAAGAGAGTGCTTCTTACAACATCAGTGGGCAGTTTTCTGAAAGTCATGAGTTCTTACCTTTAAAACTGTCAAAATCAAGCTCTCTTTTATACCTATAAAACTCAATATTGCTTGCCCTTCCTAGGTAATAGTCCTTTGTGTATTCTAGAAATTGGGGGTTAGTAAGATACAAAGCTATAAAATTGGTTTGATGTTAAGTTTTTGAGATCGTGGAATACCATTCTAAAATGTTTAGATTTGTTCATTAGGCATTTGAGTGCCATTGAATATTTTGATTGAATTGATTCAATAACTGGGATTGTTCTGAACTAAAAATTTTAAGAAGCTTTATTTGGTAGGGTGGTAATGTATAGGATCAAATTCATTGAAGAGAAGCTGAAGCTGGAAGACCAGTCAACTTTTTACTATACTATTTTGAGGGATGGAAGCAGAATGAAAATTAATGTACATGATTGCCCTTTTTTTCTTTTTCTTTTTTTTCTGTTGTTTCTTTCAGGATCCTCTTGTTCATTTATCAGAAGATGTGATAGCAAGAACTTATAACATTTTTGCTATTACGTTTCGGTATGCAGTAGAAATATTAACCTGGGAAAAAGAAAGTGAATTGCCAGCAGATTTAGAGATGGTGTAAGTATAACCTGTTTATTCTTCATGTATGAAGAACTGCTAAATTTTAACTTTAACACAGCTAGTATAGGGCATAATCATTTTTTAATAATGAGTTTTTAGCAGAACAATAACCTCAATTTTATAGTTTTAAAACGTGATCCATTTAATTGGTGGAGATTTCTTCCTGTTTGGTTGGCTGGTTGGTTGATTAGTTGGTTTGTAGCCATATTTAAACTTTGTCATAGCTCTAGGACTGGTTTCAGGCATAACCAGTTTTCTCTTCTTTGATTGTATGATAAAATGATAGATTAACTTTACAACTTCACTTTTTGTTTTGTTTATTATATGTTAATATCATTATAGGAAATAAACTCTTTGATATAAATGAGGTTTCTGGTTTGAATACATGCTCAAATTCAATTTTAATCATTTTGATTCGAACTTTTAATAAAATGTATTCCACACTGTGCTTTTCTAGTGTACATCTACCATTTTTACTTAAATTATTGAAATTACAAACTTGTGGCCAGAGAGCTGGATTCTGCCACAGATATATTAAGATGAGGGCTTTATTTTCCTTGTTAGTGTGCTTGTCTCAAACAACCTTCTTTCTTACTTAGAAGTAAGACCAAGCTTGTTGGAATTAGTCATAGTTTAGAATGAATACAAGCTGGAATGAGGATCTGAGGGACATTGGTGCTGTTTCTTTTTTGCTTTCTCAATTGTGTTTCAGATAAAGTTGTAGGTTTTCTAATAAAATGAGGTGACTATACCTTTTTGGAAATGATGAAAATGACTTAGTACCTCATGATTTTTACTATAGTATTGTTGTCATATAGTATACTGTACTATACTATAACATCCTAGTCCAAATTAATTTCATTTTGGGACAGCATGGCCCCCTAACTGGACTGCCGTGTACACTCTTGCCCCGTACAATTCATTCTCTACACTGCATCAAAGTGAACTTTAAGGCAAATTCTGATTATATCTCCTATCAAATTTTTTATTGTCCTTAGGATGGCAAAAATCAAAATATAAGCTGGCTTGGCACAGTGGCTCATGCCTGTGATCCTAGCACTTTGGGAGGCCAAGGCAGGTAGATCACTTGAGCCCAGGAGTTGGAGACCAGCCTGGGCAGCATAGTAAGACCCCGCCTCTACAAAAAATTAAAAAATTAGCTGGGCAGGGTAGTGCATGCCTGTAGTCCTAGCTATTCATGAGGCTGAGGCAGGAGGATCAATTGAACCTGGGTGGTTGAGGCTGCAGTGAGCCAAGATTGTGCCACTGCACTCCAGCCTGGGCGACAGAGTGAGACCCTATCTCAAAAAAAAAACAAAAAACAAAAAAAACCATTATAAACTGTGCAAGATTTCTGTCTCTCTCCAGACCAGACTAGTGTCATACTAATCTCCCCCTTCTTCCTTGTGCTCCATCTCCCAGTATTTACCTTTGCCACCTTAGCACCTTTGCTTTCACCTGCCTCTAGCCCATGGTTTCTCAACCTTGGCAGTGTTGGAATTAGGGGCCAGATTAATTTTTTGTTATGGGGGCTGTCTGGTGAATTGCAAGATATTTAGCAGCATCCCTGGCTTCTACCCACTAGATGCCAGCAGCACCCAAAGCCCCAGTCTTGACAACCAGAAATGTCTCCAGATGTTGCCAAATGGTCAACTATGAGAGGTGGAGGGGAATTGCCCCCAGTTGAGAGCTACTGATAGCCAATTCTGACTTCAGGTCTCAGATTACTTCTCCAAGAGTTCTCTGAGCTCCCAGGCCTGTTATACCCTGCTCTACCTTCTTTTCTTGATAAAAACCTGTTTACACAGAGTCATATATGCAATATATATTTTCCCCACCAGACTGTAGTATCACAGAGCATAGGACCACAGATGAATTCTTTACAGATATGTGTCCAGTACCTAGCACATTGCATAGGACAAAGTAGTCTCTTAATAAGTCAGCCTGGAGCAAGATAATAAACAAATAGATAATATATCATGAATATTTTATCACACAGAGAGAAGAGTGACACCTACTATTGCATGCTGTTTAATGATGAGGTTCACACCTATGAACAAGTTATTTATACTCTTCAGAAAGCTGTTAACTGTACACAAAAAGAAGCTATTGGTTTTGCAACTACAGTAGATCGAGATGTAAGTAATTTTACCATGTTGATAATAAATTGAATTTTTACTATAGGTAAGTTACTATAGGTAACTGGAGAATTGAGTTAAAGATATATATATCTAGGCTTTTCTTAAAATTTCATTTGTCATGCCTGTAATCTCAGCACTTTGGGAGGCCAAGGCAGGCAGATCACGAGGTCAGGAGTTCGAGACCAGCCTGACTAACATGGTGAAACCCCATCTTTACTAAAAATACAAAAATTAGCCAGGTGTAGTGGCATGAGCCGGTAATCCCAGCTACTCAGGAGGCTGAGGCAGGAGAATTGCTTGAACCTGGGAGGCAGAGGTTGCAGTGAGCCGAGATTGCGCCATTGCACTCGAGCCTGGGCGACAAAGCGAGACTCCATCTCAAAAAAAAAAAAAATTTCATTTGAATATTGGCCCAAATGTATATTGGGTATAACTATAAGCTATTGCCAATAGAAAGTTTAAGAGAACATATAGTTATTAAAATGGAAATTATAGATGCCTAAAATAATAAATGTTTTGTTCAAGGAAATATTTATTAATGGCTTGGAAAAGTTAGCATAGCTTTGAAGGAAAATTTTAACTAACTTATCAATGAGTAGGATGAGCATTGTAAATATTGAAAATTGATCAGAATTGTTATATGCTTAAACATGTTTGTTTACTGGTTTAAAAGTTATTAATATTGAATACAATACTTTTACAGCTTAATTTTAAATATCTTTACAGGGGCGTAGGTCTGTTCGATATGGAGATTTTCAGTATTGTGAGCAAGCAAAATCAGTAATTGTGGTAAGTAATTTAAAAACATGCTTATATTATTTTTTATTAGTTTAAAACTAGCTTCATATTTCAGCATTTATGAACATGTCTTTCTGCTTTCTCAAATGAAAACCAAAAATTATGTTTAAAGATAATGTTTCTTAAATATTGCATTATTGTTTTATCTAGTTTTTTAAAGCTGTGTAGGATTGATATAGAAAATGAGTATTTAGATAAGATATATTCCCATTTCTCCATCAAAGCAGTCTTAGAATGTTTTTCGCTTTCTGTTTTGTTTTTAATTAGTAGAATTTTGTGTTACTTCTTAGAAATTTAAATGGCCTTAAGCACCATGATTATAATGCAAGCAAAGTTGTTTCTTGGTACCTTATGGCAAAATATATTCCATATCCTCATAGCAAGTAGTGTATCATCTTTCTAAAAGCACAAACTATTCTCCACATTTGGATTTATTTTTAGAAATTAGAATTTATTTTTCACCATTCCATGTAACTGAATTTTATGTAAATATTCTTTTTAAAAAATAATTTTATCTTTTTTTTTTTTTTCCGAATAGTCTCTGTTGCCCAGGCTGGAGTGCAGTGGTGCAATCTCGGCTCACTGCAACTTCCTCTGCCTCCTGGGTTCAAGTGATTCAGCCTCAGCCTTCCAAGTAACTGGGATTACAAGTGCACACAGCCACGCCCAGCTAATTTTTGTATTTCTAGTAGAGATGGGGTTTCACCATGTTATCCAGGCTGGTCTCAAACTCCTGGGCTCAAGTGATCCACCCACCTCAGACTCCCAAAGTGTTGGGATTACAGGTGTGAGCCACCACACCTCAAATTTCTTTTAAATATATAAAATAATATGGAGGCCCCTGTATTATTATCATTTTGTTGTTGTTGTTTGAGACAGAGTCTTACTCTGTCACCCAGGCTGGGGTTTAGTGGCATGATCTCCACTCACTGCAACCTCTGCCTCCTGGGTTCAAGCAGTTCTTGTGCCTCAGCCTCTTGAGTAGCTGGGAGGACAGGCATGTCCCACCACTCCCAGCTGGGAGGACAGGCATGTCCCACCACTCCCAGCTGTTTTTTTTTTTTTTTTTTTTTTAGTAGAGAAGGGGTTTCCCCCATTATCCTTTCTCCTTCCCTAGCAATAATTACTTTGCTTAATTTACTTTTTTCATTCTTGTGCGTTCCTTTATATTTCATATATTAAATATCCATCAACATTATATAGGGGTCTTTAAACATTATGTAACAAGATACATATTGAATGTATTACACTGCAGCTTGCCTTTTCATTTCAGTGTTGTTTTTAGGTTTATCTGTGTTGATAAGTGTTGCTGTAGTTCATTCATGTTTTAAACATTGTATAGTATTTCATGATGATTAAACCACAATTTATTTATTCTCCTGTTGATAGACAATTAGGATGTTTTCAGTTTTTTGCTGTGACAAATACTCCCGTTATGGGCATTATTTTGTCTCCTTTTTACATAGATACAAAAGTTTCCCTACGGTATATACCAAGAAATGGAATTTCTGAGTTTTTAGGGTATGGACATTCTCAGCTTTACTAGATTTTGCCTAGTTCATCTCCAAAACTGTGGTACTAATATACTTTCCCACCAGCAGTATATAAGAGGGCCTGTTTCTCCACATCTTTGTTAAAACTATATATTGTCAAATTTTTAAATTTTGCCAATCTGGGCCAGACACTGGGGCTCACATCTGTAATCCTGTAATCCTAGCATTTTGGAAAGCAGAGGCAAGAGGATCGCTTGAGGCCAAGAGTTTGGGACCAGCCTGGGCAACAGAGCAAGACCCCGACTCTACAAAAAAAAATTTAAAAAATTAGCCAGGAATGATGGTGCACACATGTAGTCCTAGCTACTCAGGAGGCTGAGGTAGAAGGATTGCCTGAGCCCAGGAGTCCAAGGGTATAGTGAGCTTTGATTACACGAGTACACTCTAGCCTGGGTGACAGAACAAGATCTTGTGTTAAGAAGAAAAAACAAAAAACAAAAAAAACTTGCCAATCTGATGTGTGTGAAATGGTAGTTCATCAGTTAAATTTGCATTTTCCTTGATTTTTAAGTATCTTATTTTATATTTGTTCTATTGGTCATTTAAGTTTTCTTTTTGGCAAATTTCCTATGCATATTCTTATTTTTTCTGTTGGATTGTCTTTTTCTTATTCATTTAAGTTTGTTGTGGTGCCTTTCATTGAGCAAAAACTTTAAATTTTAATGTAGCAAAAGATATATTTTTCTTTATAATTTGTATGTTTTATGACTTGTTTAAGAAATTCTTCCTTAATGTCTCAACATATTCAATTTAATAATGTATCAGAAACTGTACTTACAGATTATCAAGTAGGGAACAAACAATAAAATAGAAAATGGACAAAGGATATGAAAAGACAGATCATAACAGAAAATCTAGCTGGTCAATATACATGAAGTTAGAGTGATAAAATATCTTGAAGAGATGCAAAGACTGGGAATACATGCTTAACAATAAATTGCTACAGCATTTAGGGAAAACAGTCTAGTAACGTGTTAAAGCTTTACCTCACCTAGGAATTTATCTCATAGAAATACAAGTACCAGTAAGTGTGTATACAGTGTGTTCAGTACAGTACTGCTTTTTTTGTAGTCACAGAGGACTGGAGACAGAGACGATGAATGCCCTTCTCTGAAGGATGTTTTAATAAGTCCACACCACAGAATATTATGCAGTCATTAACAGAAAAAAAATCAATGAAAGCTAAGATGCACAAAAGCATGTGTAGTATTTGATTTTCATAAGTCAAACTAACAGATCTTTAGAAATGTGTGTGTAAATATGTGTAAATGGAGACCATATACAAAAACTTACTATGTTAATATATGTTATAGAGAAAGGATGGAGCAGAGAGTAAAAGGAGGATCCAAAAAAAAATAAAAAGGAGTAAATACATTCTTAAAAAGTGTTGGCCAAGCACATCGGCTCACTCCTGTAATCCCAGCATTTTGGGAGGCCAAGGCAGGCAGATTGCTTAAACCCAAGAGTTTGAGACCAGCCTAAGCAACATGGCAAAATCCCATTCCTACAAAAAAAAAAAATAATAACAAAAATTAGCCAGGCGTGGTGGCACACACCTGCAGTCCCAACTATTTGGGAAGCTAAGGTAAGAGGATTGCTTGAGCCCGGGAGGTTGAGGCTGCAGTGAGCTGTTATCAACACCATTGCATTCCAGCCTGGGCAACAGAGTGAAACCCTGTTACAAAAAAAAAAAAAGAAAAAAAAAGATGTTGATAGATTTGAATAGACATTTCTCTGGAGCAGATACACAAGCAGTTAAGATACCACCTCACACCTATTAGGATGGCTTCTGTCAAAAAAATAAATAAATATATAAATAAAAATGGATAGGCATGCACCTATAGTCTCAGCTACTCTGGAGGCTGAGGCAGGAGGATTGCTTGAGCCCAGGAGTTCAAGGCTGTAGTATGTGATCATGGTACCTGTGAATAGCCTCTGGGCAACATAGCAAGACTCCGTCTCTAAGGGAAAAAAAGTGTTGGCAAGGATATGGAGAAATTAAAACCTTTGTGCACTACTGGTAGGAAGGTAAAATGGTATAGCCACTGTGGGAAACAGTCCAGCAATTCCTCAAAACATTAAAAATAGAATTACCATGTGATCCAGCAATTTTGCTTCTAGGTATATATGCAAAATAATTGAAAACAGGTTTCAAAGAGATATTTTACACCCCCGTTCAAGCATCATAATTCACAATAGCCAAAAGGTAGCAGCAACCCAAGTGTCTGCTAATGAAGGAATGGAGAAACAAAATGTGGTATATACATGCAATGGTACATTACTCAGTCTTAAAAAGGAAGGAAGTTCTGATACATGCTACAACATGAATGGATCTTGAGAACATTATGCTAAGTGAAATAAGCCGGTAACAAAAAGATAAATAGCATATGATTCTACTTATATGACCTACCTAGCATTGTCATATCCATAGAAACAGAAAGAGACAGATGGTGGTTGCTAGGTGCTAGGGGAAGAAAGTAGCAGGGACTTGCTCTTTATTAGGTATTATGGCGAGTTTCACTTTTGCAAGATACAGAATTCTGGGGACTAGTTTCACAACAGTATGAATGTACTTAACAATACTGAACTGTACACGTAAAAATGGCTAAGATGAAAGTTTTATATGTATTTTACCTTTTTTTTTTTTTTGAGACGGAGTTTTGCTCTTGTTGCTCAGGTTGGAGTGCAATGGCGCGATCTCAGCTCACCGCAACCTTCACCTCCCAGGTTGAAGCGATTCTCCTGCCTCAGCCTCCTAAGTAGCTGGGATTACAGGCATGCTCCACCACGCTCGGCTAATTTTTGTATTTTTAGTAGAGACGGGGTTTCACCATGTTGGTGAGGCTGGTCTCGAACTCCTGACCTCAGGTGATCCGCCTGCCTCAGCCTTCCAAAGTGCTGGGATTACAGGTGTGAGCTACCGTGCCCAGCCATGATTTAAAAAAAAAAAAAAAAGTTGATAACATGGGCTGGGCGCGGTGGCTCACGCCTGTAATCCCAGCACTTTGGGAGGCCGAGGTGGGGGGATCACGAGATCAAGAGATCGAGACCATCCTGGCCAACATGGTGAAACCCTGTTTCTACTAAAAATACAAAAATTAGCCAAACGTGGTGGCGCATGCCTGTAGTCCCAGCTACTCGGGAAGCTGAGGCAGGAGAATTGCTTGAAACTGGGAGGCAGAGGTTACAGTGAGCAGAGATTGTGCTACTGCACTCCAGCCTGGTGACAGAGCTAGACTCCATCTCAAAAAAAAAAAAAAAGTTGATAACATCACATCTATGCAATAAATTATTTAAATAAGTACATAATTATATTGAGAAATTAAAGACATAAAGCAAGCTAAAACATTTAAATCATTTATTATTGGTACAGCAGATTTTCAAATATAGGACTAAAGATTCAGATTACTGGTCAGGCGCAGTGGCTCACACCTGTAATCCCAGTGCTTTGGGAGACTGAGGCAGGTGGATCACTTGAGGTCAGGAGTTCAAGACCAGCCTGGCTAACATAGTGAAACCCTGTCTCTACTAAAAATACAACAGTTAGCCAGGCGTCGTGGCGCATGTCTGTAGTCCCAGCTCCTTGGGAGGCTGAGGGCAGAAGAATCACTTGGACCCAAGAGGTGGAGGTTGCGGTGAGCCGAGATTGCTCCACTGCACTCCAGCCTGGGTGACAGAGCGAGACTCCACCTCAAAAAAAGAAAAAAAAAAAAAAAAGATTCAGATTACTCATAAACTAGCTGAACCTTCGTATTTTTTTGTATGAATCCTAAGATTTCCTCTAGAAAATTAGGATCTGAATCAAGTAAGGCAAGGAGAATGGTGTTTTTCTTACATCCATGAAAAAGTCTCCTATGATGATGATAGTGTGGTTATATTAAGTAAAAATAATAACTTTGTTCTGCCAATAGAATAGCTTTTTAAGTTAATTTTTAAATCTTGCCATTTCTTTTTAAGAGAAATACCAGTAGACAGACAAAGCCACTCAAAGTTCAAGTTATGCATTCGTCTATTGTCGCACATCAGAATTTTGGTTTGAAACTTTTGTCTTGGCTGGGAAGTATTATTGGATATTCAGGTAGGTTCATAAAAGTTCATGCCAATTGTCTATTAAAAATGAGCTCAATATGCTGTTGCAAAACTGTTTTGGGAAAACTATCAACTGGAATAATTTCCTGCTTTAATTTTACATTTTAAAATACCATTTCAAAATATCTTTATGCATAGAAGAAAACCTATGTTTAACAAATTTGGTCATACTGGATATTTTTTATATGCACACAAAGGATTCTCTATTCAAATAAATTCAGGAAACATTGGTTTAAACAATTGTAAAGGACATTAATATGCTAATGCAATGCAATGTACATTTCACAAACAATTTTTTTTTAAACTTTTTTTAGTGGAGCATTTTGCAGAACTCTTCTACTGAGTAAGCTGGAAAAATGCTGCTGTAAATAAAAACCTAAGTGATTAGCTGTTTAAACGATAAAACACTAATGTTGATTTATGTGATTTGACTCCAACAACTTTGGTTACCAATAATTTGCAACACTGAAAATTTGTAAATTGGAAGTTACCAATTTGCGTTTTTAAAAAATTTTTGGCCAGGTGCCATGGCTCATGCCTGTAATCCTAGCACTTTGGGAGGCCAAGGTGGGTGGATAACCTGAGGTCAGGAGTTCAAGACCAGCCTGACCAACATGGCAAAACCTCATCTCTACTAAAAATACAAAAATTAGCCAGGCGTGGTGGCATGTTCCTGTAATCCCAGCTACTCAGGAGGCTGAGGCAGGAGAATCACTTGAACCCAGGAAGCAGAGGTTGCAGTGAGCCAACATCACGCCACTTTGCTCCAGCCTGGGCAAAAGAGTGAAACTCTGTTTCAAAAAAAAAAAAATTCCAGAGTCTAGAAATTCGGTCATTTTTCTCTTTATGTAATGGTAAGAATTAAGAATCCTCACATCTGCAACCAAAAATACAAGCCTGGTGTGTAACACTAAAGGGTAAAACAGGGATAGATATAAGCTGTTATGCTATTCTTCAGGCAACACTGTGGATAAGTGACATTCAGATGTTTACTGTAAAGAAAAATTTGAATACATTTGTATTGAAGGGCTTTTAGAAAAGAGCATTACTACACAGAACTGAGAGTTGAAAATATGAAGGTGTGGAAGATTAAGAGAACGCGTTTACTTTAAAAGATAATTTAAAAGTTATCTTTCCAGGCTGACACGGTGGCCCACTCCTCTAGTCATAACACTCTGGGAGGCTGTGGTGGGACGATCCCTCGAGCCCAGGAGTTCATAGACCAGCCTGGGTAATATAGGGAGACCCCATCTCTATCTAAAATTTTTTTTAAAAGAAAATAAATATCTTTACAGTTATTTTTCTTAGTCCTATGTTCTTTATTTTGGTGTTTTCCATTGGATACCTGCATGCCAAGTGTTGTGCTACAGTATTACTGAAGAGTATAATGGAAGTAATGTCCTGCTGAAAATTTTCTTTGAGATATTAATCATTAATAATTTATATATTGCTATTTAATACTTACATAGGTCTTTAGCCTTTTAAAGGATTTCTGTTTGACAGCTTTTATAATTGAAAGTTATTCCATTTTTTTTTTAATTTTGCATGCTTGAAAAAGATGAAAACAGTGATTTAAATTATGAAGTATGGGGCCAGGTGCAGTGGCTCATGCTGGTAATCCCAGCACTTTGAGAGGCTAAGGCAAGTGGGTCACTTGAGCCCAAGAGTTCAAGACCAGCCTGGCCAACATGGTGTGAAACCCCGTCTGTACTAAAAATACAAAAATTAGCCAGGCGTGGTGGTGCATGCCTGTAATCCCAGGTACTTGGGAGGCTGAGGCACAGGAATTGCGTGAACCCAGGAGGCAGAGGTTGCAGTGAGCCAAGATCACATCACCGCACTGCAGCCTGGGTGACAGAGTAAGACTCTGTCTCCAAAAAAAAAAAAAAAAAAAAAAAAAAAACTATATATATATACACACACACACACACACACACACACACGCGCGCACATATATATACACACACACGTACATATATATGTATGCATGTACATATATGTGCGTATATGGGTATGTATATATGTGTATATGTGTATGTGTGTATGTATGTGTGTATATATGTGTGTATGTGTGTATATATGTATGTACGTACATACATACGTATGTATGTACGTACGTACATATATATGTATGTACGTACATATATATGTATGGAACAAATAAGTGTTAAAGCTTTGGTTATTTTAATGCTTATATTAATATTTGAAGAACGTTTCTGAAGTTTACATTTAAAAGGTTGTAGTAATATGTTTTCCAGGGTCTCACATGCCAAGTCCACAATAAGTTTTTGTTTAATGAATGAAGAATTTTTTCTGTAGCATTAATAAAATGCATTGCTATATATTATAATGCAGAAGTCATGCATTCCTCCTTTTAAATGGTAGCACATTTTATATTTCAATTATGGAATGTATAACACTTTCACTGTAATCTGGTTTAATTAGCATAAGTGCTTGAAGAACAATATTAAGTGGTTTTTTGGATGTTTTTCTCTTTAATTAAATTCATTAAAGCACAAGAGGTTATTGCCTTTATGATAGGCATATATTTTGACTTTCAGGAGTAATGGTGTGTGATGTGAGATTTGAAATTTATTTCCTTTTTGTTAAAATATTAATAAAACAGTTAATATGTTTGCCTTTTCTGAATAAATTTGAACTTTAAGAAAACATTTAAAACTCTACAGATCCATTTGAACATCTACTAAAATGTCACTATTTTAATATTTGAAGTTGCTATCTCATTCTACCTTTCCTTCTATTTAAAGATGGCCTTCGCCGGATTTTATGTCAAGTTGGTTTACAAGAAGGGCCAGATGGTGAAAACTCTTCTCTAGTGGACAGACTGATGCTTAGTGATTCCAAATTATGGAAAGGTGAATCTCTTAACTACTTTTAAGGTGTAGAGGAACCTATATAAGTAATTGGGATGTGAAAGGTTTTTATCATTTGGGAAGATATTTAATACATATATTTGTGCTTCTTAAAATTAGCATTGCAGTCTTAGTCTTTGAAAAATATAGATTTGGTGGGGTGGGGTCCATGATCCAACTTAAATGGACTTTATATTTTGTTACAGAATTATGTTTAGAAAACTTGGTTTTATAAACAAATTGCAAATATTTTGTGCTAAGGAAAATATGTATTTTGCTCCTTTTTTGAAGGGACAGGATCTCACTCTGTTGCCCAGGCAACAGGAGTGCAGTGGCATGATCATTGATCACTGCAGCCTCCAACTCTTGGACTCAAGCAATCCTCCCTTCTCAGCCTCCCTAGTAGCTGGGACTACATGTACATACCACCATGTATGGCTTTCTTTGTTTTTGAGACTTAAAATACAAGCCAGTCTCAGTGGTGTGTGCCTGTAGTCTCAGCTACACAGGAGGCTGAGGCAAGAGGATCACTTGAGCTAGGAGTTTGAGTTCAGCCTGGGCAACAAAGCAAGACCCTAAAAAAAAAAAAAAATGCTGTGTTGGCTGGGCATGGTGGTTCACATTTGTAATGCCAGCACTGTGGGAGGCCAAGGCAGGAGGATCGCGTGAGCCCAGGAGTTAAGACCAGCCTGGGCAACACAGCAAGACACTGTCTCAAAAGTAAAAACAAAACAAAACAAAAAAAACCCACTGTGGATCACATAACACTTGAGAAATGTAATTGTTGGGCGTGTCCTTATCTTATACCGTGATCTTTTTCTACAAGGTGCTAGGAGTGTATATCATCAGTTGTTCATGAGCAGTCTGCTTATGGATTTGAAATACAAGAAACTATTTGCTGTTCGATTTGCAAAAGTAAGTGGCTTTTCAATTTTGAAAATAGGTTATATATAGAGTAACTATGCCCATAATTATATCTAGGCTTCAAAAAATTAACATCTAATAGTAATATGTCAATGTGTTGATATTAAATTCTAAGAAACTTCATAAATAATCTTTTCATTCTTTATCAATAGAATAAAATTTTAGCCGTGAGACTCCTTGTTCATCACCTCCTATAACATGAGTATCTATTATACAATGTTTATGAAATAATAAATGAAGAGTTTAAACCTATGCCATTGTGAATTATGGTATTTTTTTCTATTAAAATTCATATAAGGAAACTAATCTCAGTTTAAATGACATATATATGAATATGATTTAATAAATATATTTGTGCATTTTAAAATTAGCATTGCAGTCTTAGTCTTTAAAAAAAAATAGATTTTTTTTTGGAGGGGGGGCATGATCCAAATTAAATAGCCTGTATATTTTGTTAGAAAATTATATTTAGAAAACTTTGATTTTATAAATAGATTGCAAATATTTCATGCTAAGGAAAACATGTATTTTGCTTTTTTTTTTTTTAAGAAACAAGGTCTCTTCAGAACTCTAGGTTATTAATATAGTTAAGTTCTCCCTTTTAGCAGCATGTGCATAAGCTAACCACTTATTTTTTTGCATTCACCTGAATTACGAAGTATATGAGAATCACTTGGAGAGCTCTTTCAAAATACATGTGTTGTGTTCCATTCTCAAATCTACTGAAACAGATTCACCAAGAATGGCGGCCCAAGCATGTATGCTTTGGAAGAGTCATCAGATGATTCTGATATGATGCAGAAGTAATGAAAGTCTGATTTCATCAGAAACAGTGTAATGCTGCTGTGGTTTAGCTCCACCAGCATACAATGACATCTTGGGAGCTTAGTAGCTGTTACTGCCTATTTGGGCTGGTAAACTGCCATTGTGCTCCAGAAGAAAGAATCGATATTTATACAGGATTCCACAGTTTCCATAGTGAATCAATATCTATACAGGATTCTATTGGTAGAAATCATTCCAGTTATTGTTCTCATAGCAGTGTTATCTTCTTGACTTCCTCCAGCACTGACTTTTCATTATAATCCTTAAACATTTGGTCATTGTGGATTAGAGGTGAATCTCCCCCTTGTTGTTTAGAATTACCAGCAGTTGCAGAGAGATTTTATGGAGGATGATCACGAGCGAGCAGTGTCGGTGACTGCTCTATCTGTCCAGTTCTTCACCGCACCTACTCTGGTGAGTAGTGCTTGCCTTTTCTTTGTAACTGATAGCTGGCACTCCTTGCCTTTTTTTGCCTTCTTAATAGAACTATGAGCGTTTGCAGAGTGATTATGTGACAGATGACCACGACAGAGAGTTTTCAGTCGCAGACCTCTCGGTTCAGATATTCACGGTTCCTTCACTTGTAAGTACTGAAAGACTAGAAGAACTTTCTTGTTTTCCATTAACAGAGGCCTTAAAATAATAGAGAACTAAAGTCTGTATATTCCTGAAAAGAATAGTATTTTATTAATGGGTAATCAGACTTCAAACACCTTCACTATTCTTTTACTAGAATATAACCTTGAATATCAAAGTCATCTGGTAGGGGGGAAGTCATTTAAACTTAATTTATACTTTCTCTTCAGAGTAAAGGAGAGGGAAACAATCTACAATTTTTCATAGTACTTCCCTGAGATTTTGAACTGATTAGTTCACATTAAGCCGATTGATTTCACAAATTATCCTTCACGTTAGAATTAGACAGCATATTGTACACCGTCTCACAATTTGAGAAGTCCTCCTCCCACCTCCCTCCCAAAAGGGGAGATGTAGCTAAGGCAATTGAATCCTGATGATTGGATGGTCTTTTACTGAGCTTCACGAGTTGCCCATAAAGGCATCGTTATGTTTTAACGCTATATACATAATTAAAATTCATATTTAATTTGTTCAGCAAATTTAAGAAACACCTATTTATTGGGCACAGTTCTAGACTTTGAGAATGTAACAGTAAACAATAACAAATGTGACCCTTCCCTCATCAAACTTACCATAGTGGGAAAGACTCACATAAATAATCAGAATCACAATGAAAATTCCGTTGGTTTGAGAGAAAATAACAAGAGACCTGTCCTTTTCCCACACTTCAGGGCTTTTCTAAGAAAGGTGCCTTTATGCAAGGGCATGAGGGAAGGTCCATACAAAGGAATGAGCAGTTGAGAAAACCTGGAGGAGTAGGGTGGAGCATTACCTCTTGGCAAATAGAGGAAAACCAGGACACTTGAAGATCCTTGAACCTGGAGTGAAATTGTATAGGTTTAAGAGCATTTTATAGTTACTTTATTAATAAGGCATATTAAAAATAACTGAATTTTTCACCATATTACTTTTATGTTAAAGGATATATTCTAATACAGTGGAAGCTGACTGGAGTCTGTTTACCCATTAATGAGCTAGTATGATAGGCCAAATTAAGGATTTTTGCATTTTGTCTTAAAAACATGAGAAGGCATTAAAGAATTTTAAGTGGTATTTACATAATTACATTTGTGATTTTAAAAGATCATGCTGTCTGTAATTTGGAGAACAAATTGGACGAGGATAAAAGTGAGTGTGGGAAACCTAATCAGATGCTAAAGCAATGACCCAGGGAAAAATTGATGGTAACTCGAACTGGGATGCTGAAAGTGGATATGAATCATGGGGGATATTTTTAGGTGGTGAAATCTACAGAACCGGCCAAGTGGGTTTGAGGGTTGTTGGACTTGCTGACGAACTGGATGTCGGGTTTGAAGAAGCATAAGGATGATTCGCAAGCATCTGGCTTGCAGCTGAGTAGATGCTGTGCCACTTGCTGAATGATTAGCATTTGTAAAGAGGGAAAGTGATGCTTTTAGTTTAGTCAGGGTTGAGTTCCAGAAGCCTCTGAGATGATCCTGTGTGTATTCATATCTGTGCTTCCCTCCTTCATTGAACCATTTCCATGCCAGTACCACAGTTGTAATAATTATTTATAGCTTAATATCCCATTTTGACATCTTAAATCCCATTTCATTTGATAGCTTAAATCTCCTTTCATTATTATTTTCCAAAATGTTTTCGCTTATTCTTAGGCCTTTTTCAAAAAGATGAAGTAAAATCAGATTGTCAGTTACCAAAAACCACATTAGAATTTTGACTGAAAAGACCTTATATTTGTAGATTAATTTAGGAAGCACTAACATCTTTGCAATATTGAATATCCCAACTAGGAATATAATTTGTCCTTGTTTATTCAAATGTTATTTTATGTTCTTAGTAAAAACTTCATAGTTCTCTCGTTATGAACATATATATATATATATATATATATATATATATATATATATATTTTTTTTTTTTAGTTCTCTATCTCTGCTGGGCGCAGTGGCTCACCTCTGTAATCCTAGCCAAGGCAGGTGGATCACCTGAGCTTAGGAGTCTGAGACCAGCCTGGCCAACATGGTGAAACCCCATCTCTACTAAAAATAGAAAAATTAGCCAGGCGTGGTGGCGCACGCCTGAGGCTGAGGCAGAAGAATCACTTGAACCCAAGAGGCGGAGGTTGCAGTGAGCTGAGATCAAGCCATTGCACTCCAGCCTGGGCGACAGAGCGAGATTCGGTATCCAAAAAAAAAAAGTTCTTGCTCTGTCACTCAGGCTGGAGTGAGGTGGCACGATCACAGCTCACTGCAGCTTTGACCACCTGGGCTTAGGCAATCCTCCTGTCTCAGCCTCCCAAGTAGCTGGGACCACAGATGCATGCCACCACACCCAGCTAGTCTTAACATTTTTAAATTAAGCTTATATGGTTTATATTTTTGATGCTGTAGTAAACTTTTTATATTTTTGATGCTGTAGTAAACTTTTTATATTTTTAAACAGGCTATGGTAGTATTTAGGAAAACTACTGATTTTTATATGTCCATCTTATATCTGTCTGGTCTATCTGGATATGTATGTATTCAGATTAAATAGGTTCTACCAGACTCTTTTCCATAATGGTTAAACCAATTCATGCTTCTGTTAATAACGTATGAAAGTGATAGTTGCTCCACATCCTCACCAACACTTGGTTTTACCAGTCTTTTAAGATTTTATCTATTCTAGTGGGACATAGTGGTTTCTCATTATGGTTTTAATTTGCATTCTTCTGATGATGATGAAGCTGAATTCCTTTTTATATGTTTATTGGCATTTGGATATACTCCTTTGTGAATCCCTGTTAAAGTTGTCCTTTGATTATCTATTGAGTTGTCTGCCTTTTTCTTACTGATTTGTCAGAGTTTTTCATAGATTCTGCATACATATTCTTTGTTGGGTATATATACTACAAATATTTTTTCCACTCTTGTTTACTTCCTGAATATTAAGTGTTGTTTTTTTTTTTTGTTTTTGTTTTTGTTTTTTTTTAAGACAGAGTCTCACTGTCCCCCAGGCTGGAGTGCAGTGGCATGATCTCGGGTCAGTGCAACCTCAGCCTCCTGAGTAGCTGGGACTACATGCGTGCCCAGCTAAGTTTTTGTATTTATAATAGAGATGGGGTTTCACTATGTTGGCCAGGCTGGTCTCAAACTCCTAGCCTCAAGTGATCCGCCTGCCTCAGCCTCTCAAAGTGCTGGGATTACGGGCATGAGCCACTGCACCCAGCCAGGTGTCTCTTAATGAGCCAGAATTCATAATTATAACATGTACTAATTTTGTTTGTTTGTTTGTTTTTTAGACGGAGTCTCGCTCTGTCACCCAGGCTGTAGTGCAGTGGCGTGATCTCCACTCACTGCAACCTCTGCCTCCCGGGTTCAAGCGATTCTCCTTCCTCGGCCTCCTGAGTAGCTGGGGCTACAGGCGTGTGTGACCATACCTGGCTATTTTGTTTGTTTGTTTGTTTGTTTGTATTTTTAGTAGAGACGGGGTTTCACTATGTTGGACAGACTGGTCTCAAACTTCTGACCTCAGGTGATCCACCGCACCCGGCCGTACTTTTTGTATATTGTTTAAACAATCTTTGTGTATCCCAAGGTCACAAAGATATTCTCCCACGTTTTCTAAAAGCTGCCTTTCCCATTTAAATTCCCAATCCATCTATAATTCATTTTTGTGTATCTAAGAAGTAAGGTCTTGATTTTTCCCCCTACATAGTTATTCAATTAACCCAGAAGTGTTTATTGAAGATACTTTTTCACCTGTTGCATTTCAGGGGCACCTTTGTCATAAATCAAGACCTTTATATGTGTGTGTCTGTCTTGTCTATCTTTGTGCCCCAGCTACACTGCCTTAATTATAGTAGTTTTGTGAGTCTCAGTATCTGATAGTTAAATCTTCCAGCTTTATTCCTCAGAGTGCCTTGGCCATTCTTTTTTTGTTTGTTTGTTTTTTTGAGATGGAGTTTCATTGTTGTTGCCCAGGCTGGAGTGCAATGGTGTGATCTCGGCTCACTGCAACCTCCGCCTCCCGGGTTCAAGCAATTCTCCTGCCTCAGCCTCCCAAGTAGCTGGGATTATAGGCATGCGCCACCACACCTGGCTAATTTTGTATTTTTAGTAGAGATGGGGTTTTGCCATGTTGGTCAGGCTGGTCTTGAACTCCTGACCTCAGGTGATCCATCCCCCTCAGCTCCCAAAGTGCTGAGATTACAGGCGTGAGCCACCGCGCCAGGCCAGCCTTGGCCATTCTTAATCCTTTGTATTTCTGTATGAATTTAGATTCAGCATATCAGCTTCCATACACACGAAGAAGCCTTCATATATTTTGATTGAGATTGAAATTAATCTCTCCTTCAGTTTAGGAAGAATTGGTATCTTTACAATATTGAGTCTTCTGCCCTGTGAACTTGATGTATTCCTTCATTCATTTAGTTTTTTAAAAAAATTTCTTTCAATACTTTATAGTTGTCATTATAGAGGGCTTCCCACTCTTCTTTTTTTTCTTTTTGAGATGGAGTCTTGCTCTGTCACCCAGGCTAGAGCACAGTGGCACAATCTTGGCTCACTGCAACCTCTGCCTCCCAGGTTCAAGCAATTCTCCTGTCTTAGCCTCCCGAGTAGCTGGGATTACAGACACCTGCTGCCACCACGCCTGGCTAATTTTTGTATTTTTAGTAGAGACAGGGTTTCACCATATTGGTCAGGCTGGTGTCGAACTCCTGACCTCAGGTGATCCACCCATCTCAGCGTCCCAAAGTGCTGGGATTACAGGCGTGAGCCACTGCGCCTGGCCCCCATTCTTCTTTTGTTAGATTTATTTCTAGGTGTTTGGTTTGGTTTTGGGGGGAGGGGAGACATTGTTTTTGGGTTTTTTGGTGGGTTTTTTTTTTTTTTGAGACAGAACCTCACTCTGTTCCCCACGCTGGAGTGCAGTGGTGCAATCTCAGTTCACTGCAGCCTCCGCCTCCTAGGTTAAAGTGATTCTTCTGCCTCAGCCTCCCAAGTAGCTGGGATTACAGGTGCGTGCCACCACACCTGGCTAGTTTTTTTGTACTTTTCATAGAGATGGTGTTTCACCATGTTAGCCAGACTGGTCTCAAACTCCTGACCTCAGGTTATCTGCCCACCTCGGCCTCCCAAAGTGCTGGGATTACAAGCCTGAGCCACCGCACCTGGCCTGTTTTTGGCTTTTGATTCTATGGGAAATTTTTTTTAACTTTACTTTGTATTTGCTTATAGAAATACATTCATTTGTGTATATCAGCCATGTATCCAGCCACTTTTTCCACATTCATTTATTCTAATGGTTTATAGATTTTTTTTTTTTTTAAGATGGGGTCTGTGATGCTCAGGCCAGTCTCAAACTCCTGGGCTCAAGCTATCATCCTGCCTCAGCCTCCCAAAGTACTGGGATTACAGGCATGAGCCACTGTGCCCAGCCAGTTTGCAGATTCTTTTGGATTTTTCTGTGTACATAATCATATCACTTGTCATTCATGAATAACAGCAGTTTTAGTTCTTATTTTGAATATTTATATATTTTATTTCATTTTCTTTATTATACTGGCTGGGACCTCAACTACAGTGTTAAATACAAGTGGTAGATAAAAGCAGAAATCTTTGTCTCATATCTGATCTCAGGGGGAAAACTTTTAATATTTTACCGTAAAGTATGATGTTTTGCTTTGGAGTTTTGTTTGCTTGGTTTTTGTTTGATTGTTTATAGATACTCTTTTATCAGATTAGAGAAATTTTCTCTATTCCTAGTTTGCTCTAAGATGGTAGTGTTGTTTAAGAGAGGGAGCCTTGTGATGTTGCCCAGCCTGCCCTCAAATTCCTGGGCTCAAGCAATCCTCCCATCTCAGTCTCCCGAGTACCTGGGACTATAGGCATGCACCACTGAGCCCAACTTGGTTTTTGTTTGTTTGGTTTTGGGTTTTTTTTGAGACGGAGCCTCACTCTGTCGCGCAGGCTGGAGTGCAGTGGTGTGATCTCAGCTCACTACAACCTCCGCCTTCCGGGTTCAAGCGATTCTTCTGCCTCAGCCTCCTGAGTAGCTGGGATTACAGGTGCACACCACCACGCCCAGCTAATTTTTATATTTTTAGTAGAGACGGGGTTTCACCACGTTGGTCAGGCTGGTCTTGAACTCCTGACCTCGTGATCCACCCTCCTCAGCCTCCCCAAGTGCTGGGATTACAGGCGTGAGCCACTGCACCCGGCTGGTTTTTGTTTATGTTAAATCATGAATATGTGTTTAATTTTCATGAATTTCAGGAGAGGCATTGGATGGTATGATCAAGTGGTTTTTTTCTCCCTTTGTCTGTTAATAAGGTTATTTAATTTTTTTTCAAATGTTTTATTACTTTTGCTTTAAGGAAATAAACCAAACTTGGTTGTGGTATATTATCCTTTTTCTATATTGCTTGATTCTATTTGTGCACCCTTATTTGTGAGAGAGATTAAGTGATAATTTTCTTTCCTTGTTATAGCCTTTTGGGGTTTTGGTATTAAGATTAAAGAGGACTCATTAATTACATTGGCAAGTATATTCTGTTTTCTGGAAAATTTTATGTAAGATAGGTATTGCTCTTTTTTTGTTTGTTTGTTTTGTTTTGTTTTGTTTGTTTTTTGAGACCAATTCTCACTCTAGCACCCAGGCCAGAGTGCAGTGGTGCGATCTCAGCTCACTGCAGCCTCAACCTCCTGTGTGCAAGTGATCCACCTCAGCCTCCCAAGTAGCTGGGAGTACAGGCATGCACTACCACACTTGGCTAATTTTTTTTTTTTTTTTAGTGTTTGTTGAGTTGGTGGGGGGGGTGTTGCTTTGTTGCCCAGGCTAGTCTTGAACTCCTGACCTCAAGTGATCCTTCCACCTCGGCCTACCAAAGTGTTGGGATTACAGGTGTGAACCACTTACTCCTTATTGCTTTTGTAATTGCCCAACAGATTCTTTCTGCCCACTGTACAGATAAAATCAATTCACTGAGACCACGGCATTGCAGTACAGAAAGAGTTAAATTGACAGGAGGCTGGCCACACAACATGGGAGACAGAGTTTTTACTCAAAATCTCCCCCTGAAGGCTTGGAGGTTAGGGGTTTTCAAGTATAATTTGGTGAGCAGAAAACTAGGGAGTAGGTGATGCTGATTGGTTGAGGAGAGCATCATTAGGGTGTGTGCTGAGTCCACTTGTGGCTGAGGGTCAAAGGACTGGTTGAATTATGGATCACAAGTAATGCAAAGTCTGAAAAGGCATCTCAAAAAGGCCACTCTTAGGTTCTACAATAGTGTTGTTATCTATAGGAGTAATTGTGGAAGTTACAAATCTTGTGATTGCTGGTTATCATTTAACTTACATCTTAGCATAATTCAGGCCCCTTTCATCATCTTAACCTTGTGGACTTTCATTAGTTTTATAAAGGCAGTTTCCTTTTGGAAAGGGCTATTATCTTCCTTGCTTTAAGGTTAAACTACAAATTAAATTTCTCCCAAAGTTAGTTTGGCCTACACCCCAGAATGACCAAGGACAGCTTGGAGGTTAGAAGCAAGATGGAGTCAATTATATCAGATTTCTCTTATTGTCATAATTTTGCAAAGGCACTTTACTCACTTAAATATTTGGAAGAATTCTCCAGTGTAACCATTTGGGCCTCAAGATTTCTTTCTGGAAATGATTTTATAGCCAGTTAAAATTTTTAATAGGACTATTCAGATTTCCTGTTTCTTGTTTCCCTTCTAATAACATGTTTTTTCTTGGGACTTTGCTAATTTCATTTAAATTTCCAATTACATTGATTTAAATGACACCTAATATTTGTCTTATTTTCTATTTAATACATTTCAGATCTATAGGTTTTGTAGTATTTTTTGTAATCCTTTTTTAAATTTAAATTTTTCTGTTTTTCTTACCAGTCTTTCTAAGGATGTATACTCTTTTTTTAGGACAGGGTCTCACTTTGTCACCCAAGCTGGAGTGCAGTGGCATGATTTCAGCTCACTGCAATCTCTACCTCCCAGGTTCAAGCAATTCTGGTGTCTCAGTCTCCCAAGTAGCTGGGACTACAGGCATGCACCACCACACTCGGCTAATTTTTGTATTTTCAGTAGAGATGGAGTTTTGCCATCTTGGCCAGGCTGGTCTCAAGCTCCTGGCCTCATGTGATCTGCCTACCTCAACCTCCCAAAGTGCTGGATTACAGACATGAGCCACCATGCCCAGCCTAGAGATGTATGTGTTTATTAGTTTTTTCAAAGAACCAACCTTTAGTTGCGTTGATTTATTTTTCCCCCCTTTTTTTTTTTTTGAGGCGGAGTCTCGCTCTGTCGCCCAGGTTGGAGTGCAGTGGTGCGATCTCGGCTCACTGCATGCTCCGCCTCCCGGGTTCACGCCATTCTCCTGCCTCAGCCTCCCAAGTAGCTGGGACTACAGGCACCCGCCACCATGCCTGGCTATTTTTTTTGTATTTTTAGTAGAGCCGGGGTTTCACCATGTTAGCCAGGATGGTCTCGATCTCCTGACCTCGTGATCTGCCTGCCTCAGCCTCCCAAAGTGCTGGGATTACAGGCGTGAGCCACCGTGAGCTGCCTTATTTTTCCCCTTTTATACATTTGCTTTGTTTTATTCTTTCCTTTTTTGTGTTTTCTTTAGATTTTGCCATTCTTGCGTAGTTTCTTTTCTTTCGTGACCACCAATGTAATTTCTTTATAGATTATTAGATCATTTACTTTCAGCCTTCTTTTCTGATGATTTAAGGCTTAGGTTTCCATCTAAGCATAATTTTAACTGCATGTCACAGTCTTGTTTGTGGCAAATGAGGGTTGTTTAGAAAGGTTTGTTTTGCAAGTTCAAATGAACTTAGGTAATAAAGGATGCCCCTTGCCTTCCTGGAAAGTGAGAGGACACTTTACAGAAGGGAAATGTATGCTCTCTTTTTACGGCTTCTCTTGTGTCTGCTGTCCTCAGTTGCCTTCGCTCAAAATAATCCTTATGCCAAAGTGGCATATTTTGGGGTGGCATATTCGAGTTCTCTTCAGCTGATAGAGTGAGGTGGATCACTTTAGTCCAGTCAAGGATTTAAGTGTCTCCATGTTGTTTTGACAAGACTCAGTCTTACTTCTGCTTCATCCCCACCCCTGACACATAACTCCCTAGGGGTTCTCAATCGAGAGCCTGGAGTTCTTCCCTAGAATTCGAGTTTGTTCACTCTATAGGAACTTGTACACTAATCTTGCTTCCTTATATAACTTTAGAATTTTGTAAATGTCTTTAAGGAAAAACTGGAAGAACGTTGAACTCAGTTCCCCCTGCTCTTTTTCTTACTGGGATTCTGGCCTCTCCAACACCCTGGGACTGCTATAGTCTCAGCAAGTTTTTCTCCCTAATAATAGCAGTTCTGTACATATTTTGTAACCACACAATGGGTTACCTTGCTCGCTGCCCAGATAGAGCCGATTTATGAAGACGAGGGAATTGCAATAGAGAAAGAGTTTAGTACACAGAGAGCTGGCCAAGTGGGAGACCAAAGCTTTATTATTACTCAAATCAGCCACCCCAACAATTTAGAGCCTAGGTTTGGAGGGCAGGGGGCTAGGAAATAGGGGATGCTGATTGGTTGGGTCCAGGGTGGAATCACAGGGAGTTGAAACTGTCCACTTGTGCTGAGTCAGTTCCTAGGTGGGGGCCATAAGACCAGATAAGCCAGTTTACCAGTCTGGGTGTCTCCAGCAGGTCCTTCAGTATGCAGGGTCTGAAAAATACCTCAAACACCAATCTTAGGTTTTACAATAGTAATGTTATCTGTAGGAGCAAGTGGGGGAGGTTAGTGATATTGTGGCCTCTGGCTACATGACTTCTGAGCCATAATTTCTAATCTAGTGGCTAATTTGTTGGTTTTACAAACGCAGTCTGGTTCCCAAGCAAGGAGGGAGTTTGTTTCAGGGAGAGTCTATTACCGTCTTTGTTTGTTTTTTTGGTTTGTTTTGTTTTTTGAGTCAGGGTCTCGCTCTGTTGCCCAGGCTAGAGTGCAGTGGTGCAATCGTGGCCCACTGCAGCCTCGACCACCCAAATTCAAGCCAACCTCCTGCCTCAGTTTCCTGAGTAGCTGGGACTACAAGTGTGCGCCACTACACACCTGGCTAAGTTTTTTTTTTTATCTCTTATTTTTAGTAGAGACAATGTCTTGCTATGTTGCCTGGGCTGGTCTTGAACTCCTGGGCTCAAATGATCCTCCCACCCCAGCCTCCCAAAGTACTAGCATTACAGGCATGAGCCACCACACCCAGCCTTTGTTTTAAAGTCTTTAAAGTCTTTGTTTTAAAGTTAAACTGTAAACCACATTCCTCCCAAAGTTAGTTTGGCCTGCACCCAGGAATGAATAAGGGCAGTTTTGGAGATTAAAGGCAAGATGAAGTCAATTAGGTCAGATCTCTTTCGTTGTCATAATTTTCTCACTGTTAACAGTTTTTGCAAAGGTAGCTTTGTTTTTTTCTTGGGATCTTAAATCCCCTCTTACCCCACTCCCAGAATAGACAAATGCTGAGGGAAAAGCAGCTGCAGAATGCTGGCTCACCTCCTTGTGCAGTTCCCTTTCTCCCTGGTTTTATCTCCTGGAGTCCTTGTCTCAGCAGCTCTCTAGTGATTTCAAACTTTTTTTTACTTTTATTAAGCGTTTCTAGTTGTTCTTGTTGGAAATGTTGGTCATCCTCAAGCTACTTCATCATGACTGAAAGAATACTTTTATAGTTCTTTAAAAAAAAAACAAAACTCTGTTAATAATTATTATGCACATCCCTGGTTAAAAATAACTTGCCCTAGATATTAGTGGAATGTTTTACAGCAGTGGTACCTTTTGAATCACAATTACCTTACAATTAACACAGTCTTCATTTTTAGTTTGGTCAAGACCCAGTACTGGCCAGGCACAGTGGCTCATGCCTGTAATCCCAGCACTTTGGGAGGCAAAGGTGGGAGGATCACTTGAGGTCAGGAGTTCGAGACCAGCCTGGCCAACATGGTGAAACCCCGTCTCTTCTAAAAATACAAAAAATTAGCTGGGCATGGTGGCAGGTGCTGGTAATCCTAGCTACTCAGGTGGCTGAGAGAGGAGAATTGCTTGAACCTGTGAGGTGGAGGTTGCAGTGAGCCAAGATCATGCCACTGCACTCTAGCCTGAGCGACAGAGTGAGGCTCTGACTCAAAAAAAAAAAAAAAAAAAAATAGTGCTTATAATTCAAGTGATTAGAGTATGATAGTTGTTCTAATTTATTAAATATGTGTTCAGTCAGCATTATCCCTGTATGCTATGGCATGTTTAGTTTAAAAGTATAAGCATAGATGATTATTATTATTCAGTTGTATTTTTCAGAGTCTTACGGGAGAATTTGGCCCATTTTGAATATGCTGTTAAATAGGTAATGAGCCTTGCAATGCAAAATTGAATATGAATCATATAAAATGAATAAAAACTGTAATATAATCAGGGGTTTTTTTGTTTTTGTTTTTGTTTTGAGATAGAGTTTCGCTCTTGTCATCCACGCTGGAGTGCAGTGGCATGATCTGGGCTCACTGCAACCTCCGCCTCCTGGGTTCAAGCAGTTCTCCAGCCTCAGCTTCCCTAGTAGCTGGGATTATAGGTGCCCGCCACCATGCCCGGGTAATTTTTTAATTTTTAGTAGAGAGGGGGTTTCGCCATGTTGGCCAGACAGGTCTGGAACTCCTGACCTCAAGTGATCCGCCCACCTCAGCCTCCCAAAGTGCTCAGATTACAGGCGTGAGCCACTGTGCCCGGCTGATAGTGGTAATGCTTTTTAAAGCAAAGTGAATTGTAGGCATAAAAATTAAGAAAGGCCAGGCACAGTGGCGCACACCTGTAATCCCAGCACTTTGGGAGGCCGAGGCAGGCAGATCACTTGAGGTCAAGACTTCAAGATCAGCCTAGACAACTTGGTGAAACCCTGTCTCTACTAAATATAGGTAAAAAATTAGCCAAGCGTGGTGGCACACACCTGTAATCCTAGCTACTTAGGAGGCTGAGGTGGGAGGATTACTTGAACCCTGGAGGAGGAGATTGCAGTGAGCCAAGATTATGCCACTGCACTCCAGCCTGGGTGACAAAGCAAAACTCTGTCTCAAAAAAATATATATAATTTTTTAGGGTAAGTGTTAAGTACAAGAAATATATACCAAGACTAAATACCAAATAATGTCTGGTATTTAATGTTGAAAATTACTTTGAAAGGTTAGCAACAATTTCTTAGCATAAGGTGATAAAGCTGAGAACCTAAGGTCTTTTATTTTTCTTTTCTGTTTGTAACTTTGAAATATGTGCTTCTTTTGTTATCTTTTAGAAGTAGAAATGCCTGAATAACTCCCCTGGTTTTTGTTTTGGTTTTGGTTTTTGGGGTTTTCGTTTGTTTTTACGAGTCAAGGCCTTGCTGTGTTGCCCAGGCTGGCCTCGAAATCCTGAGCTCAAGCAGTCCTCAACCTCAGCCTCACAAGTAGCTGGAACTATAGACAGGAGCCACTGTGGCCAGCTACTTCCTGTTTTAATGGGACATTAGTAATGAACCATCGTAGTAGTAGTAGCAGTAGTAGTAGTAGCAGTAGCAGTAGTAGTAGTAGTAGTAGTAGTAGTAATGAACCACTCTATTATTATTTACTTTTTTTTTTTTTTTAATTGAGAGAGTCTTGCTCTGTCGCCTAGGCTGGAGTGCAATGGCATGATCTCGGTTCACTGCAACCTCTGCCTCCTGAGTTCAAGCGGTTCTCCTGTCTCAGCCTCCCGAGTAGCTGGGATTACAGGAGCCCACCACCACGCCCAGCTAATTTTTGTGTTTTTTAGTAGAGATATGGTTTCACCATGTTGGCCAAGCTAGTCTCGAACTCCTGACCTTAGGTGATCCACCCACCTCGGCCTCCCTTGCTGGGATAACAGGCATAAGCCACTGCACCCAGCCTATTTTTTTTTTTTGATACCCCTAAAGACAATTAGAATCTAATCCAAAATTGTGCAGTATGTGAACCATCTCTGTTAACATTCACCTGAAACTAAAAATGCTAGTAAGTGCCTTGGTTTGGTGGGGGTTTACATTCTAACAATATCGTCTCTCCACCAAACTTCCTCTTACTGCCTGCTTTAAGTCCTGAAGTTTTCAAACTCAGTTTTATATTTACAGATTTTCTACTTATCTGCTGACTTTAGAATTTAACATCTATATTAGAATACAGTTTTAATATATTCTTAGACTTCTGTCTTCTGCATTTTTGTTTCTGCTTATTTGGGGTTTTTTTGTTTTTTGTTTTTAAGACAGGGTCTCACTCTGTCGCCCAGGCTGGAGTGGCGTGATCATGGCTCACTGCAGCCTTGACCTCCCAGGCTCAGGTGATTTTCCCACCTCAGCCTCCCAGGTAGCTGGGAATACAGGTACATGCCACCACACCCAGCTAATTGTTTTATTTTTTATAGAGACAGGGTTTCACTGTGTTGCCCAGGCTGGTCTCGAACTGGGCTCAAATAATCCGCCTGCCTCAGCCTCCCAAAGTGCTGGCGTTACAGACGTGAGCTACTGCACCTGGCCTTGTTCTACGTTTTGATGAAACTTTTTCTGTTGCTAATTACCTAATCTTGACTTATGCGAGGCCTGTTTAAGTTGTCACCCAGCATCAATAACACTCTAGAATCCTAGGAGAGATTAGCTGTTGAGGCTGGAAAATGTCAGGGTGAGGATCCATGATCTTTTGTATCAGAGTGCAAAATGAAGTATTCAAAGTAACATTAGACTTTCTGACTCTATTAGGGCAGAGATTAACACCATCAAAATGGCAAAGAGCAAAATGTTTGAAGTTATATTGTGTTATGGAGGGCATGAGAGGGCATGGCCCACATTGTAGGTAGAAAGAGAAATTGTTGAGCCTCTTTGTGGAAACAATTTGGTGATATCATTAAAATTTATTATGTGCATACTCTTTAACCGATTACTTCCACTTTTAGGAAATTACTCTATAAATATTCCTACAACTATACACAGTGGATATTTGTTGCAACATCTTTTTTAATAGCATAAAACTGGAAACAACCCAAATGTCTGACCAGTAAAAGCTTGGCTAAATAAAATCTGATACAAAAGTAGACCTGGTTAAAAAGAATGACGAGCATTTGTATGAACTGATATGGGACATTGTCCCATATCAAGTAAAAAAATGTACAAAACAATATAATATGCTATCTTTTGTAGGAAAAAGATAGATATACATACTTGTGTATACTTAATACACACTTTATGTATTTATACATTTTATATATGTGTGTGTATTATGTAGTATATACTCTGATTTTATATATATATATATATATATATATATATAAATACAGGTTCTGTAATTATATATATATAAAATACACATACATATACCATCTCTGCAAGAATATGCAAGGAACTACGATTAACAAGATTTGCCTTTAGAAAGAAGACCTCAGGAGCTAGGAGACTCCCTGTTGCATTTAGTATGATTTACATGTATTTGCTTATTTAAAAAAAAAAAAAATATATATATATATATATATATGTACACACATGCACACACACACAAACAAAAAATAAATCTCAACTAAGGAAATAAAGAGAAAATATTGTTTCATACTGAGTTCTAGAGAATCTGTGTCGTAAACCTCTGGATCCTAGAATAACTATACCATACCATTATAGGTGTCTAAATGTCTCAGTTAAGGAAAATTTGCAGCCTGATTCAGAGCCCCCACCCTGAATTTATCTTTGAGTAATGAGCCTTGGAACTGTCTTCTAACATTCTGGCATCTTTCTGGCATCTGGTATAATTGTTGCTTCATACACATGGCAATTGGAGTAAGTAATTGTTATTTAGAAATACACAGTAATGCATTTATGATATATAGTTGTGTTGAAAAAGGTTTAAACTGAAGGAGCTAAACAATGTTGGTGACTTTTTTTTTAGTCTTCCTAGTACATAGTTTTTGATTACCATGCACTCTGATAAACTTTGTTTTTAGGCTCGAATGCTCATCACAGAAGAAAACTTAATGAGCATTATCATTAAGACTTTTATGGATCATTTGAGACATCGAGATGCCCAGGGCAGATTTCAGTTTGAACGATACACTGCTTTACAAGCCTTCAAATTTAGGAGAGTACAGAGCCTTATTTTAGATCTCAAGTAAGTTTTCATTTAATTATTAAACCAGTTGCAATTTATAGAAAGTCAATGTTTATGTTAATTGCCACTGTCACTTTTATCTTGTTCAGGTATGTGTTAATTAGCAAACCAACTGAATGGTCAGATGAGCTGAGGCAGAAGTTCCTAGAAGGGTTTGATGCCTTTTTGGAATTACTAAAATGTATGCAGGTATGTAAAAACTGTTACACTTTTCTTTTTCCTTTTTTTTTTTTCTCTTTTCTCTTTTTTTTTTTTTTTTTAATTTTTCTTTTTCTTTTTAAGAGATGGGGGTCTCACTGTGTTGCCCAGGGTGGAGTGTAGTGGCTAGTCATAGACACAACCATAGTGTACTATACCTTTGAACTCCTGGTCTCTGGCAGTTCTCCTGCCTCAGCCTCCAAAGTTGCCTGGGACTAGAGGCGCAGGCACGGGCCCAGGCCCAGCTTCTTTGTTGTTGTTGTTGTTGTTGTTGTTGTTGTTCATTGAAATGAACAGCTTTCTGTCTGCGCATCTTTTCATTTCGTGCACATTTCCAAAAGATCAATTTGGATGGCTGCAATTCTGACCAGGAAGCTCCTCTTTAATTGGAAATTCTTAGAAAGGTATGGAGCAAAGGAGATCCCAGCAAACATTCCGGCATCTACTGCTCTTGGGTTTTTTCTGTGTTGGTTTTTTTTGTTTTGTTTTGTTTATGAGATGGAGTCTCACTCTGTCGCCCAGGCTGGAGTGCAGTGGCGCAATCTCAGCTCACTGCAATCTCCACCTCCAGAGTTCAAGTGAATATCCTGCCTCAGCCTCTCAAACAGCTGGAATTACAGGTATACACCACCACACCAGCTAATTTTTTGTATTTTTAATAGAGATAGGGTTTCACCAAGTTGTCCAGGCTGGTCTCGAACTCCTGACCTCAAGTGATCCACCCACCTCAACCTCCCAGAGTGCTGGGATTACCGGCATGAGCCACCGCACCTGGCCAGTTTTTGGGGTTGTTTTTTTGTTTGTTTTTTGTTTTGTTTTGTTTTGTTTTGTTTGAGACATAGTTTTTCACTCTGTTGCCCAGGCTGGAGTACAATGGCACAATCCTGGCTCACTGCAACCTCCGCCTCCTGGGTTCAAGTGATTCTCTGACCTCAGCTTTTTGAGTAGCTGGGATTACAGGCACCTGCCACCATGCCTGGCTATTTTTTGTATTTTTAGTAGAGACGAGGTTTCACCAAGTTGTCCAGGCTGATTTCAAACTGCTGACCTCAAGTGATCCGCCCACCTCGGCCTCCCAATGTGCTGGGATTACAGGCATGAGCCACTGCGCCAGCCACTTTTATATTTCTTTGGTTTCCACTAATGTTCTTTCTTTAGAGGTTACAAGTTTATTTTTTTAATATGCTTTCTTGGAAGTATAGTCAAGTTATTTGAGAAACTGTAGTGGTTTTTGATTTTGCTTTTTAATGTTTCCATGTTTCTTTTTCTCTCCTTCATGTGGTATTTATATAATACAGTGTAGACCTTTTTCCCCTGTTTAATTCTCTTTTTAGGAAACATCCCTATATACAAAACAGAATCTAGAAGTAGAAACGAACAGGTATATTTAACCAGTTATAACTGTAAGAAGATAGGTGACGTCTCTAAAAATCTGAGCAAGTACTATTATGATTTCTTTAGTAGCCACCTGGCTTTCTTAAGAAAAGGAATGACCAAAGTTGACTTACCATTTTTATTTTTATTTGTTTGAATTTATTTTTATTTATTTATTTATTTTGGAGGTGGAGGTTTGCTCTATCGCCCAGGCGGGAGTGCAGTGGCGCGATCTTGGCTCACTGCAACCTCTGCCTCCCAGGTTCAAGCAATTCTTCTGCCTCAGCCTCCCGAGTAGCTGGGATTACAGGTGCACGCCACCACACCTAGCTCATTTTTGTATTGTTAGTAGAGACAGGGTTTCGCCATGTTGGCCAGGCTGGTCTTGAATTCCTGACCTCAAGTGATCCACCCGCCTCGGCCTCCCAAAGTGCTGGGATTACAGGCGTGGGCCACCATGTCTGGCCTGACTTACCATTCTAGTTCCTAGGTTGGGTGGTAGTTCATGGGTGTTTATTATAATACTACTATGTTTTTCATGTATCTGTGAAAACAATAGCTACTTTGGTCATTTTTGATACTTGAAGTATTCTGTATTCTCTATTGTTTAATAAGTTCTGACATACTAGAATAGTTAGGCTAGTTTCTGAACAGTAATTTTAATTAAAAGCTATTTATTGTTTTGCCTTCTTTCAGGCTCTGTGAAAACTTCTAATTGCATATTAGGACATAATATTAAAACTTTATTATAAAATACAGTTATAAATTCAATAACATTTTAAAAGCTTGTCACATTTCTTTTAACAATTTTTTCTATAGACCATAGAGCTAAAAAGGAAGGATTATTGCAGTGAAATATTGAAGTATTTTATTGCCTAAAACAGATCTTAGATGATACCTCTGAAATAATGTGTTTATTGGGATTTCTAAATTTATATTTTAGAGAATGTTATATAAACACATAATTTTAAAAGCTATTATTTCTCATAGTACTTGAAGTTTCCTGTTAAAACTTATACCTTCTATGTTTTTATAATCAATATATATTTCTCCTACATTACTTCTTAGGTTTCCATATAAAAGAACAACTATTATTTTCATTCATATATAATTTTTTCACTTCCGTTAAGGGAATGGATCCAATTACACGTCAAGTAGGACAACATATTGAAATGGAACCAGAGTGGGAAGCAGCCTTCACACTACAAATGAAATTAACACATGTCATTTCAATGATGCAGGACTGGTGTGCTTCAGATGTGAGTTTCTTCTGGGTGCGGGGAATAGGAGGAAAGTGGAAGAGGGAGGAATAAGCAGAATCCTAAGTAAATTTCAAGGAGATCTGGAGAAAATAGTGGTGATACTTAGTTCATTAAACAGCGTATTTTCCTTCTCCACCTATAAACTCAGTAAAATTTTAAAATTCTACAGCCTGAGGAAAAACTTGAAAAATAGAGAAAGAAATAATCCAGATTGTCTCTTCCCTAATGTAACTATCTTTGTTTTTTTTCCATAATCCCTTCTAGACTTTGAGGATATAAAAATGGTAGTTTCTAAATTTATTCAAAAATAAAGTTTTATTATTGGTACATTTGTCCTGTGTCTTAAAATTATTTTGGCCTTCCTTTGGCGATAAAGTCTAGATGAGAGCCTGTATACATTATGAGGTTAGGGAGGTTTCTGTAAGGTCTGAACAATCTGTAAAAGTTAATGGAACAATGAGTAAATGATATTCCTGACTGAGAAGACAGCTGCATTATAGTCTGTGATGACAGGGACTAGGGTAGTCCTAGGAGCTATAGAAAGGTCTGTGGTTGGAGCACAGAAGTAGAGAACAGAGATTTGGGCACAGGAGTGATTTTTCGGGGCCTTGGCCATGGTTGTTTTTTTTTTTGTTTTTTTTTTTTTTGAGACACAGCTTACTCTGTTGCCCAGGCCAGAGTGCAGTGGTGCAATCCCGGCTCACTGCAGCCTCAACCTCCCTGGGCTTAGGTGATCCTCCCACCTCAGCCTCCCAAGTAGCTGGGACAACAGGCACACACCACCACACCTGGCTAATTTTTCTATTTTTTGTAGAGACAGGGCTTCGCCGTGTTACCCAGGCTGGTCTTGAATTCCTGGGCTCAAGCGATCTGCTTGCCTCGGCCTCCCAAAGTCTTGGAATTACCAGCGTGAGCCACCACACTCAGCCTGCATTTTATTTGAATTGAAGTGGGAAGCCTTTAGAGATTACCATCTCTCTATTAAATTCCCTGCTTCAACTCTTGCCCCCTTTATCCATTTTCCATACAGTGACATGATTCAATTTACATGTTTTTTAAAATTGCTCTGTATGGAGAATGGATGAAGGGGGCAAGAGTCAAAGCAGGAATTTAATAGAGAGACGCTTGGCAATGCCTTGGAGTTACTAGAGATAGAGAAAAGTAGCAAGTTTTGAGAGAAACTTAGAAGATGAAGTTGCCAGCTTGGTAATAGATTGGACAATGGGGAATGGGGGAAAGGAGGGTATTGGAATAACTTCTAGATTTCTGCACTATATGAGTAAATGTATCATTCACTGAGATGAGGGACACTGGAAGAGGGACCAAATTTGGGAGGGAGGATTGAGTTTGGTTTTGCCTATATTGTTATTTGAGGTACTTACTCACTGAATTTAAGGTGCTTATTCAATGTTGTAAAAACTCAACCTTTTGAGTAACTTACAGAAAAACCCTCTTTTTTAGGAAAAAGTGTTAATCGAAGCTTACAAGAAATGTCTCGCTGTACTGATGCAGTGTCATGGTGGTTATACTGATGGTGAACAGCCAATCACACTAAGCATTTGTGGACATTCAGTGGAAACTATCAGATACTGTGTTTCCCAAGAAAAAGTTAGCATTCACCTCCCAGTTTCTCGCTTACTTGCAGGTAAAGCATTTCCCCTAAAATAAAACCCTAAAATTATCTTTTAAATTGTTGTTTGTGGTTAATATCTGTGAATACTTACTTTGTGCCAGATGTTATTCTGTGATTTCTACATCATTAACTTATCCAATCATCACATCGTCCTGTGAAGTAGGTATTATTATTAAGCTTGCTTCATAGATGGGAAGACAGAGGCATAGAGAGTGACTTGCTTAGTAAGTCACACAACAAGAAAGAATCAGTTGGCATTATGAGGAAGTTTGGCACCAGAGGCCATGTTTATAGCCGTTATACCATAGTGCTTCTTTAGACAACTACAGATACCACGTTTTATCATTTCATCGAATCCAGCTTCAAAGTCTATGTTGTTACCATTCAAATTAATCTGTCACTTAAGCAATTGCTAATCATTTGAAGCCACCCTAGGTTTTCTATTCTCCTTTTTTTCCTCTCCCTCTGAGCTGTTTCATATATTTATTGATAGCTTTTTACGCAACAGGTCAAGAACAAGGACATAATGGGGTGATAATCTTTTAATTTCAAGTAGTTGATTTACAAGCCACTTGTAATTAATTGGTAGAATGTCTGAAGCTGCCATCTTATGTGGCCAAAGACTTTGAATATGCACTTATCCATCTCTGCAGACTCATTTCAGTACAGCTTTCATATTTCTTGATTCTAGGTATTCTTTTCTTGCTCGCACACTGTTGTTTTCTTTAGTTCCGTTTTAACTCAGAGAACAGAAAGAAATTTTGAAGGTATTTTTACTCATTGTAAAATATGTAGTTTATGTTAAGTTTGTGGCTCAGTAGCTTAATGTGATGTGAGGGTATGTTTTTTGTTTTGTTTTGTTTTTTTCTGGAGGAGATTGTAGAGAGTTTGTTTCATTTCTTCCTTAAATGTTTGACAGAATTCACCAGTGAAGTCATCTCATCTGATGCTTTAGGTTTTGGAAGGTTATTAATAATTGACTCAATTTCTTTAATAGATACGGGCCTGTTTAGGTTATCTTTTTCTCCTTGTGTGAGTTTTGGTAGTCTGTGTCTTTCAGGGAATTGATCCATTTCATCTAAGTTATCAGATTTGTGGGCCTAGAGTTGTTAATATTCCTTCATTATCCTTTTAATGTACATGGGGTCAGTAGTAATGATTCCTCTTTCATTCTGAAGGCATTTTTTTTCATTGTTCTGAGACCTATCACATTATCCCACTGATAGACCCTTGCCATGGGTATATTATTGAAGTCATGGTAATTTAAGATAATTACTTACTCTGAGGCTTATAAAGTTGTTATTCCTAGACATATGAATATCAAATGGTACAATAGACCATTACCTAGAATGAAATCATGATCGTAAGAAGAAATCTCTCTTATTTCTATAACTTGTTCAGGCCCAGTTTTGTTTTTATAAGTGTTTTGAGCAACTGAACTGTCAATCCTCAACACAGGCAATTGATGGCATGGTGTTGTGGAAAAGTATTGGACAGAAGGCAAGAAAGTGAGGCATGCGTGTGGAAGTAGCACGCAGGCGCAGCGTGGCATGCCCTGCACGTGCCCTTAAAAAAAAAAAAGGCAAGAAATTGAGTAATGAGTCCTGTCTCCAACTGAGCCACTGATCTCTTCTGCCTTTAAAAATCAGAGTGAGACTCTGTCTCAAAAAAAAAAAGTCTAATTTTATGGGAGGAAGCTGATGCTGATAGTTATCTACAGTGAAAAAAGTCAGTGCTCTAAAAATGTACTAATTTCTGCCTAGGTTTTTACCTCCCTCAAAGCTGTCGTGTGAATATTTTTGAGTATTCATTTCATGGTATTTCATAAACCTTAGCCTAACTGCTTATAATCTAATTGGAAATCTAAGTAAACCAACACAAAACAGTTCATGGACAGTTTGAAGCAAGTGCTAATGGAGTTTGTAAATGTTGAGCATTTACAACATTTACAAATGGAGCAGTAAATGTTGAGAATAAGCTATTAGAATGGCATTAGTAGTGCAAGTTTTCCTAGATGAAGAAAGCCTCAAACCAGGCTTGAGTAAATGGCCATTATATATTGATAAGACTTTAAAGGGTGTCCTCTGTTTAAGCAATAGCATAAACAACACATTCAGAATGAACTGAAGGCTGGGCGTGGTGGCTCATGCCTGTAATCCCAGCACTTTGGGAGGCCGAGGCCAGCAGATCACCTGAGGTCAGGAGTTCGAGACCAGCCTGGCCAACATGGCAAAACCCCGTCTCTACTAAAAATAAAAAAATTAGCTGGGCATGGTGGAGTGCACCTGTAGTCCCAGCTGCTCTGCTCAGGAGGCTGAGGCAGGAGAATCGCTTGAACCTGGGAGGCAGAGGTTGCAGTCAGCCAAGATCCCTTGAGGTTAGAAACTAATGAGGCTTTGATCCTAAACCAAAAGTTCTGGGGAACTTAATTCAAAGGTCAGTATCAGTAAGGACCGTGAATTCCAGGGCCAGTTTTTCCGATCAGTGGCCAGAAGGATCTCTCACTGCTATACTTTAAATGGGAACAAATTCCATGGCCCAGTGAAATACAACTCTTAAAGCTGGCATAACATGTATATAAATTGTTTTGATAGCTTTTAAAATGTCATTGGTGTGTATTAGTACATACAACTAAGACTAGTTCTAAGTGTGCCTTTGATAACAGATTCATGAGAAGCATTAAAAAGCCTCTTTTATTAGCCGGGTGTGGTGGCGGGTGCCTGTGGTCCCAGCTACTCGGGAGGCTGAGGCAGGAGAATGGCGTGAACCCGGGAGGCGGAGCTTGCAGTGATCCAAGATCGCGCCACTGCACTCCAGCCGGGTGACAGAGCGAGACTCCGTCTCAAAAAATTAATAATAATAATAAGCCTCTTATGAATATAGATCATTTTCTATCTTAATTGGTAATTTGATAGGTTCCCAAAGAGAAAAGAAGTTAGATATAAAGTTGAGTGAATATTTAGGGTATTTTTCCTAAATGATTTTTACTGATAGAAATACTGTTTTTTGTTTGTTCTTTCATGCAGGTTTACATGTATTATTAAGCAAAAGTGAAGTGGCATATAAATTTCCAGAGCTCCTACCTCTAGTAAGTGGTGCTTACATTTAAAAGTGAATACTTATTTATTATGTTCTTTGTATTTGGAATCACTTTGAAACACATTTTTAGTTTGGGTTCTCCAGAGGAACAGAACCAGTAAGGTGTGTGTGTGTGTGTGTGTGTGTGTGTGTGTGTGTGTGTGTGTGTGTGTGTATAGATACATATATAGAGAGAGAGAGACAGAGATTTGTTGTAAGGAACTGGCTCATGAAATTGTGGGGGCTGAAATCTGGCAAGTCTGAAATATGCAGGGGAGCCTAGCAGACTGGCAGACTGGAGAGACCCAGGGAAGAGTTGATGCTGCAGTCTTGAGTACAGTGGCTGTCATAAAGGCAGAATTCCTTCTTCCATGGGGGACGTCAGTCTTTTCTCAAGGCCTTCAACTGAACTGATGAAGCCCACCCATGTTTGGAGGGTAATCTGCTTTACTCAGAGTCTATGATTTTTTTTTATTTTTATTTTTTTGAGACAGAGTCTCACTCTGTCACCCAGGCTGGAATGCAGTGGCGCAATCTTGGCTCACTGCAACCTCTACCTCCATGGTTTAAGGAATTCTCCTGCCTCAGCCTCCCAAGAAGCTGGAATACAGGTGCCTGCCACCACTCCCAGCTAATTTTTGTATTTTTAGTAGAGACAGGGTTTCACCATGTTGCCCAGGCTGGTCTGGAACTCGTGATCTCAGGTGATCCACCTGCCTCAGCCTCCCAAAGTGCTGAGATTACAGGTGCGAGCTACCATGCTCAGCCAGTCTATGATTTAAATGTTAATCATGTGTAAAAAATACCTTCATAGCAACATTAGATTGGTGTTGACCATAAATGGGATATCATAGCCTTGCTAAGTTGATATATAAAACTAACCATCACACAAACATATCTTAAAATAATTAAAATAAATAAGGCCAGGCACAGTGGCCCACACCTGTAATCGCAGCACTTTGGGAAGCTGAGGTGGGTGGATCACCTGAGGTCAGGAGTTCAAGACCAACCTAGCCAACATGGCGAGTCCCCATCTCTACTAAAAATACAAAAATTGGCCAAGCGTGTTGGCTTATGCCTGTACTCCCAGCTACTCGGGAGGCTGAGGCAGGAGAATGGCTTGAACCTGGGAGGCCGAGATCGCACCACTGCACTAAAGCCTGGGTGACAGAGTGAGACTCTGTCTCAAAAAATAATAATAATAATAATTTATATTGTGTTTTATAAAAGCATTTATCTCTATCGACCAAACTTCTTTTTAGAACTGATTTTATGTGTGTGTTTTTTTTGTTTTCTGTTTTTTTATTTTTTGTATATATAGAGTGAACTTAGCCCACCCATGTTGATAGAACACCCTCTTAGATGTCTTGTTCTGTGTGCCCAAGTACATGCCGGAATGTGGAGAAGAAATGGGTTCTCTCTAGTAAACCAGGTAAGTGTTTTCTAATTCTATGAAGAGTTTTCATTCCATTCTTGGCTTCTGTGAAGGTTGTAATTTTCAGTGGACTTAGTCAGTGAAAGCTGAGTATCTATATTAAAATTGTTTGAAAAGATTAATGATAAAACAAAAAGTTTCTTAAAACTTTTATTCATAGTTTGTCAAGAAATAATGGAAAAAGTAGAAATGAACAACAGTGGTCATGACTTTTACTTGAAATAATTTTTTGGGACAAAGTTGGATATTAAAAAATAAAAACCCAGATTTTATCTATTTAAATCAAATTGAATTAAAAGATAAAAGGCCTTTTAATATAGCTGTAAAATTGAGGTTTTACTTTTTATAGACCTCACATAGGCTTGGAATGAATTTTTTTTTTTCCAAGATCAGACAAGATCTGGCACATTTGGGGTGGTATAGCCATAAACAGATTTTGTTTTTCTCCTGTGTTTGGTAGCTCCTAACCTTCCTGAGACCACAACCTTTTACTTTATTCAGAAACCCAGCAAGTTAGCTGCAAAATGTGAACCATATCATGACCACTGTAATGTGAAAATCTGTAATTAATTAATCTTTACTAAGATAATGTTAATTGTTAGAGAAACCACATCACACACATGCACACATTCTTGTACAAACTTGTGCTTTTGGGGAAGGATTAGAGAGAGCCTGAGCCAATAAAAACTATTTACTCAATATAATTACTTTTTTTTTTAGATTTATTACTACCATAATGTGAAATGCAGACGTGAGATGTTTGACAAGGATGTAGTAATGCTTCAGGTAATGAATTAAAAGCATTGAACTTAAAGGTTGTGGGGAATCTTTGCTTCTTGTTATTTCCATAGAATTCAGTCACTTGTGATCACTCCCAAATCTACAACTCCAGCCTAGCCCTGTCTCCTCAGCTCCAAACTCATATGGCTAACAGCCTTTAGATCATTTCCATCTATATTTCCTAGACACACTTCATATTAAACGTATTCAGAATAACTCCTCATGTTTCCTCCATACCTTCTTCCTGTCTTCACTTCCCTACCTTGGTGAATTGTTCCACAGTCTACCTAGTTGCTAAAGTCATATACCTGAAAGCCATCCTTTCTTCATTGTCCTCTGGTTCTTTAACTAATGTACTAATGTTAAACCTCTTAGTTTAAACCCCTTAAACTAATTTTCAGGACTGCGATACTTAACTGCATTGAAGTTCCCTGAATTTGCCATATTCTCATACATCTTAAACTCTGCGTATTTATTTCTTTTGCTCCCTAAGTTACCCACCCCTTCTTTTTCCATTTACGTAGCTAACTTATTTTCCTGCTTGTCTTTGTGTTTACTTTAGCATTACTTCCTCCAGGAAGCCTTCCCTGACACACTAAAACTTGGCTACGTGTCCCTTTTGTGAGGACCCTAGCATGGTATTTAACCCTGCCGTAGCACTCACAACCCTGGACTGTGATTACTGTTTACTCTTCAGCACCCTACCCCCACCCCACCAAACCATGGCAGTTATATCTTGTTTCTTTTTTTGTCCCTTTTGCCTTGCATAGTGCTTGTCACATAGTAGTTGTTCTCTGATACTGCTGAATGGATTTAGTCATTATAGAAAAATAAAGCTGGCTAGGCACAGAGGCTCACACCTGTAATCCCAGCCTTTTGGGAGGCTGAGGCGTGTGGATCACCTGACGTCAGGAGTTTGAGTCCAGCCTGGCCAACATGGTGAAACCCTGTCTCTACTAAAGTTACAAAAATTAGCCTGGCATGGTGTCATGCGCCTGTAGTCCCAGCTACTTGGGAGGCCAAGACAGGAGAATCACTTAAACTTGGGAGGCGGAGGTTGCAATGAGCTGAGATCACTCCACTGGACTCCAACCTGGGCGACAGAGTGAGACTCCGTCTCAAAAAATAAATAAATAAAAATAAAGTCAAGAAATGTATATTTCAAAAAAATATTAGTTCAGAATAAAATCTAGGTTTATTTATAATTTATACAAATGGAATTAAAAGAGAATTGAAACTAATATTTAAAAGCTGTCACTTCAGTCAGTATAATGCTTGCCAGAAAAAAATAGGTTAGGAGATCTTGATAATAGTTTAATATGATCTGTATTTTTAAAATACTAGAAGGTTACTTAATATACCACATTTCCAAGTCCAAACGGTGATCAGAGAACCCCAAAATAAAATTTTGGCACTGAATTCATAGGAATACAATTATTTTAAAGCATTAGAAGGAAAGAGAACTCATAGTCTGTGTTACTGTGCTGGGTGGGCTTAGGTTTGGGGCTTGTTTGTATTTTGTTTTACCAATTTAGATTCCTTTCCACACTTGCCTGCTACCACAAGTAAGGATTGAGGTTAAATGGGTTTTCATCTTTTATTGGGATTGGTGAACCTTTTAGGATTGGTAAACTGCTTTCTCTTGGGCAAGCCAAACTATCTCTCACTAATTGTTTCAATAGTGGCCCCTTTGACCTTCCTCTTTTCCTTTATCTCAAACATTAAAAAAAAAAAAAAGACAGGTGTCTCCATGATGGATCCAAATCATTTCCTGATGATCATGCTCAGCCGCTTTGAACTTTATCAGATTTTCAGTACTCCAGACTATGGAAAAAGATTTAGTTCTGAGATTACCCATAAGGTAAGAACGTGTTTTATGAAACCACAACACATTGCTAAAGAAGCATCTTTCCTTCTTTTTGGATATGTTAATCCTCTGAGATTATGCAATATGCATATTCTTATCTCTGAACTTTATCTTCCCTCACTTGTTATAGGATGTTGTTCAGCAGAACAATACTCTAATAGAAGAAATGCTATACCTCATTATAATGCTTGTTGGTAAGTTTAAATTGTTTGAGGCATTTAATAAATTACACTGACGTTTATAGTAGCAAATAGTTTGGAATTTCTGGCCTGTGTTTCCTTTGTTTTGAGAGGATGCTCAGTCTTAGGGGAAGAGAATTGGAATATTTCTCTTTTTCTCCCCTCTGGTTACTGTAATATTGAGAGTAATAGCACCGTGGTGCTTTGGAAGAAGGAGAAAATACAACTACTGAAGCAGAATAAACTGGAAGACTGTATTTTGCGAGGTGGTGGTAGGGGGAGCGGGGGACAGGAGAATTTAGCAATCAAGGAATAGGATATTTAAGATCTATTTACTCTTGATTTATATCTTAACTATGTTTCTCTCCATGGGTTTGTGGTACAAAAGTATCTTCTTGACTTCAGATACAATAATTCCAAGCTAAAGGAGACCTGTGGCTAATAGATGTGGATTTCTTCCCTTATTACCTATATTTTCAGTCCTTTACTACTGTTTTAGACCCCCTGCAGTCCATAGAGCAGAGAATCCTGGCTACTGTCAGGAGATGATACCAATGAAGAAAGTCTCCGAAGTTGATATTTTATTTGCCACTAGATAGTAGGGGAAAGGAAGGCTCTCTCTCCTTGCTGCCACAAGGAGAATGGGGTAAATGCAGTTTCCTTGACCACATTTAATCCCTTCCCACATTTCTGATCCCATTCTTTCAAAACAGCAGAAAGAGCTCTCTCCACTACCTAAAGCCTGCCCTCACGTTTTGGGTCTGAGACACAGAAGCATGGTCAGGAGCTGCTCTCTCCCTGGCTTATTGCAGAACAGTCATTACTTTCCCATTGCTCAGACAGACTTAGAGAAATATAACATGCTGCATGAATTATAAGTATATATCACGAAAGTATTGTGATTATGTTAAATGTATGTATATGTACTTTTCCATTTTTGACAGGAGAGAGATTTAGTCCTGGAGTTGGACAGGTAAATGCTACAGATGAAATCAAGCGAGAGATTATCCATCAGTTGAGTATCAAGCCTATGGCTCATAGTGAATTGGTAAAGTCTTTACCTGAAGATGTAAGTACCTACATTTCTAAAAAGAAAACCATAGAAACTTTTCCCTGCCTATCAGTCTAGTATCTATAGATTTACTTCTGTATACCTTTCTCACAATTGTAAAATCTATTGTCATGGGATGTGTATAATTCCGGTCACTCTTATTATGAATAATTAGAAAAAGAGAATAGGAGTAGAAAACAGAATAGTAATAGAATCTTTTACAATAAAGCCTTGAGGAAGATAAGGACACTAAACAAAAAGTAGCCCAAACCTCAGAACTAAGGTTTGTACCCCACAGAAAGAGGTCATTATAGGGTCTTTAGTACAAAGTTGCTATGGGTGTGGATAATGCTTTGTAACCTAGTATATTGAGGAAGGGAGTCAGAAGTGCCTACTCACCTATACTGAGTAGAATAAATAATGTTTTCCTAAGCTTTTTCCTTCTTGGCCTCCAGAGAGTCTTCTTAATGACGAGCCCTTGTTTCATTTTAGTGAATGCAAAATAATAGTGAAAAGGACATTCATAGGTTAAATTGCAACTGTTTTTCCTTCCAGGGGTGATAAGTTCCCCAGCAACCTATATTTCAGCCATGGGGTTTTTCAGAAACTCAACCCTTATAATTGAGAAGAGACTTTATTTTCATTGAGGCTTTTCAAAATGTTTGCCCTAATTTGAAACATAGATCAAAACCTTCAACCTTAATTAACATTTATTTTTCTGAGATTTCAACCTATCTTATCTTTGTTGCATAGTAATACTTTTAAACTTTGTATTATAAATATTTCAAACATCTATAGAGATTAAAAAATGTAGTATAACAAACCCATCACCAGCTTCAACAGAGGCCAGTCTGGTTTCATCTATACCCAACCACTAACCTCTGTGCCCCACTGTATTATTTCCTAGAGAATACTATATTTACCATTTCATCTATAAATAGGACTATATGTATCTAAAACAGTGATTCTCAACTGAGGACAATTTTGCCCCCCAGGGGACATCTGTGAATGTTACTACTCAGGGCAGGATGTGGAATGCTACTGGTATCTAGTGGGTAGAGGCCAGGGATACTGCTAAACATCCTACAATACCCAGGACAACCCCCTACAACATATCTGATCTGAATGTCAGTAGTGCTGAGGTTGAAAAACTCTGATCTAGAAAATGAGGACTCTTAAAAACCCTATCTTTATGTTATCACACTTTTAAAAACAATAATTTATATATATATGTTTATATATATATATAGAGAGAGAGAGAGAGAGAGAGATAGAGTCTGGCTTGGTCACCCAGGCTGGAGTACAATGGCATGGTCTTGGCTTACTATAACCTCTGCCTCCCGAGTTCAAGCAATTCTCATGCCTCAGCCTCCCAAGTAGCTGGGATTACAGGCGCACGCCACCATGCCCGGCTAATTTTTGTGTTTTTAGTAGAGATGGGGGTTCTCTATGTTGTCCAGGCTGGTCTCGAACTCCTGGCCTCAAGTGATCTGCCCACCTCAGCCTCCCAAAGTGCTGGGATTACAGGCATAAGCCACCACACCTGGCCGAATGATGAATAATTCCTTAATGTCACTAAATATCTAGTCAAGATAAAAATTACTTGTACTGCTTTAATGCAGGAAGTGAATCCCAAGTTGTTCAATTAGGAAGCAGTTATAATTTAGCCTAAGCTTTAAGGAACAATAAAATTTCAAAAAGCATTTTTTAAGTGGTTTAAGATTGTCGGCCGGGCACAGTGGCTCACGCCTGTAATCCCAACACTTTGGGAGACCAAGGTGGGCGGATCAGGAAGTCAGGAGTTTAAGACCAGCCTGGCCAACACAGTTAAACCCCATCGCTACTAAAAAAAAAAAAAAAAAAAAAAAAAAAAATTAGCCAGGTGTGGTGGCAGGCGCCTGTAATCCCAGCTACTTGGTAGGCTGAGGCAGGAGAATTGCTTGGACCTGGAAGGTGGAGGTTGCAGTGAGCCAAGATCATGCCATTGCACTCCAGCCTGGGTAACAATGTGAGACTCTGTCTCAAAAAAATAAAAAATAAAGTGATTGTAACTGTATTTCCCAAACATTTTAAAGAATTATTTATTCACAGAATTCCTATTAATATCTTATCGTGAATGAGATATGATTGGGGAAGTGCTGTTGTACTGAAAATAGACAAGAAATTAGTGCAACTATTTTATAAAATACCAGACGTATTTTACATAAACTTTTTTAAATGTTTTATATACTTTGTGTTTTCATTTAATTCCTTTAGAAAGCTCTTACCTTGATTCTATATGGCAGTGACTTTTTAAAAATCATAAAGTTTTATCTATTTTATGTATTTAAAAATAATACATCAATTTGAATAAACATCAGCTTGCCGAGTAAGTATGTCTAGTTTTGTATTAATCATTGTATTTGCTATGGAATCCTCATCTGTAAAAATGGAGATAAGGTGTATCTACCTTAGGTTGTTATGAGGGTCAATGAGATAAAACACAATGCTAAGAGTGCTAGTAGTTATTATTAACATGAAACACACTTGTGTCCTGTACCTTTAGGAGAACAAGGAGACTGGCATGGAGAGTGTAATCGAAGCAGTTGCCCATTTCAAGTGAGTTTACTTCCTATTATTTCACATTCTTTTTTACTTTTCCAGTACATTCATTTTTCTTAGAGTGTTTTCTTTGATGCAACTGAGAATGAAGTTGCAGCTTTCAGAGATTGACAGACATTTTCAAATTATAGCTCTGAATTAGATTTCTCACTGACATTTCACTTTTCTGATCTCACCCTGTACTCAGCAACGTAAAGTGACATTGTGAGGGTTTTCGTCACATTCAGAATAGGTGTTCATAGCTGATGGTTTCAAATAGTAAAAATTAACCTCAGCAGTGATCTAAGTAAATGCATTGTAATTTCTTAAAACTGTTTTGTTTCCATTTGAATGTGCTGCCTAAATTGTGGGATAGCCTCTCAATGCCACCTTCTCCAGTGTCCACAGTCTTCCCCCAGTCAATAAACTGGTTTATACCCTTAAAGATATTAAAGCAGTTTCTTAAGCCTGTTTTTTCTTTGCTTCCTACCCCAATGACAATGTATTCATTTTTTTTAACCCACTATAAATTTTTGAAGATAGTGTCTTTATTTTTTGTTGGTTATAAAGACAATACTTGCTTTTAGGAAAAATACAAAGAAAAAATATTACCTGTAATCCAACCACTCAGATGATTTCTATTATGTTTAGATGTATATCTTTCTAAATTTTTTTTCTATACTTGGAACACATATTTATAACAAAAAATGGGTTCATTTCGTATTTACTATTCTATAACCTTTTTAAAAATTAAATAATGGAATGTTTCCATGTATTTGTGTCTTTGGGGGGGCGGGTTGTTGGTTTTATTGGGTTTTTTTAGTTTTTACATAATATACTTTGTCAGTACATATAGGCATACTTCATCCTTTTTCACTTCAGCCTGGGTAACAAAGCGAGACTCAAGTGCAGTGGCACGGTCTTGGCTCACTGCAACCTCCGCCTCCTAGGTCCAAGCAATTCTCCTGCCTCAGCCTCCCAAGTAGCTGGGATTACAGGCGCCCGCCACCACACCTGGCTAATTTTTGTATTTTTAGTAGACATGGGGTTTCACCATGTTGACCAGGCTGGTCTCAAACTCCTAACTTCAGATGATCCAGCCCGCCTCGGCCTCTCAAAGTGCTGAGATTACTGGCATGAGCTATGGTGCCAGGCCCTTTTTCACTTCCTTGTAGTCATGTACTGTAATGTATCTAACCTCTTCCCTATAATACATAGCTTCCAGATTTTCTCTTATAAACAAATATTGAAAATCCTTGTACATACAGCATTAACAAATGTATCTTTGACTGTGAAAGTGTTTCTTTGAGGATTAGCTAGATCAAAATGAAAGCTTGTATTACATTTTGGTACATACCTCCTAATTGCCTTCCCAAAAAAGTCCTCGATTTACACTCTGACTAGAAGTGTATAAAGAGTGCCCTGCAACTTTGTCAACACTTTAATATGAGCAGTCTTTTAGTACCTTATTTTAATTTGCGTTACTCTAAGTGAAGTTGAGCTTCTTTTCATGTGTTTATTGGCCGTTTATTTTTTCATACTTTAATGCATTTTTCTTTATGGTTGTTTGTCCCTATCTTATTGTTCCGAAAGTATTATATATTAGAAATGTCAATTCTTATTTAATACATCACAGTACTTTCTTCCAGTCTCCCTTGTTTTTTAACTTTCTGTTTTTAAAACTCTGTCTCAATTGGCTTCTGGGTTTTATAACTTGCTTAGGAAAGTTCTCTAAACCCCAATAGTGTACCTGCTTTTTTCTGCTTAATAGAACAACACGGAAGTCTTTACATGTGAAAATAGAGAAATTATCACTGTTAATGGTGTTCAGTTGTTTGGAGATGTTGTAATTTGTTATTTCACGTTATTAGACTTTTTAATTGTTGCCACTGCAGTGTCCATCACGTTCACTTGTCTAGTTAGGATAAATTCCAAGTGGGCATGCTAAATAAAACAGATGCATGTAGAACTCGGATTTAGACTGCCAAATCAACCCACTGAAAATAGTTGTAGCTTAACACCCACCAGCAGTATATGAGAGCTCTGCTTTCTTGTTCTAATATCCAAGACTATCTCTCATAAATTAGTGTATGGCTTTGGTAATAATATTCTAAGGTCCTTTCTTTCACAGGAAACCTGGATTAACAGGACGAGGCATGTATGAACTGAAACCAGAATGTGCCAAAGAGTTCAACTTGTATTTCTATCACTTTTCAAGGGCAGAACAGTCCAAGGTAATTGGGAAAATTAAAAATGTAGCAGGGAAGGATTGCATTGTTTTTCTTAAGAGATGAGGTTTCACCATGTTGCCCAGGCTAGAGTTTGGTGGCTATTCACAATGCCATTATAGAGCATTGCAACCTCAAACTCCTGGGCTCAAGCAATTCTCCCACCTCAGCCTCTTGAGTAGATGAGATTACAGGCATGCACCACTGTATCTGGCTTGAATTTTTTTTTCCTAAACAACTTTTTTACTGCTTTTGCAGATTGAAAAATGATACATTTTTATTGTAGGGGATTTGGAAAATATAAAATATAAAGAAGAAAGTAGAAATTACTTAAAATACCCTCACCTAACATTTTGGAGTTACCCCCTAGCGTTTTGTACATATGTATATACGATCTATATAATACATACCTTTACGTATATGGGTATAGTTTTTTAAAACAAATTTTCAACCTGTATTATAATCAGTTAATCCATTTTATGCACATTTCAGAATTGGTATTATTTAACACTTTTTCATAGAGATTCATGGAGCTTTTCTAATCATTCCTAGGTAATTAAATTTTGCCTTTTTGGTGGGGCATGTAATCCCAGCACTTTGGGAGGCTGAGGCGGGCAGATCGCTTGAGCTCAGGAGTTCGAGATCAGCCTGGCCAACATGTTGAAATCCCATGTCTACTAAAAATACAAAAATTAGCCAGGCATGGTGTCATGCACTTCTCGTCCCAGCTACTCAGGAGGCTGAGATAGGAGGATCACTTGAGCCCAGGAGGTCAAGACTGCAGTGAGCTATGATTGCACCACTGCATTCCAGCTTGGATGATGGGAGTGAGACCGTATCTCAAAAAAAAAAAAAAAATCTGCCTTTTAGCAGTCTCCTCTTAAAATGGTTTTTCAATAAACAGCATTAAATAAAACTTAAACATAAAGCTTTTATTTAGTTTTTGATGAAGTCATAGAGTTCAAACTTAAATAAGTTTGTACTTATTTAAGTACATGTTTCCCTTCTAATTTAAAGTAATAGAGAACTCGTTTGGAGATTCTTTTAGTTAAAAAAAAAAATTAACCTTGATGTATCCGTTTGGGGGAGGACTAGAACTTAAAGATAGATATCTTTTTTATTTTTTATTTTTTTTGAGATAGGGTCTCACTCTGTTACCCAGGCTGGAGTGCAGACCTCGGCTCACTAGAGCCCCTGCCTCCCAGGTTCAAGCAATTATCCTGCCCCAGCCTTCTGAGTAGCTAGGATTACAGGTGTGTGCCACCACGCCCAGCCAATTTTTGTATTTTTAGTAGAGATGGGGATTCTCCGCGTTGGCCAGGCTGCTCTCGAACTCCTGACCTCAGGTGATCCACCTGTCTTGGCCTCCCAAAGTGCTGGGATTACAGGTGTGAGCTGCCACGCCCCGGCCTCTGTTGTGTTATTTTCTGATTTTAGATGTTCATCCTTGGCCAGACACATTGGCTCATGCCTGTAATCCCAGCACTTTGGGAGGTTGAGGTGGGCAGATCACAAGGTCAGGAGTTCAAGACCAGCCTGGCCAACATAGTGAAACCCCACCTCTACTAAAAATATAAAAATTAACCAGGTGTGGTGGTGGGCATTACTAATTCCCGGTCCAAATAACTTTATTTTTTATTAGGCAGAAGAAGCGCAACGGAAATTGAAAAGACAAAATAGAGAAGATACAGGTATTTTTAATCTTTCTGAAAATGTCTTGCCCATCTTTTTTGCTTGTTAAACATTGTTTTCTGTTAACTATGATGATTGTCCTTGGTGGAATGAATATTTAAATGTAAGCTTTCCTAGTGAATAACCTCCTATTCAGAGGAATAATAAATATGTTAACACAGAAATAGTTTGTGCTAAGTCCTCTGGGTTGATGTTATCTCAGATCTTAAGACCTTTCTAGGGGAAAAGATAGACTTTCTTCTGTACTGCTGCTACTTTCGTGGCTCTTTTTATGCATTTGACCTTGAGAATGTAAAATAATAGCTTTAAGGTGTGTGTTAATGAATATTCTTTGAGTTAAAACTATCAAAAGTAACAAAGAGATAGTTTCTAAAGCATGTTCTGTAAAAGAAACCAATAATAACAACTGTATTTTCAGCACTCCCACCTCCGGTGTTGCCTCCATTCTGCCCTCTGTTTGCAAGCCTGGTTAACATTTTGCAGTCAGATGTCATGTTGTGCATCATGGGAACAATTCTGCAATGGGCTGTGGAACATAATGGATATGCCTGGTCAGAGTCCATGCTGCAAAGGGTAGGTTTGAAGACATTTATTATTTATATTTTAGTATTTTATAGTACAAGCAAAATATTCTTGTCTGTATCTATACACAGGAAAACTAGGCCGAAATGTATTGTGTTTTCCTAACTTGAATATATTGTTACTGCTTTTGTGTCTGACAGTAAAAACAAGTGCCAGACAGATTTTTTTATACCACATGGTTGTTATTACCTCAGTCCCACTGGGCAGTTGTTCTCTCCTAGATTGGTCCTTGTCTTTATATATGTAGTATTCTGATATTGATATAATGTGTTATCTTTTATATATGTTTCTAATCTAATTATTTTCCAAAACAAAAATTTTTTTTGAATCATCCATATCCTTATTTTGTAGTTGAAGAAACTGACACTCATAGACTTACGGTCCTATAGCTAGTTAAGTGGCAAGTCTGGAACCTTGTTTGTGTTATTTTTGTTTTTGTGTTTTTGAGACAGGATCTAGCTTTGTCACCCAGGAAGCTGGAGTGCAGTGGTGCAATCTTGGCTCACTGCAACCTCTGCCTCCTGGGTTCAAGTGATCCCGCCACCTCAGTATCCCAAGTACCTGGGATTACAGGCATGCATCACAACATCTGCGTAATTTCTGTATTTTTGGTAGAAACAGTTTTGCCATGTTCCCCAGGCTGGTCTCAAACTCCCAGACTCAAGCAATCCTCCCCCCTCGGCCTCCCCAAGTATTGGGATTACATGCGTGAGCCACTATGCCCAGCCCCTTGTTTGTATTTTACTTTATAGTTTTAATGTAAGCCGTTCGTACACTATCTCATTGAATTCACACAACACCCCATGAATAGATACAACTTTTTTCTCATTGTTAGATGAGGAAGCCAAGTTTCAATGAGGTTCCATTAACTTCCCATATTAATCTACTAAGTGATATAACAATTATTCATTAAATAGAATGCCTACTTTATGCCTTATTCCATGCTAAGCCCTTTTTTTTTTTTTTTTTTTTTTTTTTTTGAGACAGTTTTGCTCTTGTCACCCAGGCTGGAGTACAATGGTGTGATCTTGGCTCACTGCAACTTCTGCCTCCCGGGTTCAAGCAATTCTCCTGCCTCAGCCTCCCAAGTAGTTGGGAGTACAGGTGCCTGTCACGAAGCCCAGCTAATTTTTTGTATTTTTAGTAGAGACAGGGTTTCACCACGTTGGCCAGGCTAGTCTCGAACTCCCAGCGTCAGGTGATCCACTCACCTTGGCCTCCCAAAGTGCTAGGATTACAAGGCGTGAGCCACCGTGCCTGGCCATGCTAAGCACTCTGCATACAGTATTTGTAATCCTCAGAACTCTAGAGGGAAGCTTTGTTTTTCCAAGGCTAAAGATGATGACTTGGGCTCAGAGGCGTTCCCTTAGGGTATATATTAATAGCTTGAAAGCAGTAAAACCAGGATTCAGATTCAAATTTTGGAGCCCTCCTCGGGAGGCTGAGTAGCTATCATTCTTTCTTTTTGTCTCACTGGCTAAGATGTGTGTATTCTTATAATGCCCTCCTATTTATCTATAAGCATATTTAAAGTGTAAAAGCATGGAGCTGTGGTGTACTAGCTCACTACTAGTACAGCTGTACTAGCTGTCGTGTACTGTCAGCATTACATGAACAAAAGATTTGTGGGAAATAATGGAGAGAAGAGGTGTGAACAATATTTACCTTACATGTACACTTGCTTTATGTCACCTAGTTCTTCCAAGTCTCTGACAACCACAGTCATCCCATGTGAAGGGAAAGATACAGAGACATCACACACATATCTCCTTCAAAATCTGGGGTGTGGGCCCGGCACAGTGGCTCACCCCTGTAATCCTAACACTTTGGGAGGCCAAGGCGGGTAGATCACTTGGGGTCGGGAGTTCAAGACCAGCCTGTACAACATGGTAAAACCCCATCTCTACTAAAAATAAAAAAATTAGCCAATCGTCATGGCACATGCTTATAATCCCAGCTACTCAGGAGGGCTCAGGAGAATCACTGGAAACTGGGAGGCAGAGGTTGCAGTGAGCCAATATTGTGCCACTGCACTCTAGCCTGGGCAACAGAGGGAGACTCCGTCTCAAAAAACAAAAAAACTTGGGCATGGGATAAGAGCAGTAAAAAAACAAATAGGTTGATACAGTCTCTAGAAGTCTGGTCAGGAATATTTTGTGAGATACACTGAAGAACTATAAAGTTTATAAATGATAAGGCATTAGAGATAAAAGTTTGTCTTTCTCAGATGATGAAGATTTAGTCCTTAGAGAAATTAGGTAGTGTCATAGACTGGATAATTACATGGGGGATACGTTTAGCTTTATAATTACTTGACCACTAATTCTTGGAAGGTTTTTTTAAGTCTGTAGTATAGGTATAGAATAAAACTTACATATTATGTGAATTGCTGGTCACAGCTGGTGTAATTTTAGCTTACCCTGAGGATTTGCAATTGAAATTTCTTCCTCATTGAAGTAGAAAATTTTGTTTTTCTTGACAATAATTGTTTGTTAGAAAATAAACCTCAGTCTTTTCATTTAATAAAAATTAGTACTTCAAGGCCGGGCATGGTGGCTCACGCCTTTAATCCCAGCACTTTGGGAGGCCAAGGTGGGCGGATCACTTGAGGTCAGGAGTTCAAGACCAGCCTGGCCAACATGGTGAAACCCCATCTCTACTAAAAGTACAAAAATTAGCCGGGTGTGGTGGCACGCGCCTGTAGTCCCAGCTACTCGGGAGGCTGAGGCAGGAGAATCACTTGAACCTGGGAGGCAGAGGTTGCAGTGAGCCTGGGTGACAGGGCAAAACTCCATCTCAAAAAAAAAAAAAAGAAAAAAAAATTAGTACTTCAAATTGTTTTTAATTGCATTTAGTATTTCATAGTTTGATTTATCTTTTTCAATAATTCTTTTTTCCTATTTCTTATTAAAATATGTACTTGATTTTTTAAATTTTTACTAAAAGTTACAAAACATTTATTCAAGGTGTTACATTTAATTGGCATGGCACTACAAGAAGAAAAACAACATTTAGAGAATGTCACGGAAGAGCATGTAGTAACATTTACCTTCACTCAGAAGATATCAAGTATGTATATATCTTTTTACTAAACTAACTCAAGATATAAATGATTTTAAGAAATCACTTAATAACCTCTTTTATTTGATCATATAGATTCTAAAAGGGTAATATTTAATCCAAACATTTGAGGCTATATGTACTCATCTGTGTAGTAAAGGTACTGTATTAAACCCTGATACATTTTTATAAAAATATCTAGGGCTAAGTTCAAAGTTACAGTCAGCTGTGGTTGACGTAAGATTCTACAGTATTGAAAATAAAAAAAAATTATAGGGGATTAGATTGTCATTTCATATAAAGAAATGTGACTTTTTAAAAGAAGGCCAGGGAGTTTTTCTAGCTTTTTATTTTAAAAATTTCATACATATAGACAAGTTGAAAGAATTGTCCAGTAAACATTCATATACCTGCTCCCTAGATTCAGTAGTTTGCTATATTTGCTTTTATATTTACATACTTTCTTGAACCATTTGTTGTAGACATAATATTTCATGTCTCAAAGAAAAGCTTCTCATTTACTAATTTTCAGAACCAGCCATTGGTCTGATAGTTACCTGCAATTGTGGCAATTTTGAATGTTTTTTGTTTAGAGTTTTTTTAAATATTATTCATGGATTTTTATTCAGTGTTTTATAGTCACTTATAATGGGTATTCCTTTTGATGCTCAAATTATGCCCATTTTGGTCAGTGGGAGTTTATTTAGTCAGCTTCTGTGTCCTTTTCACCCAGCCCCATTTGTATTTGAGTACCACCTCGCTTTCCAGCCCAAAAGATGCCCAAGCTCATCTTGTACTTTCCCTGCCACAGACCTGTAGTCAGCCATTTGCTGAAGTGTTTTTAAATGAATTGATGGTGCTATGATAGGAGTTTATAAATGCTTTGATTGAAAAGGATTATTTCTGTAACTGTGTTCAGTGCCATTTCTTCCTAAACGATAACTGTGAGAATTATACTACCAGGGGACAAGGAGGAAGTAATTTTGTTTGCTGCTAGATCTCTAGTTTTCCTTTTTGCCCTCATCCAAGTAAATGAGAGAAAGAGGAGAAACCACCTTTTCCCACTGAAGACTTTATTCTTGGATGCCAGTTTTTACCTATTCTTTTTCTCTGCCATATTTTCTTTGGATTAATACTGTTGTTTTTGCTTTCTTTGTTTCTGGTGTGTTTATTTTAGAATAACCACACAGAATACTCCCTAATTTCATTCACTCATCACTATAAAATATTAGGTTCTTGGCCAGGCATGGTGGCTCACTCCTGTAATCCCACCACTTTGGGAGATCAAGGTGGATGAATCACCTGAGGTCAAGAGTTCGAGACCAACCTGGCCAACATGACGAAACCCTGTCTCTACCAAAAATACAAAAATTAACCGGGCATGGTGGCGGGCGCCTATAATCCCAGCTGCTCGGGAGGCTGAGGCAGGAAAATCGCTTGAACCCAGGAGGTGGAGGTTGCAGTGATCCGAGATTACACCACTGCACTCCAGCCTGGGCGACAGAGTGAGACTCTGTCTCAAAAAAAAAAAAAAAAAAAATTAGGTTCTCTCTTACTTTCTCTTTCCTTATTAAACAATCATCATTTTCCCTCAACATTACTCTTAACTTGTCTTTAGACATTCTACATAATTAAGACACACGATTTATTTCCAAAGAAACCTCTCCCTTATCTAGAGTCACATCTCTAATGCATGCCACAGTTTTAGATGTGATAGAATATTAAAGATCACACAGGTCAATCTCTTCCCCTCTTAGGAAAAAGGGACATTTTTCCAGAATGGCAGCACCAAAATCAAGAAAATCAATAGTTGAACTTTCTGGCTACAGACTAATAGAAAATATGGACTTGACTCTTATATTCAAATAAACAAACTATGAATTCCTAGGAGAAGAAATTCATTTTATTCTGAATCTAGTTTTTATTAAAGTCAATGGTCAGAGCAAATAAACATATTTGTGCATATATGCACCTCTTAATGCTAATTTATTTTTAGACCTGTAAAATCTGAGACACCACTTATTTTTAGCTGAATTTGTATGTAATTTTGCTAAAGGGATGTTAAAATAATCATTTGCTATAAAAAGTCACTTTTGAATCCTTAAAGAATTCTAGTTGTTGGCAACTTGTTTGTAAAAGACAAATATGTCACATTCTCAAGAAGTATTGAAAATCTCTATTTTGGTAGAGCCATAATCAAATTATGGGCAATAGGTGTTATAAGCAACTGCATTTATGTTCCTGTGCGTAGGAATAAGTACTATGAAGTATTAGCTATTGTTATTGTGCCTTTTATTTTTCTGCCGTAGAACCTGGTGAAGCGCCAAAAAATTCTCCTAGCATACTAGCTATGCTGGAAACACTACAAAATGCTCCCTACCTAGAAGTCCACAAAGACATGATTCGGTGGATATTGAAGGTAAAATTTCCACATTCCTCTGCTTTTTGTGAGAAATATTGAATATTTGTTATGTGTACATTGTGATCATATTTCATACAGGATACTGATACTTTTTTTTTTGTAGACTTTTAATGCTGTTAAAAAGATGAGGGAGAGTTCACCTACCAGTCCCGTGGCAGAGACAGAAGGAACCATAATGGAAGAGGTATAAACAGTAAAAAGTGTGATAATACTAAAAAATTACAGCAAGTTCAGTATGAACAAAATAAATTTATCTACATTAAGTTGCCAGTTACTCACAACATTTAAATTCCAAGAAATATGCCACTATTTATCTCTATTTGTTGTAGCAATTTTTTGTCTGCTTTTTTTCTTTAAAACAAGTCAGTTTAAGAGTCTTTTCTCTTATTTAAATAAGTGAGATTATAGAATAGTTTTTTAATTGGTATTTACAGTGAAGATATTTCTGCTTTGGAAAAAAATGTGCGTTTTAGCATCTAATTGTCTAATTGAATGGAGCATAATTTCAGAGTTCAAGGGACAAAGACAAAGCTGAGAGGAAGAGAAAAGCAGAGATTGCCAGACTGCGCAGAGAAAAGATCATGGCTCAGATGTCTGAAATGCAGCGGCATTTTATTGATGAAAACAAAGAACTCTTTCAGCAGACATTAGAACTGGATGCCTCAACCTCTGCTGTTCTTGATCATAGGTAAAAAAAAAAAAAAAAAAAATTAATGTCTTGACGAGTTTTTCCCAACTAGGGGCAGTGTTGCGTTTTCTCCTTGTAAGTATACTTTTAATCCTAAAGTAATTTAGTAGAATTCATAGGTAAATTTTGTGACCTCCATTTAGAAGATTTAATCTTAGAAGTCTCTGAATGTAGGTATGGTAAGTCCTGTGTACACCTGGTAGGGTATTTTCTGCAGAAGACCTTGGACATTCATGAAAGAATGAGTACACTACACTCAGTTACCTAGAGCGTATGACATCTGTGTTGAAGATTAGATTACTGTGAGGATTAAAGGAGATGGTTTTGATACATACCAAAGACTTGACAATCCAAGTTATCAAAACCATGTGTTAAATATATACATTCCTGGCTGTGCGTGGTGGCTCACGCCTGTAATCCCAGCACTTCGGGAGGCCAAGGCGGGCGGATCACAAGGTGAGGAGTTCGAGACCAGCCTGACCAACATGGTGAAACCCCATCTCTACTAAAAATACAAAAAAAAAAAATTAGCCGGGTGTGGTGGTGCATGCCTATAATCCCAGCTACTCAGGAGGCTGAGTCAGGAGAATTGCTTGAACCTGCGAGGCGGAGGTTGCAGTGAGCCAAGATTGTGCCACTCACCCCAGCCTGGGTGACAGAGCAAGACTCTGTCTCAAAAAATAAATAAATATATATACACACACACACACACACACACACACACACACACACACACACTACACACACACACACATACCTGTAGTCTGCTATTTTGTGATTATATAGAAAGTTTTGGGATCATTAATTATATTCATAACCTTTGTATTGCAGCCCTGTGGCTTCAGATATGACACTTACAGCACTGGGCCCCGCACAAACTCAGGTTCCTGAACAAAGACAATTCGTTACATGTATATTGTGTCAAGAGGAGCAAGAAGTTAAAGTGGAAAGCAGGGCAATGGTCTTGGCAGCATTTGTTCAGAGATCAACTGTATTATCAAAAAACAGAAGTAAATTTATTCAAGATCCAGGTAAGTCATAGCTAGATCCTCATCTTCCCTTTTAATAACAACTGCCAGTTAATGTGGTTGGTGATACGTTGAGATTTTTTAAACCTAAAAATAACTCCATGGACTTGGATGGTATCTTTGGCAGGTAACTTAGGCAGGAATTCCCCACTTGGCAGATGTGGAACCACTCCAGAAAGTTGCACCTGAATCACATAGCTGATAAATAGCAGGGATTCAAAGAAAAGCTTTTCTTTGTGATGTAACATTACATACTTTGGCATTTCACAGTCTTTTCCATCCTTCAGTACACTTGCAAAGTCCTGGTCATTTGTTGACACACTGAAATAATAATTGTTTTGTCTTATTGATAGAGCCTGAGTGGAATCTCCTGAGAACAGTGATGGAGAGTTACCTATGTAAGAGGCAATCCTTGAGCCAAATTGTTTTAGAATAGTAATACCACCACAGATCGGGTTCCCCAGAAAGCAGATTCTTGGGATACAGATTACCGTGCAGGACAGTTGAGGGCCCTCTTTCAGCAACTGAGGGAGTAAAGCAGGGAGATCCAGTCCGCACATGATTTTGTCCACCACAGACACATTTATTTCTCTGCTTGTAGGTTGTGCTCTGTGTGCGTGTGCTTCAGCGATACCCAGTAAACTTCTTGAGAGTAGGAACTGTGTCTTGGGAATTCCCAGAGCACTGCTTTAACCAGTGCCTTTCACACTGCAGCGTGAAAGGAGGTTTGAGAGCCCACTTTTAGAGTTGCCTTCTCTCTGTAAAGAAAGTCTTTGCATCCTACTTATGAAAGGTTGGTCTGCTTCATCTTTAAAAATGGTCATTTAGGCTGGGTATGGTGGCTCATGCCTGTAATCCCAGCACTTTGGGAGGCCGAGGCAGGTGGATCACCTGAGGTCAGGAGTTCAAGACCAGCCTGGCCAACATGGCGAAACCCCATCTCTACTAATAGTACAAAAAAAAAACTAGCCAAATTTGGTGGCACGCGCCTGTAGTCCCAGCTACTCAAGAGGCTGAGGCATGAGAATTGCTTGAACCTGGGAGGCAGAGGTTGCAGTGAGCCGAGATTGCACCACTGCCCTCCAGCCTGGGCAACGGAGCGAGACCCTGTGTGGTTTTTTTGTTTGTTTGTTTGTTTGTTTTTAAAAAAAAAAAAAAAGGCCAGGCGCAGTGGCTCATGTCTGTAATCCCAGCACTCTGGGAGGCCAAGGCAGGCAGATCACAAGGTCAGGAGATCAAGACCATCCTGGCTAACACAGTGAAACCCCATCTCTACTAAAAAATACAAAAAAAAATTAGCCAGGCGTGGTGGCAGTTACCTGCTACTCGGGAGGCTGAGGCAGGAGAATGGCGTGAACCCAGGAAGCAGAGCTTGCAGTGAGTCGAGATCGCGCCACTGCACTCCAATCTGGGCGACAAAGCGAGACTGTCTTAAAAAAAAAAAAGATATTTAAACTAGGTGCTTTATAAATTTCATTCCAGGCCAAAGACAAAGTTGCTAATTTTATTTAACTTATTACTTCTGAAGAAAAAGCATTAGCTGGCTATAAGTGGATTTTCTTAATGCTTTGACATTTGCACTGTTCTAGTGTTAAAGCAAATTAAAACTATTAAAGCAAATTAAAAGTAGTTCTTTCTAGAGTGTTAGGAAATTTCGAAGATTATACTAATTTATATAAAGAATTCAAAAATTCCAAAAGAAGCCAGACATCCATCTTGTTTTTCATGATTTTTCATCCCCTTTGAATATAAAAATTAGCACCAGGACAGAAGACTCTGAATTACCTTTTTTCCCCCCATCTGATCTGGTCTGTGCTTAGATTTTTTGTTGTCACTTTGGCTCTGATGTGATTATTCGCTGTATGAGTGTTGTTAGGCAGTCTGTCCTCTAGGGGGCGCCCCGTTACTGCCAAAACATTTTTTATTAGCGATCATTTTAACCCAGCTGCCCTGAACGCACATAAGGCAGCCCCATGAAGAGAGTAGCTCTTTTACCTGGAGCTCAGGGTACAATGGGAGGAATTGGAATATCTCAGCACCCTGAAAGTGTGAAATGTTCAAAAGATTGGATATATTTAAATTCATAGTTCTAATTTCAGTTTAACAATTTGAGAATGTTTAATTAATTTGCTGTGGGTGGTGAAAATTAGAGAGTCCTACTTTCTAAATAATCCAAGGTGTTGCATAAATTGGTATCTCAGAGGAATAAACTAGCATTTCATTTCAAATTTCAAGTCTTTATCAAGGATTTTACAATTTAAAGTTACACATTTGTTATAGGAAAATTAAATGCTTCACTTTTGTTTTGTTTTGTTTTGTTTTGTAATGCAGAAAAATATGATCCATTATTCATGCACCCTGATCTGTCTTGTGGAACACACACTAGTAGCTGTGGGCACATTATGCATGCCCATTGTTGGCAAAGGTAATGTATATTCTTAATATTTGTCAAGAGAAGTTTATCTAAGGGCTCAATATTTTTTAAATAGAGGAAATTTCATTCTAGAAAAAAGGAAAAGAACTAAAAATGTTGAAAAAATCCGTATCATTGCCTAATAAATAACAAAAGTTATTTGCCTTGTCATAGATGTAAAGTGTATGTCAGATATGTTTTTTAATTTAGCTTTATATCCAAGTCTCTTCTATATCTTCCAAAGAAGGAAGTGGATCTGTATCAGTCTGTGGATGAAGAAAAGGGTTTTTACAGTAGGATAAACTCTAGAAGGGTAATGTTGTCTTTCTTTGGGTCCAGGGTGGACAACTTTTGATTCCATAGATGTTAGTACTTGCTTTGTTACTTCCCAAAATTGTAATGGCTCCCTGTGATGAGATGTCCTGAATTTGTTCTACCTTGGTGTTTCCTATGCTTCTACAAAACCAACAAATCAATAATACTATTATTCTAGAACTATGCTCACCCAGTTATCATGAACTACCCCTAACAACTAGCCACCACATTGTAGTCCCAGCTACTTGGGAGGCTGAGACAGGAGAATTGCTTGAATGTGGGAGGTGGAGGTTGCAGTGAACCAAGATTGTGCAACTGCACTCCAGCCTGGGCGACAGAGCAAGACTCCATCTCAAAAACAACAACAACAACAAAAAAAAAACAAATAGCCACCAGCCTTGGGGAAGTGGCAAGAGAACAATGACACCAAGAAATTTTTGTTGCTGCTTTGTGAATGCTTTTTTACATGGCAGTCTTTTTTTTTATTTTACTCTTTTAGAACTTTTAATCCATTTGGATTTTTAAAATCACTCAAAAATCATGTTAAAAATAATTTAGTTTAAGATTTTCATTTTTGAACTATTTGTGGAAACAAATTATTTTAAATGTTGAAGCTTATGGCTGTCATTTATGTAAATTACCATTGTTTTGATACCTCATGTTCTCTAATTGTAAAGGTATTTTGATTCCGTTCAAGCTAAAGAACAGCGAAGGCAACAGAGATTACGCTTACATACGAGCTATGATGTAGAAAACGGAGAATTCCTTTGCCCCCTTTGTGAATGCTTGAGTAATACTGTTATTCCTCTGCTGCTTCCTCCAAGAAATATTTTTAACAAGTAAGTTTTGGCTCATGACAACTATTACAAAGCAATAGTTTGCTTTGAAGATAATGAAATAATAAATCAAGGAGGAAAACTTAGTCTAGGCAATTGCATAGTGTTTTCCAGATACTTTCCAAACTCTAATCATTTTCTTCTAGCAGACCTGTGGAATGTGATTTTAGTTTTTAGAGAGGAACAGGTGAAAATTTAACAGTTTCTAAGCTATTAAATTCCTATGTATTTATGAAAACCAAGTATCTGGTTTATTTCTAGGGACCCTACTTTTAATATCTTCCATACACTTTTCAAGAGATGCTCAGTAAACTGGTAGAGGGAGATGGAACAACTCAAACTGACTTTATAGGACAGTCTAAAAATCGAATAAAACTTTTTGCTGTACTGGCCATTCATAGTTTTAAGAACCAGGCAAAAAAGTGAAAATCTGTTGGTATATTTTAAATGGAAAAATCTCAGCTGGGCGTTGTGGCTCACATCTATAATCCTAGCACTTTGAGAGGCCAAGATGAAAGGATCATTTGAGCCCAGGAGTTCAAGACCAGCCTGGGCAACATAGTGAGACCCTGTCTGTACAAAAAATAAAAAGTTAGCTGGATGTAGCGGCATATTCCTATAGTCCCAGCTACTTCAGAGACTCAGGTGGGAGGCTCGCTTGGGTCAAGGCTGCAGTGAGCTTTGATCATGCCATTGCACTTCAGCCTGAGTGACAGAGCAAGACCCTGTCTCAAAAATAAAATAAGTGCTTGCTTCAGCAGCACATATACTAAAATTGGAACGATAAAGAGAAGATAAGCATGGCTCTTTCACAAGGATGACACACAAATTCATGAAGTGTTCCATATTTTTAGCTCTTTTAGAATTTGTCTAGCAGACTAAAAAAAAATAAGAAAAGAAAATGGAAAATTTCTGTAACTTCACAGTTTTTTGGATGCTTTTAGTTACGAGTATTGGACATACTCATTTCGAGTATGAATTTGATAATGTCTGCTTTTCGAATCTGAACTTCATTTCTCAATGTAGAATTATGCTATCTACGTTGCATGCACAAATACTAAGTTATGTGAGTATAAACGATCCATTTCTGTGTTATTTGGATTCAGTTCAAAGCAAAGTCAGTTTTTTCTTGTCAGTTTTAGGAGTTCAAACTTTGGTGTTCTTAGTCTATGCTACCACAAAATGTTCTTAAAATATTAGTAGATTTGAGTGTAAGCTCATGCTTTTTAATTATAAAAGAATATCGTGGTACTGACTTATCTGCATTTGAACTGATGAAGAAATTAATTATTGTTAGATGGAGGATTAACTGTGTATAAGAAGAAATCACCCTTGTTGGATTTCATCTGTCACTTTATTGGTCCAATTTTTGGGTTTTGCCCATGAGATTCAATTATGGTTTAGTCATATTCGAATACAATCATAAAAAGAACACAGGCTTTGGAATCTGACAGAGCCAAGTTTGAATGCTAGCTTTGTCCCTTATTCGGCCTTAGTCAAGTTACATAGCTCTAAACCTCAGTTTCCTCATCTGTAAAATGGGGACAATAATAAAACCTATTACAAAATATAGGAATACAACCTATGCAAATAATAATACAACCTGAAACAAAATGTAGGGATATTTTGAGGATTAAGTCTAATACCATAAGATATTTACAGTAAAATTCCTTACTAAGTGCTTGTAACATAATAAGCACTTGGTAGATATTAATAGTGATGGTGATTATGATACTTAAGAAATTCTAGCAAATTCCAATACTGAAGAGTGAGATTTTTAATACACAGTGTTATTACCATCATATTGACAAATAATATATTCCTTTCCATTGGCCAATATCCTGATTTTTTTTAATGCAACAAATTTTCCCTTATCCTTTTTGTTTTTAATATTTGGAGTGTGTCTAAAATATGCCTGTGATCATTTAAGGAGTCTTTTGTATCTTAAGGAACAATAATAAAACACTAAATACTCTCTATAATCTTTTCTAGCAGGTTAAATTTTTCAGACCAACCAAATCTGACTCAGTGGATTAGAACAATATCTCAGCAAATAAAAGCATTACAGTTTCTTAGGAAAGAAGAAAGTACTCCTAGTAAGTTCTGGTAACCTGTTTTCATTTTTCCCTAAAGTCCGAGGTCATCAGAAAATGTATTTCCAGAAGAAGTTGTTTAAAAGTGAAACCTCCCATTTAAAATTTTGACTCATTCTAATTTTCCTTGTCTTAATAAACTAAATTTGACTTTACTGCATTACTCCTTATTCCTTAAACACACAAGCTCATGTGAAGTTTCTAATAAACACTTCTCACTTATTCCCCCATTTTATTGAAGAGCTTCTGGAGGTGGGGGAGATGTAACTGAGTGTTGCAGAGCTAGCTTTAGTTCTCGGTGGGCTAACTCACCTTACTGTTGGCATTACCAAAGGCTTCCCAAGTTTCATAGACCATGCACTGCACTTATGACCTTGTGGGAACGTAGTATGAACAGGATTTATATCATTGGTTTTCATAGAAACAGAATAGCTACTCTTGTTTTTGTTTTAGTGGCTGTACTATAAGGAAAAGCATAGTTAAGAAAGGGCCTTGGTCAACTAGAGCAATAACGTTTTCATGCTTCATATGGTTGTTATGCCAGTTTTTATTAGGGAATTTTTTTCCTTTTGTTTTTGATTTCTTTGACCTATATGGCTGTACTTTTAGGAATATTGTCATCTATTGAATAATAGTATAAAATGCCTGTTTCTATAGATAATGCCTCTACAAAGAATTCAGAAAATGTGGATGAATTACAGCTCCCTGAAGGGTTCAGGCCTGATTTTCGTCCTAAGTGAGTATATTATTTTACTCCTTTAATATTTGACCCATTTGAAATGAATGATTAAGTCAGCAGTTAGGAGGAATATGATTTGGCAAGTGAGGGAGCAAAATGTTATAGGATACTGATCTTTAGTTGTAAGGTTTAAGCAGAGGCTGAGACAGGAGGATAGTGTGAGCCCCAGAGGTGGAGGCTGCAGTGAGCCTTCATTGCACCACTACATTCCAGTCTGGGTGACAGAGTGAGACCCTGTCTCAACAACAACAACAAAAAAAGTTTAAGCATTACTTGATGGTATTTATTGCAGTACATTAAAAAAATCTAAGAACCATGTGGCATGTTTAACTCTCACCACCCTCTCCTAGTCAGCATTGCTGACCCCTGCCACACCCCTTTCTTTACCTGGCTCTCCTTGACAACATCTAATCAGTAATTCTAAATACAAACTGCTCAGCCTCCCCAATGAATCCCGCACTTCCGTCTGACTTCAAAATTTCTATTAATGACCTAACCAAGCTCTTAGTAACCCAGGATTAAAACCAGAATATTTTCCACCCTATTTTACCCCATAGCCAGTTAGTTACAAGGTATAGCATAGATTCTGGAGCTAGACTGGTTGATTCAGTTCCCAGCACCACCACTTATTAGCTGTGCAACTTTGGGCAAATTGCTTGACCTCTGTGTACCTCAATTCCCTCATCTGTCAAGTGAGGATAATTCATAGGTGTTATTAGGATAAAGTGACATAATGTACGTAGAGCTACCTGAAAGCTGTGCCTGGCATGTACCAAGTAACTCAATAAATACAGACCTAAAGACTTGAATAGAAAAAAACATCATGCCTATAATCCCAGGACTTTGGGAGGCCATGGCGGGCAGATCACTTGAGGTCAGGAATTCAAGACCAGTCTAGCCAACATGATGAAACCCTGTCTCTACTAAAAATACAAAAATTAGCCAGGCGTGGTGGTGCACGCTTGTAATCCCAGCTACTTGGGGGGCTGAGGCAGGAGAATCGCTTGAACTTGGGAGGCAGAGGTTGCAATGAGCCAAGATCATGCCACTGCTCTCCAGCCTGGGCGACAGACCAAGACCCTATCTCAAAAAAAAAAAAAAGAAAAAGAAAAAACTTCAATCTTCTGTCTGCCACACTCCCCCAGTCCTGTCATTTTATTTGTCACTTCTAGTGTTTACTTCCATATTTCTAATTAGACAGTATCTTCACTGTTGACTGGTAAATTATTCCACAATTTTTGGTTAAATCTAGTTGTCAGTTTTTACATTATAATAACTGTGTTTCTGCTGATACAAGTTGCGTATTAGAATTATATTTCCTTTCTTGTACAGTTTTGTCTTTTTTTTTTTTTTTTTTTTTTTTGAGATGGAATCTCGTGCTGTCGCCCAGGCTCAGTTTTGTCTTTCTTATAGTTAATAATTACCTTGTCTTTTTCATGTACTTGTTTTCTATGTATTTTTTTTTTTTTTTCTGAATGGTGCAGTAGATCTATCCAATGTCTAACAACTTTTTCTTTTTTTTTTTTTTTGAGACAGAGTCTCACTCTGTCACCCAGGCTGGAGTGCAGTGGCGTGATCTCAGCTCCCTGCAGCCTCCCCTCCCGGGTTCAAACAATTCTCCTGCCTCAGCCTCCCAAGTAGCTGGGATTACAGGCATGCACTACCATGCCCGACTGATTTTTGCATTTTTAGTAGAGGTGGGGTTTCTCCATGTTGCCCAGGCTGGTCTCAAACTCCTGACCTCAGGTGATCCACCCGCCTCAGCCTCCCAAAGTGCTGGGATTACAGGCATGAGCCACCACACCTGGCCTCCTAACAACTTTTCTAAGTGCTCAGATCTGTCCGATGATCTTCTGTTGCTAGGTCCCTCCTTCCCCTACACAGCCTCTGTTCTCCTACAGTCAGGAGGGGGCACAGCTGTCACTTCTCTTGGCCCTGCTCCTCTTATTTTCTGGATTGAGTATCTTCCTCTTTCTTAAGTACTTGACTCTTTTTGCAGATTCCTAAGAAAGGATACCTGGATGGTATATTTTCATGTTCGAAAATATGTTTATTTTATTCATATGCTCAATTGATAGTTTGGGTGTAGAATTCTAGGGTAGAAGTAACTTTTTATCTAGATTTTGAAGGCATTATTTTACTAAATTCTAATCCATTGAGAAATTATTCCCATTCTAATTCTTGTTCCTTTGTAAATTTTTGTTTTTTTGAGACAGGTTCTCACTCTGTCATCCAGGCTAGAGTGCAGTGGCACAATCTCAGTTCACTGCAACCTCTGCATCCCGGATTCAAGCGATTCTCCTGTCTCAGCCTCCCAAGTAGCTGGGATTACAGACATGAGCTGCCACACCTGGCTAATTTTTGTATTTTTAGTAGAGACAGGGTTTCACCCCATCTTGGCCAGACTGGTCTCAAACTCCTGACCTCAGATGATCCACCCACCTCGGCCTCCCAAAGTGCTGCAATTACAGTCATCAGCCACTGCACTCAGCCTCATTTTTTTTAACTTTTTTAGAGACAGGTTCTATGTTGTCCAGGTTGGCCTTGAACTCCTGGGCTCAAGCGATCCTCCCGCCTCAGCCTCCTGAGTAGTTGGGATTACAAGTGTGAGCCACCATGCCTGGTTCCTTTATAACTCTATTACTATACTATTACTTCTATTTTCTATTACTACTTTTTTTTTTTCTTTTTTGAGACAGAGTGTTGTTCTTGTCACCCAGGATGGAGTGCAGTGGCACGATCTCAGCTCACTGCAACCTCTGCCACCCAGGTTCAAGGGATTCTCATGCCTCAGCCTTCCAAGTAGCTGGGACTACAGGCATGCACCACCATGTCCCACTCATTTTTTGTATTTTTAGTGGAGACAGGGTTTTACCATGTTGGCCAGGCTGGTCTCGAACTCCTGACCTCAAGTGATTCACCCACCCTGGCCTCCCAAAGTGCTAGGATTACATGCTGAGCCACCGCACCCAGGCTTGTAACTCTGTTACTTCTGAAAACTGTAAGATACTCTCTTTATCTCTTCAGTGTTCCGAAATTTTCTATGATATTTCTTGGTATATGAATCTTTTTTTATTCATTTTGCTAGGCGTTCAGTAAACCTATTGAATCTGAACATTCATGTCCTTCATTTCTGAGAATTTTTTATGTTGTTTCTTAAATAATTTTCTCTTGGATTTTCTTCTTTGAGGTAGTTCTGTTAGCTCACTGTTGCCCCTCTTGAACTGATAACCTAATTTTCTTATGATTTTTTTTGCTTTCTACATTGTCTCTGTTTTCCCTGAGTTCTGTTTCTCTGCTCCTTTGTTTTGGTTTATCTCTTTGATGCTTTCCTTAAATGTTTATTAGTCCTTGGATAACTATTTAAGCATAAGGCAATGAGCATAAGGATACCTGGTGGACAGGTTGGAGCTTGCTGACTTGTAAGCCTCACAATAAGGTGATCAGGACACCTCCAGTCTTTTGCTTGGTGACCCCCGAATGTCTGTGTAAAAACAACTTTCCCCTGAGGATTGTTCACTGGAAAAACTAATCTCTGTGGAAGTGGGTATACATTGCTGATGTTCTCAGGATGGGAAACAGGGTCAAGGATCTCATTGTGTAGTGTGTAGGCTTGTGCCCAGCACCCTGTTTTCAGCCCTGTGCCTCACCCCTGCTAAGTCAAAGAGTCTAACTCCTCTTGGGCAGGGGCAGTTTGCATTATCTCTGATCACTGCATACAATTATCTCTGGATATATGTTAAGTGGTTCAATTTCAATATAGCAAAGAGCTGTTAAGAAACCGAACCATTTGATTGATATGTGCACATTGTTCTGAGCTAATTTTATACATGTTTACTTCAGGATCCCTTATTCTGAGAGCATAAAAGAAATGCTAACGACATTTGGAACTGCTACCTACAAGGTGGGACTAAAGGTTCATCCCAATGAAGAGGATCCTCGTGTTCCCATAATGTGTTGGGGTAGCTGCGCGTACACCATCCAAAGCATAGGTAAGAGATTTACAGCTGTTTCTCTATAAGTCACAAGCATTCATTGATATGAATTAGGCATAGAATCTTGTTTTTAAATGAAATGTTTGAAGTGGGTAACAACGTGAAGAAATAATAAAAAGACTTAGAAGCAAGAAATGTAATGTACTGACAAAATACTAGATTGATAGTTCATAAATTAACCACAGCAACAGAGAACTCTTGGTGGTGGTGGTTATAGCTTCTTGTCAGTTGAAGGAATGTACTGTTCGTTTTTACTTTGTAACCAAATTTAATTCTTGTGAAATGACTTTGAAGATTCTGAAACTTGACAATATTGTACTTTCTGTAGGATTGGGGTTTTTTTAACCTTTTTAAGAAAATTATATTAAAATATACATAACATAACATTTACCATTTTAACCATCTTTAATCTGTAGAAAGAATTTTGAGTGATGAAGATAAACCATTGTTTGGTCCTTTACCTTGCAGACTGGTAAGTTCTCAGTTTATTCAGTTCATGATAGTGGGGCATGGAAATTAGGTGGTTCTGCTGCTTTTAATCTTATGGACCTGCAGTAGTTACTTACACCTTCACTTCTTTCGTAGTAAAAACCCATTTTCTGTAAGGATATTAAAAAGTAATGTTTGTGGTTTAATCTTTCTTTTAAATAAACTTCAGGAGGCCGGGCGCAGTGGCCCACGCCTGTAATCCCAGCACTTTGGGAGGCCGAGGCAGGAGGATCACCTGAGGTCGGGAGTTTAAGACCAGCCTGACCAACATGGAGAAACCTCGTCTCTACTAAAAACACAAAATTAGCCAGGCGTGGTGGCGCATGCCTATAGTCCCAGCTACTCAGGAGGCAGAGGCAAGACAATCGCTTGAACCCGGGAGGCAGAGGTTGCGGTGAGCTGAGATTGTGCCATTGCACTCCAGCCTGGGCAACAAGAGTGAAACTCCATCTCAAAAAAAAAAAAAAAAAAAAATTGCAGCCTGGCAGTATAGTGAGACCTCATCTCTACACAAATTTTAAAATTGGCTAGGAGTGGTGGCGTGGCATGTACCTGTGGTCCCAACTACTTAAGAGGCTGAGTTGGGAAGATCACTGGAGCTGGGGAGGTTGAGGCTGCAGTGAGCCATGATTGTGCCCCTGTACTCTAGGCTGTGCAACAGCACAAGATCCTATCTTTAAAAAAAAAAAAAAGAAGAAGAAGAAGCAGAAGAATGTATATTCTAGCTCCACTTTCTTGCTAACCATTCATATTTCAACTCCTGCAGTTTGGCTCCACTTCTAACACTTTCTGACTTCTATGAAATATCTCTTTCCAAGTTCACCAAATGATCTCCTGATTATCATTTTGCGTGGGCATTTTTTAGCCCTTGTCTTTGAAACCTCTACTTAATTGCTCATTCTGAAACTTTTATTTCTCTCCATTCCTTCTTCATTCTGAAACTCAATTTTCCCTTAATTTCTGTGACACTCTTGGCTTTCTTTCTGCCTCTGTGGCTCCTGCCTCTCAGCCCACTCTCCCTCCTCCATCCTGCAGTTGTCATTTTTAAACCTCCAGAGTTCTGCCATCTAATACTCTTCCCTGGTCAGCCCCATCTATGCCTCTGATTTCAGTTATATCCAAATGATCCCCACCTGTGTATCTCCAACCCAGATCTTTATCTTAGGTGTAGGTTATCTCTGCCTATTTTTTTAACCTGGATCTCCTACACATACCTAAAATTCAATCCAAATTAATTTTTCTTCCTATAGTCCCTGTTTTAGTTAATTTCACCACTATTCATCCAGGAGAAACCAGAAAATTGAAGTCTTTTTTTTTTGAGATGGAGTCTCACTCTGTTGCTCAGACTGGAGTGCAATGGCACAATCTCGGCCCACTGCAGCCTCTGCATCCTGGGTTCAAGCGACTCTCCTGTCTCAGCCTCCCGAGTAGCTGGGATTACAGGTGCATGCCACCGTGCCCAGCTAATTTTTGCGTTTTTAGTAGAGATGGGGTTTCACCATGTTGGCCAGGCTGGTCTCAAACTCCTGACCTCAGGTGATCTGCCCATCTCGGCCTCCCAAAATGCTGAGATTGCAGGCATGAGCCACCATTCCCGGCCTAGATACATTTTTTAGCCTGGGCATTCACATTCAGTTGGTCAGCAGAGTCTGACAAATTCTCACCATTCCTTCTTCTACTTGTTTGGTTCAGCCCCATATTATTTCTTGCCTAGATTATCATAGCAGTTTTTACCCAGAATCTCACTCTTCTCTAATACGTTATTAGAGGGGCTCCTCAAAAGCAATCCTGTTCATATTCTTCATACTTTTACAAACTTCTTAACCTATTTCTCCATTATCACCTCCTGCCAGTTCCCACCCCTGTGGTCCAGACTTGTAGAATCACTGCCAGTTCCTCAATGCTAGTTCCCATGCCTTTGCACATTCCATTTCCTCTGCCTAGAGTACCCTAAGCAGACTGCTACTCTTTCAGATGCTGTTCAAGCTTTCCCTTCCCTTAGAAAGCCCTCTGAACCATGTACTGTGAGTTAGAGACCTCTCATCTGTGATGCCTGCCTCCTTCCCCACTTTCTTCCTTTCCCACCCCAGGACTTTAAGCTCTTTGAGAGCAGGAGGGGGAGAATGGGTTTTATTTGAAGATCTTCAGAACCAAGACCTAGTGTATATAGTAGGACCTCAATATTTATTGAACCAAACATTACAGAAAATTTGGAAAATGAAAAAACAAGCAGGAAGAAAAAAGTCATCAACTTATCACATACCCATCTTTTTCCATTAGCATATTTATGCTTGATTACAATTGGTACTCACATGTAGCTTTGTTTCTGCTGTATTCTTTAAATCAAGAGTTTTCTTATTACTGCTACTTAGTCCTCATAACAATTTTTAATAGCTGCAGGCACCCTCATTTGTACCACCATCTTCTTAGACAGTTTCCCCAATATTTGGAGTATCTCTTTAGGATACTCTACATTTTACGGAAGAGTATCCACATTTTAGAGGATCTCTTTAGGATAAACATAAGAGATATGTGTTTTAGGGTATCTGTTTAGGATAAACATAGAGAAATACTGCATCCGCATCTTGGCTTGTTTATTTGTTTTTTGAGATAGAGTCTCGCTCTGTTTTCCAGGCTGGAGTGCAGTGGTGTGATCTCAGCTCACTGCAACCTCTGCCTCCAGGGTTCAAGTGATTCTCCTTCCTCAGCCTCTCGAGTAGCTGGGATTACAGGTGTGAGCCACCACACCCGGCCTGCACTGGCATCTTGGGAGTGTCCCTTGCTTTCTGTCAGATGCGTATATTCTATATTCTTTTCTTTTCCAGAGAAAACCAGCAACATGGTGGCAAAGAGATAGATTTCATTTATTCAGCACACACTTAGACATTTCCCATTCCATTTATCCTGTGTTAGAGGCATGTCATTGAGATGTCATAGATCTAGTTCCATACCATCTAGAGCAGTTTCATTGTGCATCCAGCTGTGCTCTGAACTAGCATTCCTGAAAGAGAACTGCTTTGCATTTTTGTTTTTTGTTAATTGCGTTGGTTTATTTTAGGATGACTGTCTTAGGTCATTGACGAGATTTGCCGCAGCACACTGGACAGTGGCATCAGTTTCAGTGGTGCAAGGACATTTTTGTAAACTTTTTGCATGTGAGTATTAATACATTTATAACATGTTGTAATTTTTCATCCTCTGAAATTTTGTTTTTAATGGTACAGCTTCTCTCAGTAATGAATTAAATATTTAGTAGTACTGGTTTTCTTATATATAAGCTCTAGCTTATAAATTCTCATGTGTCTTGCAAGAAGATAAATTTAAAGCAGATTATATGCATTTTAACATGTTGGCATATGAAATATGCTAATGTATTTCTCTTTAAATCTGTAGCACTGGTGCCTAATGACAGCCATGAGGAACTTCCATGCATATTAGATATTGACATGTTTCATTTATTGGTGGGTATTGTGCAGTTTGTTTGGACTTCTACGTCATACTATGTAACTTTACCTTAGGTTTGGTGAGCAGTGTAGTGGCAGACAGGAAGGAGTTATGTGATTTCCTTACCCCTTCTGAGTATAATTCTTTTATGAGAAACCTCAAAAAGAAAATATTTAGGAACCTAGTTGAGAGACTTGACCTGGTTATCGAGACGTCCTCTGACTCTTATTTTGCTTTATGGCTGAGGTTAGTATTTTAACCTCTCTGTGCTTTTAACCTGTAAAGAGATAAAAACACCAGCAACGGGTCAGGTGTGGTGACTCATGCCTGTAATCCCAGCACTTTGCGAGGCTCACCCCAGATCACTTGAGGTCAGGAGTTTGAGAGCAGCCTTGCCAACATGGTGAAACCCTATCTCTACTAAAAATACAAAAAATTAGCTGGGCGTGGTGGCACATGCCTGTAATCTCAGCTACTCAGGAAAGTGAGACAGGAGAATCACTTGAACCCAGGAGGCGGAGGTTGCAGTGACCAAGATTGCATGACTGCACTCCAGCCTGGATGACAGAGCAAGACCCCATCCAAAAAAAAAAAAACAGCAACAGAAGCACTGCTGCTGGCCCATACAGTGCTTTTGTACATTTTCGAAAATCTGGCAGATACAGCCCTGTGGTCACACTACTTAGCAGCAGAGAGCCCCTTATAATTCAGGGAAAGGTATGTCCTCTGAGCCAGGACATCCTAGTGCTAAGACACACAGCTGTCCAAATAGTGGGTAGCCAAATTTCAGCCCTACCTCAACTGGGTTCCCTTGCACAGGGTACAGAGTGTACTGCCACACCCAGCAGCCCCGAGTGCTGTGCCTTTATTCTCTGGACCTCAGATTCTGCCCCTTTAAGTTGGTTAGTACCTACTTTATATGACTATGTCAGAACTCAGTGAGTTAATCCATGTAACACACTTAGAGCAATATATTCCTAATAAATGCGGCTATTACTGTTCTCATTGCTGCAACTAAAACCACCACCACTTATACTGCCATGCAGACAGCAGGAGGCCAACAGAGCTAGCATTTGTGTACCTGCCAGCTTTTACATACGTTCACACTTACATCTCTACAATTTACATGTAACATATTGTCTTTAGTTTACCAATAGGGAAACTGAGGCCTGATCAGAGATATTAATTTGTGTAAAACAGCTCATAAGAGGAGGAGGTAGGATTCATATCTAGATATTTATGGGTCCAAAACCCATGTTTTTTCAACTGCCTACAGTCCTGGAGAGAGTTCAGATACTGTTTTTGTTAACAATAAGCTATGTATAGAGGACCCACTGGATTAATGAAATCATAGTGCCCATCAAGAGTCCTGTAACTCAAGTCATTTCATGTAGCCAGTCCTATTGGATTTTCCAACATGGATGCCCTTTCTTTAAGAACAAAGATTTCTTAAAGGGAGGAGCTGAACTCAGGAGGGATCACAGTAAGAAAATGGAAATGTGACCAGGCGCGGTGGCTCACGCCTGTAATCCCAGCACTTTGGGAGGCCGAGGTGGGCGGATTACCTGAGGTCAGGAGTTCGAGACCAGCCTGGCCAACGTGGCAAAACCTCATCTCTACTAAAAATACAAAAAGTCGGGCATGATGTTGCACGCCTGTAATCCCAGCTACTCAGGAGGCTGAGGCAGGAGAATCGCTTGAACCCAGGAGGTGGATGTTGCAGTGAACCGAGGTTGCGCCATTGCACTCCAGCCTGGGCAACAGAGTAAGACTCTGTCTCAAAAAAAAAATCAAAATAAAAGTAAAAGTAAGAAGATGGAAATTTGCTTAGCTGTGAAAGGAAAGGCGATCTGTCTGATGTCCTGTGTTTGGTGCCTAGGTGGGCTTGGTGCTTGCATTTCCTGCGTTGCAGTGTCAGGATTTTTCAGGGATCAGCCTTGGCACTGGAGACCTTCACATTTTCCATCTGGTTACTATGGCACACATCATACAGATCTTACTTACCTCATGTACAGGTAACTCTTGCCTTTTTGTCAGTTTCTTGAAGGAAATACTTGAGTTTTCTGAGTTTTAAAAAAAGTATTAGAGGAAAAGGTATTTGGATGAGAATAACACATGAATAAGGCTGTTTTTTTCTGTGTATCTTCATATGAAAAGTTTTGAAACATTTCTTTCTCCTCTTAAAATTTCCTAGTAATGTGAATGTTTCTAGTTTTAATTTCATACATTCAGTAATATTTGTGTAGAATAGTAATTAAATCTTTTAGAATCTTATGTTTTAGAATGCCAATTTTGTTTTAACTTACATGTTTGTTAATGCCCACATGAATTCATCATTAAATTACGTTTTGCATTCAAAATTCTTGTTTTTCATACACTTTAAGACTATATTTATTTGATTTTACTTAAAACATGCCAGCTGGCTGTTTGGTTTGATTGAGATCAATACTGTGCTCCCACTTGAGGGATTACAATTTTGCATGTTTTCTAGGAATACTTCATGTTATATGTGAGTTTATGAATATATTTGCATGCTTAATGTCTTCAGTCCTTTTGATAACACTTAATTGGAAAATACAGAGTACTAGTATTTCCTTATCTTTCAGAAGAGAATGGCATGGATCAAGAAAATCCCCCTTGTGAAGAAGAATCAGCAGTTCTTGCTTTGTATAAAACACTTCACCAGTATACGGGAAGGTGAGTTAGTTATCTTTACATAACGCATTTCCCTAAATATTGCTAGATGATGATAGCATGAGAAAGGAATTCGTTTGTTAATTAGGGGAATTTGTTGTCTGTTGACATGTTTTTAAAATAAGACGTGGAGTGATCTGCAGAGCCTTTCTGAACTATTCATATACTAACATAATTGGAAATCTGGGAGAAAGGTGATAATATGCAGAGCTTCCCACATTTATTTGGCTGTGGAACCCTTCATTTGCTCAGGGATCTGGCAGAGACTAGAGGATAGATCAAATGTACTTTGGAAAGTTGATACTCTAAAACTTATGTTGTCTCATTCAGAATGGGAATTTAAAACTGCAAGTTAAATTGGCATAATTTATTTTTAAGGTAATATTCAGTAGTAGCAGGAATAAAATGAAATTATTAGAATTCCATGTATGGTTAGAGTCATGATTTGCTACAAATAGCAATTCAGTAGTTTGCTTAGCTTTCAACAGTATATATGTCAAGAATCTGTAGTCAGGAACCTATAAAAATGTCTGTTTTTTGACTATCCCATTTCTGAGAACCTACATTAACAAAATAATTCAACATATAGAAAAAAAACATATAGGCATATAAAGATGGACACTCCAGCCAGGCACGGTGTCTCACCCCTATAATCCCAGCACTTTGGGAGAATGAGGCTGGCAGATTGCTTGAGCCCAGGCATTTGAGACCAGCCTGGCCAACATGGTGAAACCCTGTCTCTACCAAAAAATACAAAAATTAGCCAGGCATGGTAGCATGTGCCTGTGGTTCTATCTTCTCAGGAGGTTGAGGTAGTCAGATCACCCAGGCAGGTGAAGGCTGCAGTGAGCCATCACACCACTGCACTCCAGACTGGACAAAAGAGTGAGACCCTGTCTCAAAAAGAAAAAGATGTACACTCTGATATTATTTATATTAGCAAATAATTGAAAGCAATCTAAGTGTTTGCAGGGGAATAGTTTGATATAGTGATGAATGTGTTCCAAAATATTATAAATCTATTTAAAATATGGCTCCTAGGAGCTGGGTGCAGTGGCATGTGCCTGTAGTCCCAGCTGCTCAGGAGGCTGAGGTGGGAGGATTGCTGGAGCCCAGTAGTTTGAGTCCAGCCTGGACAACTTTTCATTTTCCACATTTTCTCTTTATGTCACTATGTTACTTTTATAAATTTTAATAACATCACACCTGTAATCCCAGCACTTTGGGAGGCCAAGGCGGGCAGATCACAAGATCAGGAGATCGAGACCATCCTGGCTAACACAGCGAAACCCCGTCTCTACTAAAAATACAAAAAATTAGCCGGGCGTGGTGGCAGGCACCTGTAGTCCCAGCTACTCAGGAGGCTGAGGCAGGAGAATGGCGTGAACCCAGGAGGCAGAGCTTGCAGTGAGCCGAGATTGTGCCACTGCACTCCAGCCTGGGCGACAGAGCGAGACTCCGTCTCAAAAAATTTAATAACAGCATTGGAGGCTGTGTCACCACTTACACCTGGCATCCTATAATAACACACACCCACTTGCCTGTTAACTCACAACTTTTAAGCATACATGCCATCAGTTCCAAATGACAGTCAAGTCTGTTTTCACACTATAAGTACAGTGACCTTTTCTTAGTAGATTTCCCAATAATCTTTTTTTTCTTTTTTAGTGCCTTGAAAGAAATACCATCCGGCTGGCATCTGTGGAGGAGTGTCAGAGCTGGAATCATGCCTTTCCTGAAGTGTTCTGCTTTATTTTTTCATTACTTAAATGGAGTTCCTTCCCCACCCGACATTCAAGGTAATTTATACTTTCTTTCAAAACGTAGGGAGAGTTAGTAATCCTTTACTCCAGCAAATATAAAGATCACTTGCAAAAATGAAAATTGACTAAAAGTTCAAAGAATAGCTTATTGACTATGGTGATGTACACATTTATAGCATAAAATGTATGTTTATGCATATGTCTCCATTTATTTGGATCTCAGTAAATGACTGTTAAACTTCTGTGTAAATGTTTTTACACCTGCAAAGCCCTTCTCCCGTAAAGATCATAGTTTTGCTTTCAGATGTTAAAATGTTCAGTTATGTATTATTCATAAACAAGGTTCCTCAGATTTGAAAAGGTGAAAACTGACAATTTCAAGTGATTTTTAACTTGAAACATGCATAGCATTAAAATTTAGAATACCCATAATTGCACATAAATCTGATTTTAATCTGGGAATTGATTTGCTCTTTCATAGTTGTTTTCCATGTTCTGTTTTGATTCATTTCATAAAAGTAGTATGAATGTGGACTTGACTGTATCTCTGTATCCCACAGTGCCTGGCACTGGCCGTAGAGTACCTGCATGCAGTGCTACTCTCTGAAAGTTTGTCCACTGGCATTTCCATTTAGCTAGTTGCCTAGGAACCATATAAAAGAGTTTAGTCTTCCAGATTATTTGCAGTGATGATTAGAGTTGGTATTTAAATCTGTGTCTCGTGGTAAAACCATCTTGTATTTCTGTATTGGTTGATCCTTTTCCAGAGCACCCATACATTTTTATCATTTAATGTTCACAATAACCCTGTGCAGTAGATTGTGCAGGCACACCATTTTGCAAATGATAAAGCCGAGACACCAGGACATTGGGACCAGTTTGATGTAGGAGTCGCCTGACTGCACTTGACGCATTGCGTCATTTTCCATGGATTCCTTCCATGTGCCATTCTGTTAACTTCCTACAAGTTACGTACCTGGCAAATTGGAAGTCTTTCATCCTTTTTTTTTAAACTCTGCTATTGCTTAACTCTCATGCAGAATATGCCCTTAGTTGTTATATGCACTCTTTTCTTGTTCTTCATTTGCAGTTCCTGGAACAAGCCATTTTGAACATTTATGTAGCTATCTTTCCCTACCAAACAACCTCATTTGCCTTTTTCAAGAAAATAGTGAGATAATGAATTCACTGATTGAAAGGTAATGATTATATACTTTTCTTTGTTGTATTAAATAGCTCTATGGAACCAAACTTTAGTTATCACATATGTAGCAAAATTCTCAAGTAATGACCCTGGTAGAATTCAACACAAATAATTCAAACTATAATGGGTGGGCCTTTTGTTGTTGTTTGTTTTGTTTTGTTTTGTTTTTGTTTTTGTTTTTGTTTTGAGACTGAGTCTTGCTCTGTCACCCAGGCTGGAGTGCAGTGGCATGATCTTGGCTCACTGCAACCTCCACCTCCTGGGTTCAGGGGATTCTCCTGCCTCGGCCTCCCAAGTAGCTGGGGTTACAGGCATACACCACCATGCCTGGCTAGTTCTTTGACCACCATGTTGGTCAGGCTGGTCTCGAACTCCTGACCTCAAATGATTCACCCACCTCGGCCTTCCAAAGTGCTGGGATTACAGGTGTGAGCCACCGCACCTGGCCTATGAGTAGGCCTTTTTAGCTAAGGATCTGGCTTTTCAGTAAACTTTTTGCCAAGCTAGTGAATAGCATAAACAAATTTGCATGGAAGGGGAATAGTGGTAGAAATGTTGATTTCTTTACATGAACTTACTTGTTAAGGACTCTCTTCCATAGGTTTTTTCTTGTTTTTGTTTTTAAGAGATGGGGTTTTGCCATTTTTTCCAGACTGCCTTTGAACTCCTGGGCTGAGACATTCCTCCCACCTCAGCCTCCTGAGTAGCTGGGACTGCAGGCACATGCCATCACACTCAGCTTTTCATAGATTTTTAAAGCTGAAAGAACCCTTAAGGCTATCTAGTCCAATACCCTCAACTTTATATTTGAGAAAAGTGAAGTCTAGAGAAATTGGCCTGTCAATCATGTCAAGTTAGTGACTGAGTTAAATATATGGCTGTTCTGTCCACAAAACGGGGGAAAATATTTGCAAACTACATATCTGATAAGGGATTAACATCCAGAATAGGCCGGGCACAGTGGCTCACCCCTGTAATCCCAGCACTTTGGGAGGCAGAAGTGGGAGGATCACTTGAGCCCAGAAGTTCAAGACCAGCCTGGGGCGGGGGCGCGGTGGCTCACGCCTGTAATCCGCAGCACTTTGGGAGGCCCAGACGGGCGGATCACGAGGTCAGGAGATCGAGACCATCCTGGCTAACACGATGAAACCCCGTCTCTACTAAAAATACAAAAAATTAGCCAGGTGTGTTGGTAGGTGCCTGTAATCCCAGCTACTCGGGAGGCTGAGGCAGGAGAATGGCGTGAACCCGGGAGGCGGAGCTTGCAGTGAGCCGAGATCATGCCACTGCACTCCAGCCTGGGGGACAAAGCGAGACTCCGTCTCAAAAAAAAAAAAAAAAAAAAGAAAGACCAGCCTGGGTAACATGGCGAAACCCCATCTCTACAAAAAATTTAAACATTAGGCATGCTGACATGTACCTGTCAGGAGGCTGAAGTGGGAGGATCACTTGAGCCCTGGAGGTCGAGGCTACAGTGAGCTGCATGCCATTCCACTCCAGCCTGGATGACAGATCAAGACCCTGTATCAAAAGAAAAAATCCAGACTATATATATCCAGAATTCCTACAACAACAACAAAAATAAAACCCAATTAAAAAATAGGTAAAGGGCTTAAATAGGCATTTCTCCAAAGAAGATAAATAGCCAAAAAAGCATACGAAAAGATGCTCAACATCACTAGTCACTGGGGAAATCACACTGACATACCACTTCACACCCATTAGGTGAGCTATTACTTTTTTAAAAAAAGAAAATTACAAATGTTTACAAGGATGTGGAAAAACTGGTATACTGGTATCCTTGTGCATGGGATATAGAAAATGATAGAGCCACTACGGAAGACAGCATGACAGTTCCTCAAAAAGATAAACATAAAGTTACCTTATGATTCAGCAATTCCACTTCTAGGTACAGATTACAAAATAACTGAAAGCAGGAACTCAGATCAATATTATACACCCACATTTATAGCAGCATTATTCATGATAGCCAAAAAATGGAACCAACTCAGATGTTCAACAGATGAATGGATGCACAAAATGTGGTGTGTACACACACACAATGGACTATTATTCAGTCTTAAAAGTAGGCCAGGTGTGGTGGTGCACGCCTGTAGTCCCAGCTACTCGGGAGGCTGAGGCAGGAGAATCACTTGAACCTGGGAGGCGGAGGTTGCAGTGAGCCAAGATTACGCCACTGCACTCCAGCCTGAGTGACAGAGCAAGACTCTGTCTCAAAAAGAAAAGTAAAGAAAATTCTCACACATGCTACAACGTGGATGAACCTTGAGGACGTGTGCTAAGTGAAATAAGCCAGTCACAAAAGGATAAATACTGTATGATTCCACTTCACTGAGGTACCTAGAGTAGTCAAATTTATAGAAACAGAAAGTAGAATGGTGGTTCCCAGGGGCTGGGAGAAGGAATTTTGCATTTAATGAGTACAGAGTTTCAGTTGGGAAAGATGAAAATGTTCTGGAGATGGATGGTGGTGCTGGTTGCACAACAATATGAAGGTACTTAATGCTACAGAACATTAGACTTTGAAGTGGTTAACATGGTCATTTTTATGTTATATATATTTTACCACACTAAAAAAAAAAATTTTTTTTTTTTTAAGTCTCACTCTGTCACCCAGGCTTGAGTGCACTGGCACAGTCACAGCTCATCCTCCTGGGTTCAAGCACTCCTCCTGCCTCAGCTTCCCAAGTAGCTGCGACTACAGGCACATGCCACCACACCCAGCTAATTTTTGTATTTTTAGTAGAGAAGGGCTTTTGCCATATTGCCCAGGCTGGTCTCAAACTCCTGGGATCAAGTAATCTTCCCGCCTCAGCCTCCGAAAGTGCAGGGATTACAGGCATGAGCACCTGGCCAAAAAAGTTTTATTTTTAATATGAATGTTCTAGCTCCAGATAATGTTAGCTTGGCATTAATACAAATTAATATAGACTAGTTTTTCTAGAGTATCCAAATTAGTAAGATAATGATGTTTATAGTCACAAATTGTATATATTTAAGCATTCTTGCTTTTAGAAAATATTCTCCTGATTTTAAAAGTTGTAGGCAAAATAGTATTTCTACAGGTTTCTTTTGATGAAGTAAATATGTTAGGTCAAGAATATTATTTTCCTCTTATTGGCTATGGAGGGGAAAAAATTCTAGTTCTAACCCTTTAAAAGTGTTTTGTGTTTTTCCCCCTCTGTTTACATTAAAGTTGGTGCCGTAACAGTGAAGTTAAAAGATATCTAGAAGGTGAAAGAGATGCTATAAGGTAAGTTAAAGAGCCTCAAAAACTTTATTGAGGTGGGAGAAAGGGTGGAATCAGGATATAAGTGCTATATTCCTTCAGAAACTGACTTCTCAAGCCTTTAGTGATTCCAAAAGGTTAAGATATGTTGCCTTCATATTTTCTTCTTAATCTAATGAGAGTCTATCAAAGTCAGAATTATGAACATAAATATACTACATTCTTGGCAGAGAAAGCAAATAACAAAGTTATATTTTAGGATATTTGCTTTAAAAAATATAACACGTCTCCTAGGTTTTTCTTAGCTCTATTTTTTTCTATCTTTCATTATGGGAAAACTCTCCAGAAGTGTGAAGAGTAAAATAATGAGGCTCCACATACTTGTCATTCACCTTCAATAACTATCAGTCAAATCATGGCCAGTCATTTCTTATAATTATTTTTTCTTCATTTCTTTTTACATTCTATTCTGATTCTATAGTAAAGTGTGCTCTACCAGATCCTAACAAGATGTGTCTCAATTGTTACTATACAAGTTGCGCATCTCTAATCCAAAAATCTGAAATTTGGAATGTCCCCATGAGCATTCCTTTAAGCATCATGTTGGCACTCAAAAAGTTTCAAATTATGGAGCATTTCAGATTTCAGGTTTTAACAGTAGAGATACTCAACCTGGATTAACAATTGAAATGCATTTGTTGTTATCTGGTAGAGTATGCTTTACTACAGAATCCAAACAGAAGTAATGCAAACATTCCAAACTCTAAAAGAATTCAAAACCCAAAGCACTTCTGGTCCCAAGCATCTCAGATAAGGGATACTCAACCCATATCTCTTAGTTCTGGTAAATACATCGTCCATAAAAGTCAGAAGACTAGAGATTATCTGTCCTATTTGTTTGCTTTTACACATCCAGAAATAACACCCCAATTTTATTAGTTTGGACCACATGAAATGTCAATTTTTATCAGTCAAAAATGGTTGAATATCACAATTTCATGTGATTCCACCCTGACGTCAGAAAACTCTTAATAAATGGAACAGTAATCCTCAACTAGAAGTATACATCAGAATAACCTTGGGAACTTTTGAAAAAATACTCAGGCCACTACCTACTGAATCTAATTTCTCTAAAGTTAAAGCCCTAGCATGTCTGTCCCCTCAAAATTCCCCCAAGTGATTTTGATATGATTAAGAACTACTGTCTAGCCGAGCACATTGGCTCACGCCTGTAATCCCAGCATTTTGGGAGGCCGAGGCGGGCAGATCACGAGGTCAGGAGATCAAGACCATCCTGGCTAATACGGTGAAACCCTGTCTCTACTAAAAAAAAAAAAATACAAAAAATTAGCTGGGCATGGTGGCGGGTGCCTGTAGTCCCAGCTACTCGGGAGGCTGAGGCAGGAGAATAGCATGAACCCGGGAGGCGGAGGTTGCAGTGAGCCAAGATTGCGCCACTGCACTCCAGCCTGGGCACAGAGCTAGACTCCGTCTCAAAAAAAAAACAAAAAACAAAAACAAAAAAAAAACTGTCTAAAATAATCCCCCCTTCAGTTTAACTCCATTTCTTGTCTTGGCAATAGGTAAAGTAGTGAAAGGCCATACCATGTTACCCGGGCTAGGCAGGTATGTGCACATGGAAGTGCCTCATAGTATAATATGACCTAAATTAATGGAGTGTTCTTTAATTTTTCTCTTTTTTTCAGATATCCAAGAGAATCTAACAAATTAATAAACCTTCCAGAGGATTACAGCAGCCTCATTAATCAAGCATCCAATTTCTCGTAAGTTTTGCTGTTAGCATTGAACATTCCCTGCCACTGGAAACACCTCTCTACAAAGAATTTGAAGGATTTTGTTGTTGTTCTTTGTTTGGGTAGAGAAATCATATCTGTAGTCCTTTATGAGAGGAGAGGGAGAAAAAAGGAAAAAAAGAAGAAACTTGGCGAGGCACGGTGGCTCACGCCTGTAATCCCAGCACTTTGGGAGGCCGAGGTGGGTGGATCACCTGAGGTCAGGAGTTCCAGCCTGGCCAAACCCTTGGTGAAACCCTGTCTCTACTAAAAATACAGAATTAGCGGGGCATGGTGGCAGGCGCCTGTAATCGCAGCTACTCGGGAGGCTGAGGCAGGAGAATCACTTGAACCTGAGAGGCAGAGGTTGTAGTGAGCCAAGATTGAGCAATTACACTCCAGCCTGGGTGACAAAAGCAAAACTCTGTCTCAAAAAATGAATAACATCTGTAGTACTCTATACTACATAACTTATAAAAGCATCATTTCACTATGTTTCAGAATAAGACATGGAATGGGAGTAGGAGAAGCAAATTTGATTCATGAATGTTTAATAATTGCACTTAAAGTAATAACAGCCCTTAGTAATTTTTTTTTTTTTTTGAGACGAGTCTCGCTCTGTTGCCCAGGATGGAGTGCAGTGGTGCAACCTTGGCTCGCTGCAACCTCCGCCTCCCAGATGCTAGTGATTCTTGTACCTCAGCCTCCTGAGTAGCTGGGATTACAGGCATGCACCACAACGCCCAGCTAATTTTTTTTTTGTATTTTTAGTATCACCTCAGCCTCCCAAAGTGCTGGGATTACAGGCATGAGCCACTACACCCGGCAGTAATTTTTAATATAGTATCAAATATTTAACATACAAGCAGCATAAAGAATAATATAATAGGGGAGGCTGAGGTGGGAGTATCACTCGAGCCCAGGAGATGGAGGCTGCAGTTAGTCATGATCGTGCCACTGCACTCTAGCCTGGGTGACAGCGAGACCTTGTCTCAAAAAAAAAAAGAAGAATATAATAATGTAAGAGCTTAAACATTACCTAGACAGTTGAAGCTCCCCAGCTGTCTCTTCTCTGTTGCCTCTTTCTCCTCCCTCTGAAGATACCTACTATTCTAAATGGAATATTAAGCATTCCATTCCTATACATTAACTATATAAGTTTCTATTCTTGAGCAGCATGTATTGTTATTTTGTATGTTTTTTTTTTAATTAGTATTTATTGATCATTCTTGGGTGTTTCTCGGAGGGGGGGATTTGGCAGGGTCATAGGACAATAGTGGAGGGAAGGTCAGCAGATAAAGATGTGAACAAAGGTCTCTGGTTTTCCTAGGCAGAGGTCCCTGCGGCCTTCCGCAGTGTTTGTGTCCCTGGGTACTTGAGATTAGGGAGTGGTGATGACTCTTAACGAGCATGCTGCCTTCAAGCATCTGTTTAACAAAGCACATCTTGCACCGCCCTTAATCCATTTAACCCTTAGTGGACACAGCACATGTTTCAGAGAGCACGGGGTTGGGGGTAAGGTTATAGATTAACAGCATCCCAAGGCAGAAGAATTTTTCTTAGTACAGAACAAAATGGAGTCTCCTATGTCTACTTCTTTCTACACAGACACAGTAACAATCTGATCTCTCTTTCTTTTCCCCACATTTCCCCCTTTTCTATTCGACAAAACCGCCATCGTCATCACGGCCTGTTGTCAATGAGCTGTTGGTTGCACCTCCCAGATGGGGTGGCGGCCAGGTAGAGAGGCTCCTCACTTCCCAGACGGGGCAGCCGGGCAGAGGCGCCCCCCACCTCCCGGACGGGGCGGCTGGCCGGGTGGGAGCTGCCCCCCACCTCCCGGACGGGGCAGCTGGCCGGGTAGGGGCTGCCCCCCACCTCCCGGACTGGGCGGCTGCTGGGCGGAGACGCTCCTCACTTCCCAGACGGGGCGGCTGCCGGGCGGAGGGGCTCCTCACTTCTCAGACGGGGCAGCCGGTCGGAGACACTCCTCACCTCCCAGACAGGGTCGCGGCCGGGCAGAGGCGCTCCTCACATCCCAGACGGGGCGGCGGGGCAGAGGCGCTCCCCACATCCCAGACGATGGGCGGCCGGGCAGAGACGCTCCTCACTTCCTAGACGGGATGACGGCCAGGAAGAGGGGCTCCTCACTTCTCAGACTGGGCGGCCGGGCAGAGACGCTCGTCACTTCCTAGACGGGGTGGCGGCCGGGCAGAGGCTGCAATCTCCGCACTTTGGGAGGCCAAGGCAGGCGGCTGGGAGGTGGAGGTTGTAGCGAGCCGAGATCGCGCCACTGCACTCCAGCCTGGGCAACATTGAGCACTGAGTGAGCAAGACTCCCTCTGCAATCCTGGCACCTCGGGAGGCCGAGGCTGGCAGATCACTCGCCGTCAGGAGCTGGAGACCAGCCCGGCCAACACGGCGAAACCCCGTCTCCACCAAAAAATACAAAAACCAGTCAGGCGTGGCGGCGCGCGCCTGCAATCCCAGGCACTGGGCAGGCTGAGACAGGAGAATCAGGCAGGGAGGTTGCAGTGAGCCAAGATGGCGGCAGTACAGTCCAGCCTCGGCTCGGCATCAGAGGGAGACTGTGCAAAGGGGAGAGGGAGAGAAGAGAGGGAGAGGGAGAGCTGTATGTTGTATTTTATTTTATTTATTTATTTATTTATTTATTTATTGAGACAGGGTCTCACTCTGTTGCCCAGGCTGGAGTGCAGTGGTGTGATCTTGGCTCACAGCAACCTCCGCCTCCCAGGTTCAAGTGATTCTCCAGTCTCAGCCTCCAAAGTAGCTGGGACTACAGGTGCACACCACCATGCCTGGCTAATTTTTGTATTTTTAGTAGAGACGGGGTTTCACCATATTGGTCAGGCTGGTCTCAAACTCCTGACCTCAGTTGATCCACCCACCTTTGCCTCCCAAAGTGCTGGGATTACAGGCGTGAGCCACTGCACCCAGCCAATTTTGCATTCATTCAGCATTGTTTCTAAGATTTATCTGTATTGACGTTTATAACTTTATTGATTTTTCATTGCTCCATAGTATTTTATTATATGGCAGTGGTACCGTTTATCTTTTTCTCCTATTGATGATTTTATTTATTTTTTTTTCTCCAGTTACTGATTCTTTTGAGTGTTTCCAGTACATGGTCTTTGTATATATGTGCAAGATGTTTCCTATTCCAGATTCTAGGAATAAACTTGCATAGACTGTAGGATATACACTTCTTTGGCTTTACTTGATATTGCAGAATTCTTTTCTGGGCTGGTTTTTTCATCACTAGCTCTTTAGCCACTCTTTAGATCAATGACTTGTGGGTTTTTTATCCCTTGGAGGTGCCCGAAATCAGGTGGTGATAAGAGCAGAGCCCCAACTCTGTGCCTTGTGTGCGGATCTCTGCTGTGCTCCCAGAGTTACTGCTGCCAGACTGAACTGGAAGGGGAGGATGTAGGAGCCTGCACAGCTCACACCTACTCCTGTGGCTCTGGAGTGGGCATCTTCCTGAGGTAAGGACCTGCAGGGGCTTTTTAGCTTTGGATCTGCCTCAGTATCTGACTGTTAGGGTGTCACAGGAAACTACTATATTGCCAGGAATTTTGAGACTACTGTTCCGTGTGATTCATTCCAGAAACGTGGAGCTCCTTGTCGCCTCACATCTCACATCTGGTCCATGCCAACTCTGTGTTGGTTCTTTTATTGTTACCATTCCCACTCCTCTTCCCTCAACCATAGGTGACAGTTCTGTTCTACTTTCTCCATGTCTCCCACTAATGTGAAACTTCTCTGATTTTCTGAACAAATCCAGTCAGAATTACTCTTTCTGTTATGTCCTCATGGCTTTTGGATTTTACCTCCACTTATACATATTATCACAACTCTACATGCCAGCTTGTGATTAGTGACTACTATGTACCAGGCATTGAGGATGCAGTAGTCCACAGTGCAAAGATCTCTGCCCTTATGGATGGAGCTTGTTTTGTATGAGAGAGAGGACAAGCAAGACTGACAAGAATTTAGATAGTGATATAGGCTAAGGAGAAAAAATAAAGCAGGGAAGGGGAATATGAAATGGCAGCTATGGAGCTAAATTTGAGATTTAATTTTAGTAGATCAGGGAAGGCTTCCTAAGAACATGACTTCTGAGTAAAGACCTAAAGAAGTGGGAGAACATTCTACTCAGAACATTCTGCACAGTTCCTGGGGTAGAAATGTGCCTGTCTGCTCAAGGCAAGGAGGCGCGTGTCACTGGAGTGTTGTGCACAGGTGAGAGAATCCAGGGGCCTGCTGTGTGCTGGTGACATCTCTGGGCAAGGTGTAAGCCATTTCAGGGTTTGAAGCAGAGGCATGACATGAGTGTGGGCTCCTCTGGAGCATAGGTTGTATCCATAGCTTAGTCATCCCCCCAGTACCTTGATAATTTCTTATACGTATTAGGTCCTCAATAAATGTCTGTTTAATTGTGCTGTACTATTAATGCCAGAAAAAGGCAAATGTCTCAAAGGGATCAGGGGACACAAATTTGACTCGATTCAACCTATTTCCTAGTTTGTGCACAATTTTTTAATGGATAACTTCCTCCTAATAGTGGTTTAAATATCAGTACTATAAGACTTCATTCTATTTGGAACTGAATACAAATGTTGGTTACTAATGTGTAAATGTGTAACGTATGACTGATCTCTCTACAGAGTACGGGAATGTCAGGTGCTATTTTTAGCTGGCAAAACCAAAGGCTGTTTTTATTCTCCTCCTTACCTTGATGACTATGGGGAGACCGACCAGGGACTCAGGTAAGAACCCATCCTGAGTTAGCTAACTCAGGGCCTGCAGCGCCCTTCCGTATGTGGTGACGTCCTGAGGGTGGAGGGCTGAGGTGGTTCTGGAAGAGGTGGCTGTGTTATCTGTGGAGTCTTCCAAGGAGGGTGCCCTGTCAGCCTGGTTTGGTGTTCTTTTCCCAGCCTTCAGAATGCCATGAGGAACATCAGGATAGGTAAGGGAAGAGAATAGGACAGAGTGCAACTTTATTCCATTTATCACTCCAAAGAACTGTTTGAATTGCCATATAGCATCCCAGCTCAGAGCACTCCAGGGATGGCCCACTCTGACTTGTATGGCCTTGTATAGAGGAAGCCCAGTGTTTGAGAAAATCTTAATTGCTAACAAATGTGCTTATTACATTAAAATCTGGGGGACAAAGATTTAAAACATAAAGAACAATATAACAATATTTGAGGCTAAGTTACTTCTACTCTGGTAGCTTTAGTATATTGTAAGCTAACAATTCCCCCAAGCACTATTAAAGAACTTCTTTCAGACCATCTCTTTTGTCTAAAGGAGGTATAAGTTTTAACCGCCATAGATATGCCTGTCCAGCCTTAAGTAGCAGATGTTAAAGGCCTAGAAACCCAAGCAAGGTAAGTAGATGAGCTGCCCCAGGCGCTGGACTGCGAGGCTATGCCCATATGCCACCCAGTGCTGGTGCTTCCCACTGTTCTCAGCGTGGGCTGTTAGGAGGAGGAGAGTCTGATTAGTGAGTGAGAGGATGGCTGTGCTCAGAAACAGGAGCAGAGGTGCCTGGCTCAGGGCACTGGTCCCAGGCAGGAACCCACCAAAGCTTGCACTTGTGTTTAAATTAGACCTGGAAGTTACTCACATTTGATTGCTTCACTGAGACTGTGGCTGAAAGATTGCATCTGAGGAATGTTTTTCTTTTCTTTTCTTTTCTTTTTTCTTTGCACTCTTAGTAAAATCTGTGAGGAATATTTTTACTCCTATAATTCTTCTTTTGTGTTCTCCTCTGCCCTCTTCCCTTTTTACACGTTACCAACAAAATGGGCAATGAATTGGTAGTTTTAGCCTCTCAACCCAGACCCTCCTTATCCCCCGCAACCTCTATTCCCTCACCTCACTCTGGGTAAGTCTGGTTTGTGTACCTTTCCTTCCTCATTTCAGCACTTATTCCCTTTTACCTGCTCTTGGCAAAGGGTCAGAGCTGATGTTTTTGTTAATAGCCACAGTCACCTGCCAGACAGAAATGTTGCAGGGAGTCTAAAACCAATAACTTGTAACCTTGCCTAAATCAGGAAGGGTTGGGTTATAATAGAGGAATAAACAGAACACATTCTGAGTGACATGTGTCTTCTCTTTCTAGACGGGGAAATCCTTTACATTTATGCAAAGAGCGATTCAAGAAGATTCAGAAGCTCTGGCACCAACACAGTGTCACAGAGGAAATTGGACATGCACAGGAAGCCAATCAGACACTGGTTGGCATTGACTGGCAACATTTATAATTATTGCACCACCAAAAAACACAAACTTGGATTTTTTTAACCCAGTTGGCTTTTTAAGAAAGAAAGAAGTTCTGCTGAATTTGGAAATAAATTCTTTATTTAAACTTTCCTTCCCAGTTTTATAGTTTCTGGTTCTGAGGACTGATGAAAATCATCTTCCATCAGCAGATTTTCTTGCACTGTTTGCTGTGCCCCTCAAATATAATGTCTTGGGTTTTAAGATCGAGCAAGGAGCTTCTCTTCCTAGATTGGATCCCAGCCCCTTTGTGGGGGTCTGACTGCATAGTCCCAGCCATTATGTGATATTTCACGTTATTGATGATAGTGAACCGTGGGTCCGAAGCTGACTCAACGGAGGCAGGGAACAAAGTCTCTGTGGTCTGTTGGGTCATACTTCCTGGTTCCACTGAGTGGCCCAACACTGGGACTGGGTTGGTGTCCCCTCTGCTGACAGGACCCTACTCCTAGGAGCAAAGTGGTTGATTTTGAAGGCAGTGTTCCCTTCTCTCCATTGACTATGAGAGAGTTGGGGGACACACATGCAGAAGAAGCCCGTGGGGAGAAGGTGGATTCCTGGTGTGCTGGCTGGTTTTTCAGGGCTGTTAGAGGTTTTTTTTTTTTCTTTTTTTTTTTATGGCAAGACTTTTGGCTTTGAGAAAACTCACTTAGAGGGCTTTCCAAAAACTTAGGATGGTCTAAAAAATTAGGATATTCTTTTAGAATTAGGAAGAAAAATTAGGATATTCTAAAAGAATATGGATTAAAAATTTAGGATATTCTTTTAGATATCCTAATATCTAGATGAGAGGCCTTCCTTCATAAGATCTGGTTGTTTGGGCTGTGGTTGGCATAAGTGATATTTATTTTGGCCTCTGTCACATCCAGTTTCTTGAGCTTTTAAGGTAAGCTTCTTTTGGCTTTTTTTCAGATGTTCACCAAGCTTAAGTTTAAAATAATAGGTATTCTAAAAGAGTATCCTAATTTTCTTATCTGTATTCTTTTAGAATACCCTAATGTTTCAGACAGTGATATTCTCTTGTTATTTCTAAGGCTAAATTGGCAGAGTATATCATCTAAAGCCAAACACTGAAGAAGGTGAGAACCCACTCCCACCCAGCCAGCATTTCCTGGAACAGACAAGCTGCTGCTTCCTTGCTGGCTCACTTAGTGCATTCCTGGGATGGTCTGGCACCCAGGCTTTTTATTCTTTTTGATCATTGTTCTTACTGAGGTGCCTTCCTAGAACAAGAGCCACTTACAAAATAGCTTATAATTATTATGTACCACACAACTACTATTGTTTGATGTATGACTGCTGAGAGCTTGAATACATGCAGAGAGTGACTGAAGACTTAGTAGAGGAATAAATTCTGAGCCTGTCTAAGGTGGGGCTAAGGAACAGATGAGTAATAAGAGGCTCTTGGATTTTTTTAACCAATGCAACTGACCCTTTCAATCAGTTTTCTTTGAATTACATCTACAAGTTTTGTTCCACTCAGCTACCAGTCAACTAGGCATGCTCCACAGTATCACAGGAAGAAGGTCAGAAATCTGGAACTGAAGCTAAAAGAAGTGAGGATGTAGAAGCCACATTCCTCTCCAAGGTAGTGTGTGAAAGAACCGCCCCCTCTTGACAGGAGGATGACCGTCGCCATTCTTGCGTGGGACTGACTCACCCAGCTGAGAGGAGGACCAATAGAAAGAAAATTCACATTTGAGTCCACCTCTCTCCCCCTTTTTCTGGCCTTCATTCATAAGATCTGGTTGTTTGGGCTGTAGGTGGCATAATTCATGTTTATTTTGGCCTCTGTCACATCCAGTTTCTTTAGCTTTTAAGGTAAGCTTCTTTTGGCTTTTTTTCATATGTTCACCAAGCTAAAATTTAAAATAATAAGACCAGGTTTCTCTCTGTACAAGTGGATTATAAACATTTTCACCAAATCATAACAATACTCCAGCTTTCCGGTCCGACTTCCTAGGAGCCTGGAGTTAGCAAAGGTTGTCTCTGGATTTCATTCTCTGAGAATATCACAGAGCCTGGGAGAAGATGAATTTACATGAAATTGCAACATACACACCTTTTTATTTTCTGGTGTTAAGCTAGTTGTCTTTCCTACCTTACAAATCATGTTAGTTTTATGATTTGTTCCGCATGTTTTATGTTTATTGTAGAAATGTTTATATAACATACGCTTTCCATATCAGGGAAAATCATATCTGTTTAATAAATTGGCTATAACTTTAATATCTGTGGACAACTTGTAAAATTTGGAATGTATCATATGTAAAAAGTTTAAAGATATCCAAATAAATGCTTTAGGTGTTGGCATTACTTTTGGTTAGCATATATCTTTCTGTTTCATTTTACACATTTACCTGCCACAGCAAGGTGCCCGTGTCACCTTGCTACAAATATAGTGGGATATCTGTATTAGCTTTAAATTTAAGAGGGTTATATTATTATGGCCACTAGCCAAACTATCTTGACCTTCTCAGAGAAAGTGTGATCATCATTTCAGCTGATTAAGTTTCATATTCATTAGCCATGACAGCGTGTGACCTTTGTGGACCATTTTGGAACTCAAATCACTGGGAAACAGGGCACTCCAAGACCTGTGTCTGGGTTTAAACTCTTGTTCATCCTTACCTGGTGATCTCAAGGTCCTTGTCCTTACACACTCCCCTAGTGTGCTGGCTGGTTTTTCAGGGCTGTTGGAGGTTTTTTTTTTCTTTTTTTTATGACCACTTCCTGCTTTTGAGAGAGAGACATAGAAAGGCAGCTACACTGTCTTCCTAGGGGAGTCATTGCCCATGAGAATTCTGTTTTTTTTGAAATCCTCTTGAGAGCATCAAACTAAAACAGCAAGGTTTCCATTGCACTCACCCTGCCTCCTGGTCAGTAACACTGCTCCCAGCCTACTGCCTTCACCACTCTTGTCTTTAGTTCCAGGAACTCATGAAGCCCCTTCTGACATGCTCCTCCCTGTCTTCCTACTCTTGATTTTGGTGTGGTGGTGGTTTGGTTTGGTTTTTTTAAAGAGACAGGGTCTTGCTTTGTCCCACAGGCTGGAGTGCAGTGGCACAGCCTTGGTTCACTGCAGCCTCAACCTTCTGGGCTCGAGCAATCCTCCCACCTCAGCCTCCCAGTAGCTGGTACTATAGAGGCACATGCCACCACACCTGGCTAATTTTTGTATTTTTTTTGTAGATACAGCCGCGCTATGTTGCCCAGGCTGGTCTTGAACCCTTGGGCTCAAATGATTCTCCCGCCTCAGCCTCCCAAATGCTAGGATTATAGGTGTGAACCACTGTGCCTGGCCTGTTCCTACTCTTGTTTTTTAAGTCACATTTATTGAGGTATATTTTACAAACAGATTAACTCTTTTTAGTGTACAGTTTTATACATTTTAACAAATGCATACAGTTAAACAACCACAATCGAGAAATAGAACAATTCCATCTTCCCCAAAAGTCCCCTTTGTAGTCAGCTTCTTGCCTCATCCTGGCTTTCAGCTACCAGTGTTTTTCTCTCCCTTTGTTTTGTCTCTTCCCGAATGTTATATAAATGGAATTGTATCATATGTAGCATTTTGAGTCTGGCTTCTCACTAAAGAAGAATGCATTCGGGTCCTCCCTGTTCCTTTGGATTGCTGAGTAGCATTCCGTTGTACAGACTTCTGGGCAGTTGCCAGATGAAGGGCATTTGGGTGAGTTTGGGTGATTGTTTTGGTGATTACTGCTACAAACATTCATGGATGGGTTTTTGTACAAACCTGAATTTTCACTTCCCTCAGGTAAATAGCTAGAAGTTGTCCCTTACATCTTAATCCTCCATTTGATGCCATCCTGAGAGCTCAGCATTCTCTAATCTGTAACTTTGCTGTTTACAGTCCTCTGTGATGGACAGGATAAAATGCTGTCAGGAGTTAAGAACTGACATGTTTTTCCCCTTCCAGCCAATCTATCCATTGTGACCTGGGAAGGCACTTGTCTCTTCCCTGGACTTTCATAGTATTGGACAGACACTTTTCTCTTCCTAACACAGTGGTGCTGCCTGCCTGCGCTGTCATTGAGAGCCATCTTTTTAGCCAGTCGTGGATGAAAAGCCCTGTCTTGGTCCACGATTTTCCCTGGCTAAGCTGCAAACATGCTGGCCTAGTGTAACAGGTGCCCGGACGAGGAGGGGCAGGGGAGCGTGCAGAGCGGGCACCTAATCTTATTAACCCATATTAAGGTTACTAGGGGTTTATTTACTGGCAGCTCAGTCCCAGGCTTGAAGCATGTTGTAAAGAAGCTGTGGGTTCTGGAACTGAGGCCAAAAATTCTAGGACACAGCTTCCCAAATATTCAGGATAGTCATCACCTGTTTCTTCACCGTGGAGTGAGCATTTTAAAAATGAAAGTCCTAAGGCCCTGTCTACCCCCACCCCATCCCGGGGCTATGCTGGCAGAACTTTAAAAGCTAGCTGGGCCAGGTGGCTCACTCCTATAATCCCAGCACTTTGGGAGGCCAAGGCGGGCAGATCACCTAAGGACAGGAGTTCGAGACCAGCCTGGCCAACATGGTGAAATCTCATCTCTAATAAAAATACAAAAATTAGCCGGGCGTGGTGGCAAACGCCTGTAATCCCAGCTAGTAGGGAGGCTGAGGCAGGAGAATCACTTGAACCCAGGAGGCGGAGGTTGCAGTGAGCTGAGATCATGCCATTGCACTCCAGCCTGGGCAACAAGAGCAAAACTCCATATTTGAAAAAAAAAAAAAAAAAGTAGGCTGGGTCCCTCAGGAGAAAAGGATTTACACCAGCCCAAGGAAAGACTGAAGTTACACACAAGCAAAAACCTGATAGCAGAGACTTCCTGGGCACTGGTAGGTGACCAAAAGGGATGGTCCAGGTTTCTCTCGCAACTACCGGCTACCTGAGAAGACCTGTTAAAATGCAGTTAACCCTAAGCCTGCTCCGAACCAATGAGTGAGATTTATTGTAGAGTCAATGCACTCTTGGTCCTCTCAACAACCTTCAGATTCTCAGGTTGTTCACATTTGCTCCTATAACCTGGCCCCATAGAGACTCATATTTCCCTGTTTGAGGAAATAACGTTTTGGCCAGAGGAGAAGAAAAAATGGCTTGGAGTTTTGCCTAAATTTCTACATTAAAATTCCATGTATTCAGCTCTGGTTCAAACTCCAGCAAATGCTGAGATTATTTGGATATAATAATAGTCACTGTTGTAATAGTCACCGTTCTTACAGGTAAGAGATGGCAAGATGGAGAGATGTGATACCCAAGCCATGTTTATAACAACGATTGTTACCAATGCTTCCCTTAGGGTGGGTTTCTTTTCTTTTTTGGCAAATACTAGCGGTAGTAGGGGATTCTGATATATGTTGTTGAATGGGCTTAAACAGTCATTTAACAAAAGTGATTTTCATACAGTATGAATTTTAATTATCTATTGACAGCTGTTAACAGCATAGTTACACTTGTGGGCCTAGAGCAGCACTTTCACCGTGGTTCTCAGCACTCTTGAGAGATAGCAAGAGCTCAGGGACCTTTGCCAAAGATGGCTGGCTCAGCATTTTTTCAGTATGGATCATTCCTTGGCCTCAACGAGATTCAGAAATCTAATTAAACTTGGGACCAACGTCTGACAGGGTGTCCAAACATCTTGGATCTGGTCTTCTGCTTGGGGGAATTAAGCCCAGAACATACCCCAGCAGCACCAGAAGTCTTATTTTCTCTACACTGAAGTTCTTAGGACAGCAGAGAACCCAAACTCAGTCCAAAGTAACCTATTCCCAAACACCATCGGTCAGAAGCAGAGGTAAGTTATGGACTGTTCCCTTTCTGGTTTTTGCCTTCTGGCCTCGGTCTCCAGCCAGGTAGGAACGAGCTCTCTTGAATGTTCATCCAACTGGAGGAATTATGCTGGGCCCTGCCTTGGTCTGGTCACCAGGGCTTGGGAAGTCAGCAAAATCATTCTCTCCTTCCCCTGAAAGCTTCTCTTTCCTAAAGAAAGTGAAAACTCCTGTATTTGCTAGCTCAGGAAGATGGGCTATCTCAAAGAATCTCCTTTGATGCAGAAGCATTCCAGAAATAGTGTTTTTCAAGATGGGTATCTGGGGGGAAGAAACGGAAGAAGCTCCCAGAGGATTCCTTGCCCTTTGCTGTGGACAATTAGTGTTGTCCATGGGGCTGTGATGGCCACCTGTGTGGGTGTCCCTGGGCCCACCAAGAGCTGAGGCCTGGTCTCCAAAGGGTGGACTCATGTCTGATTGTTGCTCCTCTTCCACAGCAGGGCAGCAGCCTACCCCACTGCTTCCACCGATGAGCCACAGGAGATCACCTGGCACTTTAGGGGTGGTGTGGTGCTGGGACACGCCAACAGCCTGACTTCCTCAACCCGTGGTTCACTCCAGACTCAGTGACCGAGGGCATGTGAATGGGACACAAAAGCAGGCCTTTCACTGTGTTTTTGGTGGGGGATAAAATCCCCTGCCTTGAAATTCTCTTGCTCCATGATTAAAGAATCCTGTTTAGAGCCCTCAATGCCTTAAGAGTCCATTATTCTTAGAAAAGCGTAACTTTCCCCCAACTTCTGGCATTAAGCAAACGGCCAACCTGTCAATCTTGGCATTAAAAAAAAAAAAAAAAGACAACATGGCCATTTTTCAGATTTCTGTGCTTATGCACCAAGTGACACTTTGGATAGAGTGAAGCAACATGGAGCTCATAAGAGGTAAATTCTAAAAGGGGAGCAGCCCTCAGATACGGCCAGTGGCCATAGGGTGGGACTAAATCCGTGTGAGAAAGATGGGTCCTGGGCTAGTCGTCTGAGACAGCCCCCGAGTCACCAGGAGGGCATATCCTAGGGCAGCGGGCCTGAAGGGAGCTTCACTCACATTCACATTAGCTTCATTCACATTTTGGGTCAGTCATTCAACAACTGTGTGTCAAATGCTTTTAGGGACCCTAAACTTAAATTCCACCGTCAGGGAGAGTCTCTGTAAGATGGTGCCCTCCTTGGGAGATTCAGACTTTCGGAGTTGGATGAGGGGGAGATCCACGTTTCTTGGAGTGCACTATTTCTCAGTGTTCGGGAGGGGAGGGGCCCCAGGGCCCTCAGCCAGCCTCTGGGGCCTGGCCTGCGTCTGCGCCCTCGGCTTCCACCTGGTTGCCCTTGCCCAGCTTCTTCACACTCTCCAGAAAGGCCTTCCAGGTCTCCGGCACGCTCCTCTCCAGCAGCCAGCCCTGGCTCTCGCTCTCAGATTCCTCGGGGTTGGACACACCATCCAGCGACGTCTGTAGGTAGCGCAGCCCAATTGTAATGGTCACCTGGTGGTGGGAGAGGAGATTTAGAGGCAATCTGGGAGAATCGCTGGGAGCTGGACCATTAGGAAACCACAGGAGCCTCAAATTGAGGGTCCCAGAGAGGACTCAACCTGAGCACTGTGGAGTGTGGGTTGGTGACAGCCTGCCCCACGCTGCCCTGTCCTCAGTGCTCAACACACCTGACTCTTCTCCAGCCTCATGTCAGACCCCTCTCCTCCTCCCTTTCCAGCCATCCTGGGCTGCTTCGGATTCGCCCATGCCCCCTACTTTCTCCCCTCTAGGTCTTTACCATCTGCTATGCTCTCTGCCTAGAACCTTGCTCCTCTCCACGTTCATCTGTTAATTCATCTTCAGCCCTTGGTGAGCTCCCCGGCAGCTCATCCTCCCTCCCCATCCCCTCGGGTCGCCCCCATCCCAGGTGCATTATTCCTGGGTGCCTTCACCTCTACACCCCATTGCTTGGCACATATTGGGTAGTTCAGTAACTGCCTTGGGTGGAATTAAGAGGTCACCTCCTTTTCTGCATCTGATGTGTGGTACTTCTTTTTTTTTTTTTTTTTTTTTTTTGAGACAAGTCTTACTCTGTCACCCATGCTGGAGTGCAGTGGCGTGGTCTCAGCTCACTACAAACTCTATCTCCTGTGTTCAAGGAATTCTCATGCATCAGCCTCTTGAATAGCTAACGTTGCAGGTGCCTGCCACCATACCTGACTAATTTTTGTATTTTTTTGTTGTTATTGTTGTAGATATGTGGTTTCCCCATGTTGCCAGCTGGCCTCGAACTCCTGGCCTCAAGATCCACCCGCCTCGACCTCCCAAAGTGCTGGGATTACAGGTGCGAGCCACCATGCCCAGCCCTTCCATTATTTTGATGAGCACAGTGATGAATGGATGCTGGTAAAAAATAATTTGGATTTGTTCACTAGCATTCACTGTGTGGCAGACTTGGTGCCAAAATGCCTGGGTTCAAACCCGGGCACTTAGCCAGCCGTGTGACCAGGAAACCTCACTTTATTCATCCGGTTTGCAGATTTTCAGATGAAGTGGTGCCCACCCCGTGTGGATACTGTGCCACTTTAATATGTGTAAAACACACAGGCCAAGTGCAATGGTGCATGCCTGTAATCCCGGCACTTTGGGAGGCCAAGGTGGAGGGAGGATTGCTTGAGCTCAGGAGTTCGAGACCAGCCTGGGCAACATAGCGAGACCTCATCTCTACTAAAAATAAAAATAAAAATAATTGCCGGGTGTGGTGGCGCGTGCCTGTAGTCCCAGCTACCCGGGTACTTGGGTAGCCAAGATGGGAGGATCTCATGAGCCCCAGAGATGGAGGCTGCAGTGAGCCATGACTCCACCACTGCACTCCAGCAAACACCACCACTGTACCTAGTGCACAGTAAGGACCAACAGAAGAGCAGAAGAGTCAGCTGTAGCTGATAATTAGCTTATTGTTTTCACTTTTTTTTTTTTTTGAGATGGAGTCTCGCTCTGTCACCCAGGCTGGAGTGCAGTGGCACGATCTTGGCTCACTGCAATCTCCGCCTCCCGGGTTCAAGCAAGTCTCCTACCTCAGCCTCCCGAGTAGCTGGGATTACAGGCGTCAAAAACTTGGCACCACGCCTGGCTAATTTTTATATTTTTTGTAGAGACAAGGTTTCGCCATGTTGGCCAGGCTGGTCTCAAACTCCTGACCTCAGGTGATCTGCCCGCCTCAGCCTCCCAAAGTGCTGGGATTACAGGCGTGAGCCACCACACCCTGTTTTCATTTTTCTATAATATATTCCGTATATTCCGTTAGCCACTTGTTTCTGTACAAATTCCCGGCTTGCTCTCCTCCACTTCTTTGTATGGCATAGCAAACTCTACAAGAGGATGAAGCTGCTCCCTGAGGGCAGGGATGGCCCTGACTCATCTGGCTCACTCAGAATCCCAGCACCTAGAACAGTACCAGGTAGGGGGAGGGCCTCAGTAAATCTCTTTTGAATGAATGCTCTGGGACATTTTATAATTATGGCAGTAGATAATAATAACTGATAGAGTTTTAGATTTATGTTACTGCTATTGTCAACTGGAAGTTGAATAAATATTTTTACAGCAGAAAAAGTCACCTCCTCCATGAAGTCCTCTTGATGTGAACGCGTCCACTCTGATCCCCTCCTGCTTTCCTGAAGGAGGCTCTCTGCACTGTGAGTTTTGCACTTGGTAGTGATCCTCCCTTTGGCTCATAAATTAGACATCATCTCCTGACTGGATTGTGAAGCCTAGGCAGGCACAGCCAAGATCAGACTCCTAACATTATGCTCAGCCACCCTTGGCCCATCAGACCTCTGTCCATTAAAGGCCCCAAGTAAAAGGGGCATTTGAATGCCCTCTTCCCAATAAGCTGATTCTTGTCTAATGCAGTCCACTAGATTCCTGTAAAGGTGGGGCCACTAAGAGGCTGCCAATGGAACCCCATTCATTTTCCCACTGACTTTTCTTTCTTTTTTTTTTTTTTTGGAGATAGAGTCTGGCTCTGTTAGAGTGCAGTGTTGAGATCATGGCTTACAGCAGCCTTGACCTCCAGGGCTCAGGTGATCCTCCTGCCTGAGCCAGGAGGATCCAGGACTACATGTGTGCACCACCACACAAAGCTAATTTTTATGTTTTTGTTTTTGTTGCTCAAGCTGGAGTGCAATGGCGTGATCTCGGCTCACCACAACCTCCACCTCCCAGGTTCAAGCAATTCTCCTGCCTCAGCCCCCAAGTAGCTGGGATTACAGGCATGCACCATTAGGCCCGGCTAATCTTGTATTTTTAGGTAGAGACAGGGTTTCTCCATGTTGGTCAGGCTGGTTGCAAACTCCCAACCTCAGGTGATCCCCCGCCTCGGCCTCCCAAAGTGCTGAGATTACAGGCATAAGCCACCGCGCCTGGCCGTCATTTTTGTGTTTTTTGTAGAGATGAGATCTTGCTATGTTGCCTGGGCTGGTCTAAACTCCTGGGCTCAATTGATCCTCCTGCCTTAGCCTCCCAAATCCTAGCTAATGCCTGCTAGGATTACAGGTGTGAGCCACCGCTCCTGGCTCCGCTGACTTCTTTTATGCCTCCATCTCTGGGGCTCATGAGATCCTCCCATCTTGGCCATCCGAGTACCTGAGTAGCTGAGACTATAGGCATGCGCCACCACGTCCAGCAATTTTTTTTTTTTTTTTTTTTTTTTTTTAGTAGAGATGAGGGCTCACTATGTTGCCCAGGCTGGTCTTGAACTCCTGAGCTCAATGCTAGTGAACTTTTATGACTTCTTTTATATTCAGTCTTCTTTTTGTGTGTTTTCAGGGAATGTGGCCATCTAAATTTCCAGCAGTATGTTCCTCTCCTCATTCTACCCACCCAAGACTCTGTGTCAAGGAGTCAGCGACCAATAAATAGTCATGAATATGCTGTGTTTGCCTCAGCATTAAAAGAAGGCTTCGGCTGGGCGCAGTGGCTCACGCCTGTAATCCCAGCACTTTAGGAGGCCGAGGTTGGGGGATCACCTGTGGTCAGGAATTCAAGACCAGCCCAGCCAACATGGTCAAACCTCGTCTCTACTAAAAATACAAAATCAGCCAGGCGTGGTGGTGGGCGCCTGTAATCCCAGCTATTTGGAAGGGGCTGAGGCAGAAGAATCACTTGAACCCAGGAGTCTGAGGTTGCCGTGAGCTGAGATCGCGCCACTGCACTCCAGCCTGGGCAACAAGAGTGAAACTCTGTCTTAAAAAAAAAAAAAGGCGGCTTCCTGGACATACAGTCACCCTTTAGTTTCATGTGGTGAGTTAGAGGAGGTGTTTATCAGCCACAGGCAGGATGCACTGGCTGATAGCATTAGGACAGTGACTCATTTAAAGGAATCTTTGGGAATCTCCTCAATGGAAAAAGCTTCCTCACCAAATCTTCCTGGCTTTGTACATTGGGATTTTGAAGTTTGGATTTTCTGCTCTCAAGGTAGCTCAAAGCAGCTACCCTGAGTCACCATGCCACCTCATTTACTAACAGGCTCTCATTCAACACCTGAGCTGTGCCTGGCATATGGGTACATGTTTAAGAAATATCTCTGACCACGTGTGGTGGCTCACGCCTGTAATCCCAGCACTTTGGGAGGCCGAGGCCGAGGCTGGTGGATTATTTGAGGTCAGGAGTTCAAGACCAGCTTGGCCAACATGGTAAAACCCCATCTCTACTAAAAATACAAAAACTGGCTAGGCGTGGTGGTGCACGCCTGTAATCACAGCTACTTGGGAGGCTGAGACAGGAGAATTGCTTGAACCTGGGAGGTGGAGCTTGCAGTGAGCTGAGATCGTGCCATTGCACTCCAGCCTGGGTGACAGAGCAAGACTTCATCTCAAAAAAAAAGAAAGAAATATCTCTTGGCCAGATGCAGTGGCACACACCTGTAATCCCAGCACTTTGGGGGACCAAGGTAAGAGGATTGCTTGAAGCCAGGAGTTAGAGAGCAGCCTGGGCAACATAGCAAGACCCCATTTCTACAGAAGACTCTACGGAGTATGACTCAGGGCACCTGTTTTCAGCTACTCTGCATGTGCCTATAGTCCTAGCTACTCAGAAGGCTGAGGTGGGAAGAGCCCTGAGCCCAGGAGTTCAAGGCTGCAGTGAGCTACGATCATGCCCCTGCACTCCAGCCTGGGTGACAGGTGAATTTTTCTTCTTGTCTCTAAAAAAAATAATAATAAACAATTTAAAATAATAAAAATAAAAAATGAATATCTCTTTAACCAAAGAGCGAATTCAGCACACTCACCGAGGATTTGCTTACATTGCAAGCCCTATAGCTACAGAGAAACTGAGCGTTGCAGATAAGATGAACCCACACATAACTAGACTAACAGGTAAATGAGGACCAGCATCCCAAGAAGCACAAATCCAAACAGTACCCATTTCCTGAACACCTGCACATGCTGTTCATGTTGCCTCCCAATAGTCCCCAAAGCTAAGTGCTGTCACCCCATATAACAGAGAGGTTAAATGACTAAGACCTCGGTACCAAAAAGTGGGGACACAGGATGAACCTCCAAAACATGCTAACTAAAAGAAGCCAAACGTAATATGGGTCCATTTATATGAAATGTCCAAAATACATAAATCCAGAGAACAGTTGCCAGGGGCTGGAGGGCAGGTTGGGAGGTGGTGACTGCTTCATGGGTGTGAGATTTTCTTGGGGGCTGATGGAAGTCTTTTGGAACTAGGTAGAGGTGCTTGCACAACATTGTAAATCAACTAGATGACACCAAATTGTTTACCTTTTATAAATCTCACCTCAATTAAAAAAACAATTGTCGGTCGGGTGCAGTGCTCACACCTGTAAACCCAGACTTCGGGAGGCCGAGGCAGGCAGATCACGAGGTCAGGAGATCGAGACCATCCTGGCTAATGCAGTGAAAACCTGTCTCTACTACAAATATAAAAAATTAGCCGGGCATGGTGGCACATGCCTGTAGTCCCAGCTATCGGGAGGCTGAGGCAGAAGGATCCCTTGAACCCAGGAGAGGGAGGTTGCAGTGAGCTGAGATCATGCCACTGCACTCCAGCCTGGGCAACACAGAGAGACTCAGCCTCAAAATAAAAAAAAAATAAAAAAAATAAATTTAAGTGGTGGGAAAGAAACCAAAAAAGAAATAAATGAATAAATAAATAAATAAATAAATACAAAAGGTGGAGGCCCTGGGTGGGGTTCAAGCCCAGACTGATCTGACCCACAGCTCCACTGAAGGCTGTTTCCAAAGAGGGAGGCATGCTCTCCAAGCCTGGCTCCGCCCCCATTAGACCCAAATGGGACCGGAGGCTCTCCTTACCCTCTACCCCCAGCTGGCCCAGGGCCTACCTCGAAGAGCCAAATGAGGAGCGTGACGACACCCATGGAGTTCATGAGGCTGCTGTAGTAGCTCAGCAGGGCAGCCCTGCAGCCACGCACCCACAGGTTGAGCTCCTCCGTCTGGTGGTCGTAACTGTAGTGTGCTGAGTTGTTGGTGATCTGATACTGGATGCAGGGCCGTGGCGAGCTAGGATTGCAGCAGCTGAAAGGGACGCCGTCCACCAGGTACCGCCCATCCACGTTGCTCTTGATTCGACTTAAAGGGAAACAGACAGCTGGAGATGGGCTTCCCGGGCTTCTCAACAGGGGCCACTTCCTCCCAACCCCTGCCTCTGGAAACCTAGAATAGTCATTCACTCGCACACTTGGTATATATTTGCTGTGCGCCCGCTACGTGCCAGTCACTGTTCTAGGCGCTGAAGACAAAAAAATGAATAAATGCCCCTGCCTTCCTCGACCTTGAGGTAGACGGTAATCCAAGACCCAAGTCAATAGGGAGTATAGAAATTCACCCAACCACTCTGTGCTGCCAGGCGCTTTCTTGGGGCCATGCCTGGTGCATAGGTGGGTAGGAGGAGCAGCAGGATGGGAGCTGTTGATGGACAAGCATCTGGCTGCCACTGGTGATGCCCACAGCTCCCTCACCAACCTCATCTCCCCCTTACAGGTCACTGGTGGCCAAGGCCCTTTCCAGCCAGGTGTTTCCAGAAGGCCTGCTCAGTCCCAGGGCCTGTGCAGAGGCAGGGGATGGAGACCCGAGGCAGGCACAGTCCTTGCCCTCGGAGGACTCCACCCCCAGCCAGGTGGGAGCTCCTGACTCACCTAAGGGACACAGCTGCAAGCAGGTTCTCCAGGCTGATGGGCGGGGCTCCCAGCATATCTTCTGCACTTCTATATTTTTGTGTGTATTTGTTTAGCGCTTACCATACATTCACACAGGTTCAGAATTCAAAAGGGATCTTTACAGTGAAAAGTCTCCCCTTCCCCTCAGGCAGGCTGGGTATGTTCTACCTGGCCTGGGGGTGATTACCCAGGTGTTTTATGGTCAAAACTCCCTGAGCTGCACACTTAAGATCCGTGCATTTGGCTGGGCATGGTGGCTCATGTCTGTAATCCCAGCACTTTGTAAGGCCGAGGCGGGAGCCCAGGAGTTCAAGGCAGCAGTGAGCTATGATCACACCACTGCTCTCAGCCTGGGCAACAGAACAAGACTTTCTCTAAAAAAAAAAAAAAAAAAAAAAAAAATATATATATATATATATATATATATATATATTTGTGCACTTGACTGGGTGCTTGTCATCTAAATAAAAAGTTGCAGCCAGGCGCGGTGGCTCACGCCTGTAATCCCAGCACTTTGGGAGACGAAGATGGGCAGATCTTCATCAAGGTCAAGAGATCGAGACCATCCTGGCCAATATGGTGAAACCCCGTCTCTACTAAAAATACAAAAATTATCTGGGCGTGGTGGCACGCGCCTGTAGTCCCAGCTACTCGGGAGGCTGAGGCACGAGAATCACTTGAACCCGGGAGGAAGAGGTTGCAGTGAGCCAAGATCACACCACTGCACTCCAGCCCGTACGATACAGTGAGACCCCGTCTCAAAAAAAAAAAAAAGAAAAAGTTGCATGTAGGCCAAGTGCAGTGGCTCACACCTGTAATCTCAGCACTTTGGGAGGCCCAGGTGGGCAGACGACCTGAGGTCAGGAGTTCAAGACCAGCCTGGGCAACATGGTGAAACCTCATCTCTACAATTAATAAAAATACAGGCCGGGCACGGTGGCTCAAGCCTGTAATCCCAGCACTTTGGGAGGCTGAGGCGGGTGGATCACGAGGTCAGGAGATCGAGACCATCCTGGCTAACACGGTGAAACCCCGTCTCTACTAAATATACAAAAAATTAGCTGGGCGTTGTGGCGGGCTCTTGTAGTCCCAGATACTCGGGAGGCTGAGGCAGGAGAATGGCGTGAACCCAGGGGGCGGAGCTTGCAGTGAGCCGAGATCACGCCATTGTACTCCAGCCTGGGCGACACAGTGAGACTCTGTCTCAAAAAAAATAAAAATAAAAAATAAAAAAATAAAAATAAAAATACAAAAAAATTAGCCAGGCGTTGTGGTGCATGCCTGTAGTCCCAGCTATTCGGGAGGCTGAGGCACGAGAATCACTTGAGCCCGAGACGCAGAGGTTGCAGTGAGCCGAGATCACGCCAGTGAGACTCTGTCTCAAAAAACAAAAAAAAAAGAAAGAAAGGAAAAAGAAAAAAAAATTGCACGCGAAGAATGCGTTACATAATAGACTTTTAGAACATAATAGAAAGCATAACTGTTTCCAATAGAGATTATTTTAAACAATGTTCATTGAATTGGTCACGAATCTCTTAAAAGATGTCCATCTTTTGCTTCTAAATAAAATCTCTTTAATATAAAATGCCTCTCACTCCTCATCTCTCAGCCTCCAGGTCCTGACCGCTATGGCCAGTTCCACCAGAGAGAGGCTTCATGCATGGACAAGCAAACATGTTTTCATTTTTCCTGTTCTTTTTTTATTACTGCAAATTAGAACATTATATACATACTGTCTTGAACCTTTCTTTTTTCCCTTAGCAATATCTTGGAGATCTTTTTTTTTTTTTTTTTGGCATGGATGGGGGATGGAGTCTTGCTCTGTCACCCAGGCTGGAGTGCAGTGGTGTGCCACCATGCCCAGCTAACTTTTGTATTTTCAGTAGAGATGGGGTTTTGTCATATTGGCCAGGCTGCTCTGGAACTCCTGATCTCGAGTGATCCACCTGCCTCAGCCTCCCAAAGTGCTGGGATTACAGGTATGAGCCACTGCGCTCGGCTGAGATATTTTCGTATCTGTCTGTGGAGTGTCCTGGATTTTTGTTTGTTAATGAGCTGCATGGTATTCCCATTGCGTGGATGGCACATGGGTCCTAGCCAGTTCCAGACTGATGGAAGTTTGGGTTTTTCCCAGTCTCTCGTTAATACAAACATGGACATCAGTCATTTTGCATATTGTGACTATATGGAGCAGGTAAATTCCTTGAAGATGGATCCTTGCATCAAAGGGTGATCTTGCCAGATACCTGCCATTTTTCTCCTCTGGTCTCTCCTGCTGGGGGCTGAGGTGGGGGCGCGGTTCACAAAGCCCAACCAGCCATGCTCAGGAGAACCTGTCCTCCACAGCCACATCCACACAGGTCAGACTTTTGATCTTTGCCAACCTAATCTTTGAAAAACAGTATCTCAGAGTTGTTTTCATTTCCATTTTTCTCATTATGAGTGAAGTTGAGCGTCTTTTGGTGTGCTCAAGGGCCACTGGTGGTTCCATTTCCATGAACCATGTTGACTTCCGCCTATTATGATTAAGACTTTCTAGAAGGGCTGCATGAGGTGGCCTGGGTCATGGCAACCATGTTTCCACACGCCCTGTAATCCCTGCCCTCTACTTCGTGGGCAGAACACACTGCCCAGAGACCACATGGCCCTGGGTGGCATGGGCAGCACAGATCGGTGACAAGAGCCGGACAGCCTGGGTTTACTCCTGGCTCGCCCACATGCCAGCTCCATCCCTCTGGACAAGTTCCTTAACCTCTCCCTGCCTCTGCTTCCTTATATTTGAAACAAAGGATTACATGAAGTGATACATGTAAGAGTGCTTGAAGAGTGCTGGTATTAATACATAGTAGCCATGCGCTGTGAGCAAAAGCCACCTCACTGGGCAGGTGGCCGAGCAAGAGCCATCAGGGGTGGTACTCTGAGCACCTGGGAGCTGACATCAGGTTGTAAGAACAGAGCCCACCACGCCATATCATATCATGGGAGAGCCCTCCCTGGGGAGTTGGCCGTGCAGGTTCTACCAGCTGTGGCAAAGAAGCTGTCAGCTCCTTGAGGGCAGGATCGTGCGGGCCACCCTCCATGGTGGGCCTGACACGGAGCACCTGCCCGCTGGCACTGCCTGCCCACCACTCAAAGCCCCACTCCAGCCATGTGCGTGGGGAAGGCAGAAACTGTGTCTTGCTCAGCTGTCCTTCTGCAGCCCCTCTCTGGGCACCGGGCTGTTGGTGACGGAAGTGGGGCAGGGGTGGGAAGACAAGCTGGAGCAGTGTGAGGGGGGCCTTCAGCTCGGGCCTCCCGCTCCCCTCTACTGGCCCTCTGGAGGGGCCAGTAGCCCTGGACACACTGAGCAGATGGCATCTCTGCAGTGGTCTCTCCCTTCTTCCCCCAAGACCTTCCCCAAAGTGTCCTCCTCAAGGCTAGGGGCCTCCCAACCCAAATGCTGTCTGTCCCACCTCCTGACCTACAGGCTGTCCCTGGAGCCTTCCCCTCAGTACAGTGTCCCAGCTGAGCCATTGCCAGTGTCCTGTGGACAGGGTGGGGGTGATTGAAAGCACACCACTGAGTCCTAAATATGTATTTGGGAGCCATGGAGCTTAAACTCTGTGGACCTGCGTGAGCTGGGAGTGATAGCAGCTGCCTCTCAGGGGTTATGGGGGATATAAATGAGACAATTCGAGTCACGCATTTGACACAGGCTGGACATGCTGGAGGCCTCAGAAAATGTTGTCCCTCCTTCCGCTTAGAGCCATTGGATAAGACCTGGAAAACCATCGGATTGTCCTACAGAGGAGCAAGTGGGGCCCAGAGGAGGGCAAGGCCTCGCCCAAAGCCACACAAGAAGTCGGGGTCCAGCCGGGCGCGGTGGCTCACGCCTGTAATCCTAGCACTTTGGGAGGCTGAGGTGGGCAGATCATGAGGTCAGGAGTTCGAGACCATCCTGGCCAACGTGGTGAAACCCCGTCTCTACTAAAAATACAAAAAATTAGCCGGGCGTGGTGGCGGGCGCCTGTAATCCTAGCTACTGGGGAGGCTGAGGCAGAAGAATCACTTGAACCAGGGAGGTGGAGATTGCAGTGAGCTGAGATCATGCCATTGCACTCCAGCCTGGGCAACAGAGTGAGACTCTGTCTCAAATTAAAAAAAAAAAAAAAAAAAAACTTGGGTCCAGCCCACAGCAGTTGCCCACTGGTCCCATTGGAGTTCCCCACCTCCCTTGTCCCTCCTGACTTGACCTTTCATTCATTCACTCACTTGATAAATATTTGCTGTGCACCTGCTACCTGCCAGCTGCTATTCTAGGCGCTGAAGACAGAGCAGTGAATAAATGCCCCTGCCTTCCTCGATCTTATGGCCTAGAGGGTTGAGGTAGATGGTAATCCAAGACCAAGTCAATAGGGAATATAGAAATTCACCCAACCACTCTGTGGGGCCAGGCCCTTCCTTGGGGTCATGCCTGGAGGGTAGGAGGAGCAGCAGGATGGGAGCCGTTGATGGACGAGCATCTGGCTGCCATTGGTGACACCCCAGCTCCCTCACCAACCTCATCTCCCCCTTACAGGTCACTGGTGGCCAAGGCCCTTTCCAGCCAGGTGTTTCCAGGCCTGGAAGTTAAATTTCCTGGAAAACTGTGTGTTTTCTCCCCTCTTCCCTGTCCCAGGAGTCCTTTCCTAGCCACCACCACCTACCCTCAGGTACCTACCAGGTGGCCCTAAGGTGGAGCAAACCTTGCACACCCGCCTCATGCACACTAAGGTGTCTGTGATGTGAGGGTCAGGCCTAAAACTGTGTGGGCTGAGGCCAGCAGAGGCTCTGAGCCACCCTCAGTCTGCAGGCTGGGCTTGCGGACATTCCCCGTCTCCCCACCTCGCCTCCCTGAGCCCCCAGACAAGTCACCCTAATGGTCTCCACCAGGCTGTCTCCCCTCACACTGGGGCTCCCTGAGTCAGGGCTGTGTCTCCCCCTCAGACTGGGGCTCCCTGAAGACGGGGCTGTGTCTCCCCATCAGACTGGGGTTCCCTGAGGACGGGGCTGTGTCTCCCCTCAGACTGGGGCCCCCTGAAGATGGGGCTGTCTCCCCTCAAACTGGGGCTTCCTAAAGACAGGGCTGCGTCTCCCTCATACTGGGAACTTCCCAGTGTATTCCCAGGGGCAACATCCAGGTCAGCCTGGGGGAAAAGGCCAAGCTTGGTGAACGTTGGGACCTGCCTGGGTCACCAGCCTGGGAACTCCTGGGGTCTCTCACTTCTGGAGCTATCCCTCCCCCACTCCAAACATCATCTTGTTTACTCAGTGCTTGCCCTCATTCCAACCACAGATTAAGGCTCCTCTCACCCTCTTAAGACAAAGCCAGGCAGAGGAGAGCGCCTTAGTGGTGAGCCGGCTATTTATATCACAGCGTGTTTCCCAGGCTACGAATTTCACTCTGCGCGGAAGGGGCCGGGGGCGGTGGAGGAGGAGTCACTAGGGTTTGAAAGGGTCTTGATTAAGATAAGAACTATGTTCTAGGCCACTCTCCCATAAGCAAGGCACAAAGAGCCTGGGAAAATGATCACGTCTGAGTTTTTCCAGAAAAACCAACATAATTTAGTAAGTGAATCAAATTAGTAAAGCCAGCCATAGGGCAATGAGCAGGGGTATACCTGACAGTGGGTCATGCCAAGCAGAACGCTGGCTGAGGGACACCTGTGAGACCTTGAGAACTGGCCTAACCTCTCTGAGCCTGAGTTTTCTCATCTAAGAAATGACATTTTAAACACTCGACAGGGGATGGTGGAAATTAAATGGGATCATACACGTGGAGCATTTGGTACACACTATGTGCTTAGTATGCTTTGATGATTGCTTTTTTGTGTAGTGCTGTGGTTTGAATGTGTCCCCCAAAGTTCCTGTGTTGGAAACGTGAGGCCCAGCATGACAGTGGTGAGAGATGGGACCTTTGAGAGGTGACTGGATTACAAGCGCTCTGCCCTCATGAGTAGATTAATGCCATTATCATGGGAGTGGGTTCCTGAGGAAAAGGATGAAATCGGGCCCCTCAGCAGATGCGGGCCCCTCCACCTTGGACTTCCCAGCCTCCAGAACAGTAAGAAATAAATCTCTACTCTTTATCAATTATCCAGACTCAGGTATTCTGTTATAGCAGCTCACAGTGAAGTAAGAAAATAAGTCACTGAGTGTGAGGTACTAGACGGTGAGGGGTGACATGAGGAGGAGACACAGCCCCGTCCTCAGGCAGCCCCAGTCTGAGGGGGGAATGCAGCCCTGTCCTCAGGGAGCCCCAGTCTGAGGGGAGATGCAGCCCTGTCTTCAGGGGACCCTAGTTTGAGGGAAACACAGCCCCATCCTCAGGGAGCCCCGGTCTGAGGGGGACACAGCCCCATCCTCAGGGAGCCCTGGTCTGAGGGGAGACATAGCCCAGCCCTCAGGAAGCCCCAATTTGAAGGGGAGACACAGCTCTCTTCAAAGAGTTCCCGTCTGAGAGGGGAGAAACCCCATAGAGTCAAGTTCTAATCTTCTCCTTGAGATGTCTACGAATTGTTTAAGAAGAGCAAGCAGGTACCTGTAGTCTGTGGGTTCCCTGGGAAGAATGGTGAAGAGCAAGAGCTTGGTGCCAGCTTCTCCCTCAGACTGGGGACCCCAGGCTGGGCCTTCCTGGCTGGTAGTTCCTGGTTCCAAAATGTCTGAGCTCCCGCATGTTCTACCTCTCACCCCAAGACACTGCAGCTCTGCTCATCCTGCAACCTTTAAAAGAAGTGTTGTAAACTGACTGAAGACCTCATGTCCTTCCTCATGTGCTACGGTAAGATACACAGAGCGGCACTGTAGGAAATGTTCTTGCCACAACTGAGCCTGATCCAACCATACCTCGACCCAGACTACTGGTTTATGAGGAAATACAGGGGACAGAAGAACAAGTTAGACAACACCATTTGGCTGCAATTGCCCAACTCCAAACTATGGGGGATTCTGCAGGACACGTGGCCCAGTTTCTCTCACACATATGGTATGAAAAAGGGGACAGTTTTCTAGTAAAACAGACAGGAAACCAAACAACCAAATGCAAAGCATGGACTTGGTTTGGATCCTGAATTGACCAACTGTAAAAAGCATTCCGAGACTATCAGGGAAAACTGAACATAGACTGGGTATTGATTGATATTGCCATTAAATCTGTTGACTATGACTGGTCTTGTGCTTATGTTCAGCAGAAACAAAAGGGCAAAAAACAACTAAAGCCTCTTTATCTGTTGGAGATGCCTATTAAAGTATTTACAGGTAAAAGGAAAGTATGTCCAGGATTTGCTTTAGGATATTCAGAAGGGGAAAATGTGTTTGGGGGAGGGTAGTATAGATGAAACAGGCAAAATATTGATATTTGTTCCTAGGTGATGGCTAGGTGATAGGGACGGGGTTTCACCATGTTGGCCAGGCTGGTCTTGAACTCCTGACCTCAGGTGATCCACCCGCCTCAGCTTCCCAAAGTGCTGGGATTACAGGCATGAGCCACTGTGCCCAGCCTGTTTTTTCCTTTTTTTTTTAGAGACCTTGTGCTCAAGTGATCCTCCCACCTCAGCCTCCAAGTAGCTGGAGTTACAGGTGTGTTGCCACCACACCTGGCTAGGTGATGGCTACATGAGAATTAATTATAATGAACTCTCTAATTTTGTGAAAGCTTGAGTTTTTTCTATAATAGAAGTCGGAAATGCAATAAAATAAGATAAAAGAGCATCAGTTGAGAACTACAGGCCTGGCACAGTGGCTCATGCCTGTAATCCCAGCACTTTGGGAGGCCAAGGTGGGTGGATCACCTGAGGTCAGGAGTTCGAGACCAGCCTGGCCAACATGGTGAAACCCTGTCTCTACTAAAAATATAAAAATTAGCCAGGTATGATGGTGGGCACCTGTAATCCCAGCTACTTGGGAGGCTGAGGCAGGAGAATTGCTTGAACCCTGGAGACAGAGGTTGCAGTGAGCCGACATGGTGCCACTGCACTCCAGCCTGGACGACAGAGTGAAACTCCATCTCAAAAAAAAAAAAAGAGAAAGAACTACAAATCTCTTTCACTGATACCTTGCTCTGAAAAGACAGAGTCAGTGAGGGAGACAGCATTCCTGGACTTGGCTCCTCCCTCTGAGAGCCTCCTCCAAGTGTAGCAGGAAGTGTGTCCCCCTCTTCCTGGCCCACCCAGGACCACCAGGCCAGGGGAGGGAGATGTGGGAGGTTGAAGCCCAGTGACAGCCCCATTTACCACAGGCGCCGCAGAGCCCGGAATGGTGTTTCTAGTTTCTGTGGGGCCACCTCGTTATTATCTGAGACGTTGGCACAGAAGCACTGGAATCCGAACCTAATCCATCCATGTTTTCCAACCCTGCATCATCTCTGCCCACCCCTTTCCCTGTCCTTCTTGGAGAGGAAATGGAGAAGAAGAAGACAGGGAAAGGCCGGGAGCGGTGGCTCACACCTGTAATCTCAGCACTCTGGGAGGCCGAGGCAGGAAGATCACCTGAGGTCAGGAATTTGAGACCAGCCTGGCCAACATGGAGAAACCCCGTCTCTAGAAAATTACAAAAATTAGCTGGGCGTGATGGTGGGTGTCTGTAATCCCAGCTACTCAGGAGGCTGAGGCAGGAGAATCGCTTGAACCCGGGAGGCGAAGGTTGCAGTGAGCCAAGATCACACCACTACACTCCAGCCTGGGTGACTGAGCAAGACTCCATCTCAAAAAAAAAAAAAAAAAAAAAAAAAAAAGACAGGGAAAGACAGGGAGAAGAGGGAGAAAAGCAAGACTTCCCGTACCCCAAGCAGCCTGGATAATTTGAGGTTTCTGTCACTCAGTGAGCAAACATTCATTTAATGCCGAATGTATGCAAGAGGTACTTTAACATCGCTGGGAAACAGGAGAGTAAGGTGAAAAGAGCAGAATTAAAATCTGACATGCCATATAATGGAATATTATTTCACCATATAAAGGAATTAAGTTCTGATATACGCTACAACATGGATTAATTTTGAAAACACTATGCTAAGTGAAAGAAGGCAGACACAAAAGGACAAATGTTATATGACTCATTCATATGAAATGTCCAGAACAGGGAAATCTATAGATACAGAAAGTAAACGAGTGGTTACTTAGGGCTAGGGGGAGGGAAGGCTAGGGAGTGAAAGCTAAATGGTGTAAGGTTTCCCTTAGAAGTGATGAAAATGTTCTAAAATTGATTGTAATGCTGGTTGTCCGACTGTGAATATACTAAAAACCATTGAATTGCATACTTTTAATGGGTACATTGTATAGTGAGTGAATTATATCTCAATAAAGCTGTTTTTTCTTTTTGTTTGAGACAGGGTCTCACTCTGCTGCCCAGGCTGGAGTGCAGTGGTGCAATCTCAGCTCACTGCTGCCTCAATTTCTTGGGCTCAGGTGATCCTCCCACCTTAGCCTCCCAAGTAGCTGAGACTATAGGCACACACCACCACACCTAGCTAATTTTTGTATTTTTTTGTAGAGATGGGGTTTCACTATGTTGCCCATGCTGGTATCGAACCCCTGGGCTCAAGTGATCCATCCACTTCAACCTCCCAAAGTGCTGGGATTACAGGTGTGAGCCACCACATGTGGCCGAAGCTGATTTTCTTTTTTTGTCTCCCCCACTTCCTATTGTGTGATCTTAGACATGTCCCTTAACCTCTTGGGCCTCAGATTTCTCATATATAAAATGGAGCTAATAATACCAGCTGGGTGCAGTGGCTCACGCCTATAATCCCAGCACTTTGGGGCTGAGGTGGGTGGATCACTTGAGGTCAGGAGTTCGAGAGCAGCCTGACCAAATGGTGAAACCCCATCTTCACTAAAAATACAAAAATTAGCCAGGCGTGCTGGCACATGTCTGTAATCCCAGCTACTCAGGAAGTTGAGGCAGGAGAATCGCTTGAACCCGGGAGGCGGAGGTTGCAGTGAGTCGAGATCGTGCCACTGCACTCCAGCCTGGGTGACGGGGCAAGACTCTGTCTCAAAAAAACAAACAAACAAACAAAAACTAAAAAAGATTAAGACAAAAACTTCCCAGGAGGAGTTTTGTGCAGGATAAATGTGGGTCATTTCCCCCTCCCAAATGACTTGGCAACACGGTCATAGGCAGGTTGGGGATGGGGTGCAGTCACTGGGCTACTCCCCTAAGACAGAGCAGCCAAAACTCAGGTGCAGTGGCTCACACCTGTAATCCCAGCAATTTGGGAGGCCGAGGCAGGCGGATCACTTGAGGTCAGAAGTTCGAGGCCAGCCTGACCAACATGGTGAAACCCCGTCTCTACTAAAAATACAAAAATTAGCCAGGTGTGGAGGTGCACGCCTGTAATCCCAGCTACTTGGGTGGCTGAGGCAGGAGAATCTCTTGAACCCAGGAGGTGGAGGTTGCAGCAAGCTGAGATCGTGCCACTGCACTTCAGCCTGGGTGACAGAGTGAGACTCCATTTCAAAAAACAAAACAAAACAAAACAAAAAACTCTTGTAAATTCCCATAAAAATATGGAATTGTTTCTGCCTGATCTTATTCATTAGATCAGGAATCTTCAGGAGCCAGTCCTGGATCTTAAAGATTCCCCTGAGAAATCTCCAAAACCTGCCCGCCCCTCCATGCTTACTGAGGCAATGCACTCTATCCTCAGGTTTCTGGGGGGCCCCAAGGAGGGGCACAAGTGGGGAGGTCCTAGGGAGGCCAGAATGCAAGCACCCAGCTCCTCCTCTCAGGAACTGGACTGAAGATGCCAGAAAGTGAGGACCTCAACTTTCTCTAGCCCAGTCCGGTGAAGTGCCCACTGCACAGAATGGAAAGTTATTCCAGGAACAGAGCCTGCAGAAATGCCTGGAAATCACTGTCACCAGACACCGCCCATGCCCAGTCTGTGTCAGAGGAGGATCCCTGTGGATTTTCTCCAGGCTACCCATGCTCAGACCAGCTCATTCTCCTGGGATCGCTTCCCCACAGTCCTCAGGTCAAGTAGGAGAAAGAGGCTCACCCGAACCTCTTTGTTGGCTCATCCAAATTTGATGGGGAGAGGGGAAACAAAAAAAAGGAGAATTCTGCCTGGCATGGTGGTGGGTGCCTATAATCCCAGGTACTCTGGAGGCTGAGGTGGGATGGTTGCTTGAAACCAGGAGTTCAAGACCAGCCTAAGCAACAGAGTAAGACCCTATCTCTATTTTTTTTTTTTAAGAAAAGAATTTTTTTTCTTTTTTTTAAGGCAGGGTCTCACTCTGTCACCCAGGCTGGAGTGCAGTGGCACAATCTTGGCTCACTGCAGCCTTGACCTCCCAGGCTCAACGGATTCTCCCACCTCAGCTTCCCAAGTAGCAGGGACCACAGGTGCATGCCACTGTGCCCTAGCTAATTTTTTTTGTTTGGTTTGGTTTGGTTGGTTTTTTTTTTTTTTTTTTTTTTTTTGAGATGAAGTTTCGCTCTTGTTGCCCAGGCTGTAGTAGAATGGTGCCATCTCAGCTCACTGCAATCTCCGCCTCCCAGATTGAAGCAATTCTCCTGCCTCAGCCTCCCAAGTAGCTGGGATTATAGGTGTGTGCCACTACACCTGGTTAATTTTGTATTTTCAGTAGAGACAGAGTTTCACCAAGTTGGTCAGGCTGTTCTCAAACTCCTGACCTCAAGTGATCCACCCGCCTCAGCCTCCCAAAGTGCTAGGATTACAGGCATGAGCCACCTCACCGGGCCTTTTTTCTTTTCTTTTTTTCTTTTCTTTTCTTTCTTTCTTTTCTTTTTTTTTTTTTTTTTTTTTTTTGGTAGAGGTGAAGTCTCATTGTGTTGCCCAGGCTGGTCTTGAACTCCTGGCCTCAAGGGATCCTCCTGTCTCAGCCTCCCAAAGTGCTAGGATTACAAGCATGAGCCCGCACCTGGCCAAGAATTTCTTTTAAAAAGATTTTGTGGCCAGGAGCGGTGGCTCATGCCTGTAATCCCAGCACTTTGGGAGGCCAAGGAAGGTGGATCACTTGAGGTTAGGAGTTCAAGACCAGCCTGGCCAACATGGTGAAACTCAGTCTCTACTAAAAATACAAAAAAAAATAAATAGGTGGACATGGTGGCGGGCACATGTAATACCAGCTACTTGGGAGGCTGAGACAGGAGAATCAATTGAACCAGGGGGGCGAGGATGCAGTGAGCTGAGATCGCACCATGGCACTCCAGCCTGGGCAACAAATACAAAAAGAAAAGGATCTTGGTGGATGATAACCTCCCTCTCCCTGCCCTTTTGCCGGCCTCACCTCTTTGCCATCAGAATCCTAGCCCGGGGGGTGCTGCCGAGATAATCCAGAAGGTAAATGCTTACCATTTCTCAGTGCTTGTGATCTCAAAAAATAAATAAATATAACTTACATTTTTCAGGGAAGGGTTTTGGAGAGCCAGCTTTGTCATGTAAACTCACTAAACCCTCCAAAATGAAGCCATGAAAACATGAACAGAAAAAATTTTTTAGTTTTCCTTGGAGGTGGGAGTAAATGCCATTCCACAGTCTCTCATTCATTCCTTCTTTCATTCCTTCTACCAACAGATAAGGGCTGTGCTCTGGTCTCAGGCACTGGTCCTCAGGCAACCCAGCTCTGAGCAGCTTTCTGAACATAATCCCAGGAGCCTCACTTCCCTCGCAGGCCTTGTTCAGTGATCATGTAAAAGTCTGTGGGACTGGGCGCGGTGGCTCATGTTTGGAATCCCAGCACTTTGGGAGGTTGAGGCGGGAGCATCACTTGAGCCCAGAAGTTAAAGACCAGCTTGGCCAACGTGGTGAAACCCCGTCTCTACTAAAAATAGAAAAATTAGCCAGAGGCCAGGCACGGTGGCTCATGCCTGTAATCCCAGCACTTTGGGAGGTCAAGGCAGGTGGATCATCTGAGCTCAGGAGTTTGAGACCAGCCTGAGGGCAACATGGCGAAACCCTGTCTCTACCAAAAATACAGAAAATTAGCCAGATGTGGTGGCTCACGTCTGTAGTCCCAGGTACTCGGGAGGCTGAGGTGGGAGAATCACTTGAGCCTGGGAGGTGGGAGTTGCAGTGAGCCTGGAGAGTGAGACCATCTCAAGAGAGTGAGACCCTGTCTCAAAAAAAAAAAAAAAAATTAGCCCAGCATGGTGCCACACACCTATATAATCTCAGCTGCTTGGGAGGCTGAGGCATAAGAATAGCTTGAACCCTGGAGGTGATGGTTGCAGTGAGCCAAGATTGTGCCACTGCACTCCAGCCTGGGCAATAGAGTGAGACCCTGCCTCAAAATAATTATTAATTAATTAATTAAATAAAAATAAAAGTCTGTGGGAAAGTCTCTCTGCAAAGGTGGCCCTATCAGACTGCACCCTTGGAAGAACACGTAGCCCACTGCAGTATGAGGTCACTGGAGGTTTTGAAAAGGATAAAAGCATTTCAGTTCTAAGAAATTTGTGTGCTAATTCATATATTTTTTTTTTTTCTGAGATAGGGTCTTACTCTGTCACCTAGGCTGAAGTGCAGTGGCATGATCTTAGCTCACTACAACCTCTGCCTCCTGGGCTCAAATAAATTATCCTCCTGCCTCAGCCTCCTGAGTAGCTAGGACCACAGGTGCAAGCCACCACTCCTGGCTAATGTTTTTATGTTTTGGGCTTTTTTTTTAAGAGTCAGGGTTTCATCATGTTGCCCAGGCTGGTCTTGAACTCCTGAGCTCAAGTGATCCTCCCACCTCAGCCTCCCAAAGAGCTGGGATTATAGGCGTGCGCCACTGATCCCAGCCCTAATTGTGTCTTTAGACAAACTTTGTGGAAAGTTAAAGCCAAAGGTCCATTTTTCTCAGGGAAATTTAGCCTAAGGGAAATAAAAGACAGAGACAGAGAGAAGCAAAATGCTCAAAGATGCCCATTCCAGTGTTACTTATAATAGAGGTAAATAAAAATCTGAATGCTTGCCTAAGCATGTACTTTCATTCAGTGGACTTCCTTTTTTTTTTTTTTTCTTTGAGATCGAGTCTCACACTGTCTCCCGGGCTGGAGTACAGTGGCAAGATCTCGGCTCACTGCAACCCCCGCCTCCCTGCTTCTCTGGTTCAAGCAATTCTCCTGCCTCAGCCTCCCGAGTAGCTGAGATTACAGGCATGCCACCACACCCAGCTAATTTTCTGTATTTTTAGTAGAGATGAGGTTTCACTATTTTGGTCAGGCTGGTTTCGAACTCCTGACCTCGTGATCCACCTACCTTGGCCTCCCAAAGTGTTGGGATTACAGGCGTGAGCCACTGCACCTGGCTTCAGTGGACTTCTTATGCAACCATTAAACATGATCATTGTGGATATTATGCAAATGTTATACTATCAGATTACAAAATGGAACACTAAATTGTCTTTTTTTTTTTTTTTTTTTTGAGACAGAGTTTTGCTCTTGTTGCCCAGGCTGGAGTGCAATGGCGAGATCTCAGCTCACCACAATCTCTGCCTCCCTGGTTCAAGCGTTCTCCCGCCTCAGCCTCCTGAGTAGCTGGGATTACAGGCATGCATCACCATGCCCGGCTAATTTTGTATTTTTAGTAGAGACGGGGTTTCTCCGTGTTGGTCAGGCTGGTCTCGAACTCCTGAACTCAGGTGATCCGCCCGCCTCGGCCTCCCAAAGTGCTGGGATTACAGGTGTGAGCTACCGCACCCGGCCCTAAATTGTCTTTATACTATCATTACACTGTATGATTATGTAAATGTTAACAAGACTAGACTGAAACTGAAATGTAGAAAAACTAAAGGCATTAATCAAGTTATGGGTGAGAAGCTAGCTTGAATTTGTTTTCCTATTTTGGCTTCTTTTAATATTACTGCTGTATTTTTTGTGCGTGTAATAGAAGAATTTTTCCAAGTCAGTGGAGTTAGGAAAATTTCCCACCAACAAGTTGGTATGGGACATTGAAGGAGTTTTGATTCAGCTAAATATTTGCCTGAAATTTTGGATCCATTGACCATTGAGAGTGGAGTGACCTAGATAATTCCTTCACTCTGATACAAAAGGGGATTTGGAGTTACCGAGAGATTTGAATACATCTGTCCAAGAACTGACTCTATGCAGGAGACAATCAAGGGAAATGATAGAGGAAAAGATGAAAAGCCCCTTCTCTGTGAGCCTCTGCTCACAGAGGCTGGTTCTACCATCGGCCTCTCCCACTCCCCAGAATTCTGCTTGTCCCCCTGGCTTCATGCCCTCCTCGGGAGATTTATGTAAATCGTGGCATCTTGTGCTGCCCCTGCAGACCTGTCACCTGGGAAGGGCACAGCCCTTTACAATCCTCTCCTGACTGGGGATTTGCAGCAGTAATCTCCATCCACAAGAAAATAAAATCCCAAGAAGTGACCTTCACTTGGACGTCCCTTCCATCTGCAGGGCAGATATAAGCTAGCTATTTGGGCGTCATTAATGTTGTTTTGGGCTTCAAACATGTCCTGCTGCTGGTGCCAATGCCCTGAGTTCAAGTTCCCTTTGGACTTGCCAGCCTCACTGGGAAGAAAAAAAAACCACCCTTAGGAATAACTGAACCCCTAACCTCAGCCAGGTAGGGTCGAGTCAGACAGAAAGAAGAGGTGAGGGAAAGCGGCTGCCTCAAGGCAGGCTGCCCTTTCCCTGAAAAGTCACTCGAGCCCCAGGTTGGTGGGTGTGTTGGGAAGAGCAGCCCGCTGGAGCCAGTGCACAGGCTGTTCCCTCCGACACAGTGGTCGAGAGTCTCTCTCTCACCAGCACCTCCCACAGCCCATCGCAGCATTTTACTTTTACATATGCCAAGAATACTTTAGAAATGCTTTATCACATTGCACTATCATGACTCGCTAAGTAAACACCAGCAAGCATTTAATGAGTACCTGCTGCATGCCAGCTACCAGGCAGGGCTAGGAGGTGACTTCCAAAATTACCTATTCTATTCCAGTGCTCATTTAAAAGATGGGCAAGCCAAAGCGCAGAGTGACTAGTGACCTGCCCAAGGTCACAAGACCTTGAACAACAGAACCAAAACTTCACCCTAGATCTCATGACTTCCCCTTCCTATGCTCTTTCCAACATATCCAGACAAACATCTTGGGAATGGATGCTCAGGGTTGAAAGGTTGGAAAACAAGGGAACTAACTAGGAAATTTAAACTTCTGGGACTGAATCCATCTACTTTGAATGAATGGGACAAATAGCCAAATAGTACCTCAGTGTTTGTGATCTATGAATGACTTCCATCCCTCTGTATAAAGTGGACACACATTGCTGCCTGGCTCTTCATCCCAAGGGGCTCCTATCCAAACAGCTTATATAAATTGATACCTTCCTACCACCTTAGCCAATGTTAGGTTGAACCCTATGAAGTTGTCATTTTTTATGGGTCAAAGAGGTAGAATATTAGCAATTTCATATGGTTCCACCTGATACACCCTCACATACGCAGCAATAAGTTGTGCACCCGATGGAGAGGAAAAGGCACTGGGTGCGGGGAGAGGGGCTGGTCAGAGGCCTGAGCCTCAGTGTCCCCAATATATTCATAGCTCTGACCCCAGGACTGGAAGCCACTCACTCTTTGACTTCTTTGGAGGAAAAGTCCAGGTAGCGATTGCTGATCCACTGAATCTCAAACCAGTCCCGAAAACCGTTGTTGCCGCAGCATTTGAACTCGATCTGCAGCATGTCGATGGTCTTCTTCATGAAACACCTGCCAGGGGTGTCTGTGTCCCGGTAGTACTTCATGCCGTTCTTGAGCCCTTGGCCCAGGGTGTTCTCCAGCGAGCCCCGAAGCAGAAAGCAGCAGAGAGCCACAAGGAAGAGGATGATGTTGAAGAGAACACAGATAGCCAGGTACGGCTTCAGCCAGGGCTTCCATCTGGCATACTTGGCTGGGTCCAGGGCGTCGTAGCAGATCTTCCCAGCCAGCGAGTTGAAGACACAGGATAGCACCCCCATCCCTATCAATGAGTTGGGCACAAAATGGCTCTCAGAATTATTCATCACATCGCTCCTCTTTCGGAGTTCAATCTTCAGGAACAGTCCTAGGCTGAAGATGATGATGCCAGCCAACACGGAGAACCAGTTCATGAGCCAGAGCCCTTGGGCCAACTTGACCCGCTTCTTCTGGTCAAACTTGACTTTCAGTAGCGCCATGCTTGCCAAGTGTAGTCCGGGTTGCTTCCCACAGCACAGCTCCCACCCCAAACCTTAACGAGCCCAGAGGCGGAGACTTAGGGCCTTGGGAAAAGTGCAGATGGCCCAAGCTGTAGGGAGCTGCCCTGGGGGCTACCCATGTCGAGTCCCACTAGCCTGGGATCCCCGTGAATGCAGTAGTGGTGGCAGGGGTCTCGGAATCACAGCTTGAGCAGGGGATAGTCCTGGTCCTGGGCGTTGTTTCTTCAGCGCCCTTCCCAGCCAAGAAGGGGCAGCCTGAACGCTGCAGATTAAAAGTGGGATCCACAAGACATTTTGCTAATCTCTTTAGCCAGGTTCATCCCATTAGATAAAGCCATGCCACTCTCAAAACATGGTCAAAAGCAGCCTCCAGGTACATGCTGAACCAGAAAGCTCTGGGTACAGCTTGGAGAATCAGGAGCAAAGGGCAAGACTGGCCAGAAGAATGGGCTGTATCTGGATGTCTGGCTCAGACCGTGTTGCTCCCCAAAAGCATATTTCCAGGCCAATCTCCTTCAACATTTAAAACTTTCTGTAGGACAAATAAATTGTTATCCTCTCTGAGAAAAGAAATGACAGGGCCAGGCACAGTGGATCACGCCTATAATCCCAGCACTTTGGGAGACCAAGTTGGGTGGATCACTTGAGCCCAGGAGTTCAAGACCAGCCTGGGCTACATAGGAAGACCCCATCTCCACACACACACACACACACACAAAAAAAAAAAAAAAAAAATTAGCTGGGTATGGTGGCATGCACCTGTAGTTCTCCCAGCTACTCTGGAGGCTGAGGTGGCAAGATCACCTGAGCCTGGGGAGTTCAAGGCTGCACTGAGCCATGATCGTGCCACTGCACTCCAGCCTGGGTGACAGAGTGAGGCCCTGTCTCAAATTTTAAAAAGACAAAGAAAAGAAGAGAAGAAGGAAGGAAAGAAAGAAAGTGACAGATCGTGAGAAAACATTTGCAACTTGTAAAATTAAAAAGTAATATACAGTGGCCAGGCATGGTGGCTTATGCCTGTAATCCCAGTACTTTGGGAGGCCAAGGCAGGTGGATCGCTTGAGCCCAGGAGGTGGAGGTTGCACTGAACTGAGATCCCCACATTGCACTCCAGCCTGGGTGACAGTGAGACTCTGTCTGGAAAAAAAAAAAAAAGAATTAATATGCAAAAATGTTTTAAGTCTCACAAATTCACAATAAACAAAAATTCACAATCAAAAGACCAATAATCAACTGGAAAAATAGGCAAAAACCAGGAACAGACAATTCATAATTAGGAAACTTGAAAAGTCCAATAATCTGGAAAAGATCTCAACTTGGGTAATAAGCAGGAAAATGCAAATCCAAACAACAATAAAATACCAAACTTGGCCGGGCACAGTGGTTCACACCTGTAATCCCAGCAGTTTGGAAGGCCAAGGTGGGTGGATCACTTGAGGTCAGGCATTCAAGACCAGCCTGGCCAACATGGTGAAACCCTGTCTCTACTAAAAATACAAAAATTGTCTGGGTATGGTGACAGGCACCTGTAATCCCAGTTACTTGTGAGGCTGAGGAAGGAGCATCAATTGAACCCGGGAAGTGGAGGTTGCAGTGAGCCAAGATTGCGCCATTGCACTCCAGCCTGGGTGACAAGAGTGAAATGACGTCTCAAAAAAAGAAAAAGACCAAACTCGATCCATCAAATTGAATGTATGTCAAAATTCTGTCACCATACATCAACAAAGAGAGTGGAAGTAGAAGTGTACACTCTTGGTGAATCTGTACATTTATTATTATTATTAATTAATGGATTATTTCTTACAGTAGTTTTAGGTTTACAAAAAAATTGAACAGAAAATACAGGGAGTTCCCATTATTCTCCATCTCCCCAACCAGTTTCTCCTCTAATTAATATCTTGCATTAATGTGGTACATTTGTTACAATTAATGAACCAATATTGATGCACTATTATTAACTAAAGTCTATAGTTTACATTAAGGTTCAGTCTTTGTGCATATAATTCTGTCACTTTTGCCAAATGCATAATGTCATGTATTCATCATTATTGTATCATACAGAATACTTCCACTACTCTAATAACCTGCCATGTTCTGCCTATTCATTCCTCCTTCCCTCACTCCTCAGCCCTGGGCAACCACCGTCTAGATCTATAGTTTTGCCTTATCTAGAATATCTTACAGTTGGAATCATACAACATGTAGCCTTTTCAGACTGGCTTCTTTCCCTTAGCAATATATGTGATTAATGATTCTCTGTATCTTTTCACGGCTTAATAGCTCATTTCTTCTTATCACTGAATAACGTTTCATCACATGGATGTACCACGGTTTATTCCTTCACCTATCAGAGAATATCCTGGTTGATTCCAGTTTTTGACAATTATGAATAAAACTGCTATAAACATCCACGTGCAGGTTTTTGCTGAAAAATTTTCCATTCATCTGGGTAAATATCTAGGAGCACAATGGCTAGATTACATAGTAAGACTATGTTTAACTTTGTAAGAAACTGCCAATCTGTCTTGCAAAGTGACTGTACAATTTTGCATTCCTACCAGCAATTTTTACTTCATGTCCTTGCCAACATTTGATATTGTCAGTGTTTCAGATTTTAACCACTGTAATAGGTGTGTAGCTGCATCTTGTTTGAATTTGCAGTGCCCTAATGACATTTGATCTTTTCATGTGTCATGTGCTTATTTGCCATCTGCATATCTTCTTTGGTGAAGTGTCTGTTCAGCACTTTTGCCTGCTTTTATTTCTTTTTGAGTCAGGATCTATCTATGTTGTCCAGGCTGGTCTCCAACTACTATTCTCAAGCAATCCTCCCACCTCAGCCTCCTGAGAAGCTGGGATTACAGGTACCTGCCACAATGCCCAGCATGCTCACTTTTTAATAATGTTGTTTGTTTTCTTTAGAGTGTAAAGTTTTACAGCCCTTTGGAAGGGCAATTTAGCTATACCTATTACAATTTTCAAAAAAAAATTTTAGCGACGGAGTCTTGCTGTGTTGCCTAGGTTAGTCTCAAACTCCTTGGGCTCAAGCAATCCTTCTGCCTCAACCTCCCAAATTGCTGAGATTACAGGTGTGAGCCACCTCACCCACCCTAAAATTTAAAATGCATTAAAATTCCCAAAGATCCAATAATCTTACTTCTCAGAACAGCCTGTGCATAAGTACAAGGGCTTTTAAGAACAAACCAAGGCCATGTGTGGTGGTTCATGCCTGTAATTCCAGCACTTTGGGAGGCCAAGGCAAGTGGACCACTTGAAGTCAGGAGTTCAAGACAAGCCTGGCCAACATGGTGAAGCCCCATCTCTACTAAAAATACAAAAAAAAAAAAAATAGCTGGGCATGGTGGCAGGCACCTGTAACCCCAGCTATACTCCCAGAGGCTGGCTGAGGCATAAGAACCACTTGAACCCAGGAAGCAGAGGTTGCAGTGAGCTGAGATCACACCACTGTACTCCAGCCTGGGCGACAGAGCAAGACTCCATCTCAAAAAAAAAAAAAAAGAACAAACCAATCTTGTCATCAAATTCCTGTCCACCTAATACCAAAAAGGGTTTCATGATTAGAATATGAAGCCTGTGAGCTCTTGGTGGCAAGTGGGTCAAAACTCTAATCCAGAATCTCCTTTCTTCCCTTATGTGCATTGATTCCCCTACACTAGACTCACTACCCACACACTCCTCTTCAAGGTCTCCAAATCATTATGTAAATCAGAGGAATAGTCTCCACAGGCAGAGGAGGTGTAAGAACTAAGCAACAAGACATGAGTTTTCCCATCCAACAATCACCTTGGAAAACAAAGCACTTATTCCATTGCTCAGCTCAAGTCTGGACTCCAAATGGGAGTGATTTCAAAAGCCAGGTCCTGAGCCATATGGGGAAACATTCTTGTTATACTATAGTCACACAGCATTTTGGGTCAAAAACAATATTACCCAAAGTGATCACTCTTCTAACAGCCAGTGTTGGCTTATAATAGCTTTGGATTATGAAAGGATTTCAACTCTTTATCATCAAGGACATTGAAAAGAATTGCTGCCACTTTTGAAGTTGTTTCCTTTTGTTTTGCTTTTTCCAAAAGAGGATGTTCAGACAACCAGAGGACTCATACCTCCTACAAAAAGTAAAATAAAAATTGGAAGACAATTGTCCTGCAGGAAATAGGATGTAGATGACTGTGACGCTATCACAGAGAGCCTCTTAGAAGCACACGTGCAGACAAGAGAAAATCAGAGGGAAGAAGAGGAAGAAAGATTTAATGTAGAAACCAGAAACAAAAATTTAAAAATAGCTCTACAAGGGTAACCCGATTAGTCAGGCACCTCTTTCTCCTCAAATGACCTTGAGGTTGTAAATACGACGAGGAGGGCGGTGCTGAGCCCATAGCAAGTCTGTGGATGCCCCCTGGTGGCCCTAAATAGAATGGCTTCAATGGATGGAAATTTAACGTGCTCGCATCCCCAGCACGTTAAATTACCCAGAAAAGTAAGAGAAAAAGAACAGACACATCAGAAATGTCTCTGGCCAAACCTTTCAAGTACGAATCAAGGCAAGATATGGCGATGAACAAGCAGAGAAAAGTGGACTGCAAAGGAAGCAGTAATTAATCTGTCAGAGAAGGGAGGGCTCCTTCCTGCTTCCGGACCATGTTGGATGTGAGTCTAGATGCGAGACATCTATTATAGAGATAATAGAAGAGGTTAGCGGAACCAAGGATGGTTCACTTTTCTTCTTTAGAAATACCATTAATGCTGATCGTCTTCGCCGCCGCCTGCGTGCTCGCCTTCGCGCCCGGCCCGGCCTCGCCCCGGTCTTCGCCTCCGCCTCGGCCGCAGAGCTTGCCCCCTCCCCACCCGCAGACAATGTCCGAGTCCAAGAACGGCCCCGAGTATGCTTCGTTTTTCGCCGTCATGGCAGCCTCGGCCGCCATGGTCTTCAGCGCCCCGCGCGCTGCCTATGGCACGGTCAAGACCGGTGCCGGCATCGCGGCCATGTCTGTCATGCGGCCGGAGCTGATCATGAAGTCCATCATCCCGGTGGTCACGGCTGGCATCATCGCCATCTATGGCCTGGTGGTGACAGTCCTCATCGCCAGCTCCCCGAATGACGACATCAGCCTCTACAGGAGCTGCCTCCAGCTAGCGCCGGCCTGAGCGTGGGCCTGAGCGGCCTGGCAGCCGGCTTTGCCATAGACATCTTGGGGGACGCCGGTGTGCGAGCCACGGCCCAGCAGCCCCGACTATTCATGGGCATGATCCTGATCCTCATCTTCCCCGAGGTGCTCGGCCTGTACGGTCTCGTCGTTGCCCTCATCCTCTCCACAGAGTAGCCCCTCTCCGAGCCCACCAGCCACCGAATATGATGTAAAAACCACCCCTCCTCATTCCAGAACGAAGAGCCTGACACACACGCACGGGACCGCGGCCCCCAGTAGTTGATCTTGTACATGCGCAGCGCAGCGTCCTAGTGCCGGTTGTCTGTTGCCCTGGCCTTGCCCCCACCCCACCCCCCACGCCGCCCCGTGCCATGGACATCTGGGTCCACTCATCGCCCCTCCAGGCCCCCGGTGCCCCACCCCCTAGAGTGCTCTGTGTATTCGGATGACTTAGAGTTGTCATTTCTCTTCACTGGATGTTTATTTATAAAGATCTGGCCTGTTCCCGCGTCTGCGGAGAGGCCCTGGTCTCCCAGCTGTCTATAACCTTAGCTAGAGTGTGGCCTTGTGGGCTCCTGTTGCTGAGACCTCCTGGATGGAGCTGCCCTCGCCACCGGGCCCTTGGCCCTGCACGGAGCTCTGTCCAATAAAGTTCTCGGATTTGGGGGGAAAAAAAAGAAATGACCATTAATGCTATTATAATAACGAAATTATACCGTTTTTCTTGGCCAGGTGTGGTGGCCCACTCCTGTAATCCCAGCACTTTGGGAGGCCAAGGTGGGAGGATCGCATGAGGTCAGGAGTTCGAGATCAGCCTGGCCAACATGGTGAAACCTCGTCTCTACAAAAATTACAAAAATCAGCCAGTGTGGTGGCAGGCGCCTGTAATCCCAGCTACTCGGGAGGCTGAAGCACAAGAATTGCTTGAATCCAGGCGGTGGAGGTTGCAGTGAGCCAAGATCATGCCACTGCACCCCAACCTGGAAAGAAAGAAAGAGAGAGAGAGAGAAGGAAGGGAGGGAGGGAGGGAGGGAAAGAGAGAGAGAGAGAGAGGCTGGGCGGGATGGCTCACACCTGTAATCCCAGCACTTTGGGAGGCGGAGGCGGGCAGATCACCTGAGGTCAGGAGTTCGAGGCCAGCCTGACCAATATGGTGAAACCCTGTCTATACTAAAAATACAAAAAAATTAGCTGGGCATGGTGGCGCATGCCCGTAGTCCCAGCTACTCAGGAGGCTGAGATGGGAGAATTGCTTGAACCCGGGAGGCGGAGGTTGCAATCAGCCGAGATTACGCCACTGCACTCTAGCCTGGGGTGACAGAGCAAGACACTGTCTCAAAACAAAAAAAGAAAGAAAGAAAAGCAAGAAAGCAAGAGAGAGAGGGAGGGAGGGAGGGAAAGAAGGAAGGAAGGAAGGAAGGAAGGAAGGAAGGAAGGAAGGAAGGAAGGAAGGAAGGAAGGAAAGAGAGGGGCTGGGCACGATGGCTCACGCCTGTAATCCTAGCACTTTGGGAGACCAAGGCGGATAGATCACCTGAGGTCAGGAGTTCGAGACCAGCCTGGCCAACATGGTGAAACCCTGTCTCTACCAAAGATACAAAAAAACTAGCTGGGCATGGTGGTGCACACCTGTAGTCTCGGCTACTCAGGAGCCTGAGACAGGAGAATTGCTTGAACCTGGGAGGTGGAAGTTGCAGTGAGCTGAGATTGCACCACAGAACTCCAGCCTGGGGCGACAAAGCAAGACTCCATCTCAAAAAAAAAAAAAACAGAAAGAAAAGAAAGAGAAAGAGAGAAAGAAAGAAAGGGAAAGAGGGAGGGAAGGAAGGAGAAAGAAAGAGAGAGCGAGAGAGAAAGAAAGAAAGAAAAAGGAAAGAAAGAAAGAAAAATAAAAGAAAGAAAGAAAAGAAAAGAAAGAAGAGAAAAGAAAAAGAGAAAAGGGGCCAGGTGCAGTGGCTCACACCTGTAATCCCAGCACTTTGGGAGGCCGAGGTCGGGGGGATTACTTGAGCTCAGGAGTTTGAGACCTTCCTGGGCAACATGGCAAAACCCTCTCTCTACAAAAAATACAAAATTAGACAGGCATGGTGGCGAATGCCTGTAGTCCCAGCTACTTGGGAAGCTGATATGGGAGGATTGCTTGAGCCTGGGAGATGGAGGTTGCAGTTAGCTGAGACTTTGCCACTGCACTCCAGCCTGAGTGACAGAGCAAGACCCTGTCTCAAAATAAAAATAAAAATAAAAGGAAAGGAAGAGACTAGAGCTCTCCCCAAGCCAGTACTGAGGAAAGGCCATGTGAGGACACAGTGAGAAGACCCATCTGCAAGCCAGGGAGAGAGGCCTTACCAGAAACCAACCCTGCTGGCACCTTCATCTTGGACTTTAGTCTCCAGAACTGTGAGAAAGTAAATGCCTGTTGCTCGAGCTGCCCAGTCTATGGAATTCTGTCATAGCAGCCAGAGCTGACTAATGCACTCTCCCTCCCACTCAAGAGGTCACCAGTAATCTGAACACCTTAGCGTTTTCTTTTTTTTTCTTTTCCTTTTTTTTTTTTTTTTTTTTTTGAGACCGAGTTTGGCTCTTGTTGCCCAGGCTGGAGTGCAATGGCGCGATCTCGGCTCACTGAAACCTCCACCTCCCAGGTTCAAGCGATTCTCCTGCCTCAGCCTCCTGAGTAGCTGGGATTACAGGTGTCTGCCACCATACCCAGCTAATTTTTTAGTAGAGACAGGGTTTCACCATGTTGGCCAGGATGGTCTTGAACTCCTGACCTCAAGTGATCCGCCCACCTCAGCCTCCCAAAGTGCTGGGATTACAGGCGTGAGCCACTGTGCCCAGCCAGCTTTTTCTTTTTCATATAAAAATCATTAAGTGCTTTCCTACAAACAAATTTTTGATGTTTTTGAGATTTACAACAATTGTATGTTACTGTGTAGATGGTCTCCAGGGATCTGCTTCTTTTTCAGTCAACATGTTTTAAGAGACACACATGTTACATGTAGCTATAGTTCATTGTCATGTATAGAATATACATAGTATACATTCTTCTGCCAGGAGATATATGGGTGATTTCTAGAGTTAAACTTTCATGCATAGAGCTCTTTCAACATTTGTGGCTGGATGCAGTGGCTCACAACTGTAATCGCAGCAATTTAGGAGGCCAAGGCAGGATCACTTGAGCCCAGGAGTTCAAGACCAGCCTAGGCAACATGGTGAAACTTTGCCTCTACAAAAAATACAAAAATTAGCCTCGCGTGGTGGTGTGCACCTGTGGTCCCAGCTACTCATGACTGAGGCATGAGGATCGTTTGAGCCTGGGAGATTGAGGCTGCTGTGAGCAGTGATTGAGCCACTGCACTCAAGCCTGGATGACAGAGTAAGACCTCATCTCAAAACAACAACAACAAAAAACACATTTGTGTGTATCTTTCATTATGCAGAAGTTTCTCTAGGGTATAACCCTAAGAAGTTCGAGACCAGCCTGAGCAACACAGTGAGACCCTGTTTCTATAAAAACAAAACAAAAATACAGAAATAAAAAATATAAATCTAAAAAAGTTACATTGTAGTAAGAGAACATAACATGTACAATATCAAATCTAGAAAAAAAATCTTTGAGATTTGCTCTGTGACCTAGTTTGTGGCCAGTTGTCCTGTGGTCAATATTCCACATGTGTTTGCGGGGGATAAAAGTGTGTCTTATGTAATAATTGGGTGCAATGATCTTTTTTTTTTTTTTTTTTTTTGTAGACAGTCTCACTCTGTCACCCAGGCTAGAATTCAGTAGCATGCTTGGCTCACTACAACCTCTACTACCTAGGTTCAAGCAATTATCCTGCCCAGTCTCCCGAGTAGCTGGGATTACAGGTGCCCAACTAATTTTTGTATTTTTATTAGACATGCGGTTTCATCATCTTCGGCAGGCTGGTCTCGAACTCCTGACCTCAGGTGATCTGCCCACCTCGGCCTCCCAAAGCACTAAGATTACAGGCATAAGCCATTGCGCCAGGCCAATGCTCTTTTTAAAATATATCACTGTGTTCTTCAAATGTTTCTTTTTTTCTTTTTTTTTTTTTTGAGACAGAGTTTCCCTCTTGTTCCCCAGGCTGGAGTACAGTGGCACGATCTTGGCTCACTGCAACCTCCACCTCCAGGATTCAAGCGATTATCCTGCCTCAGCCTCCCGAGTAGCTGGTATTACAGATGTGTGCCACCATGCCCGGCTAATTTTTGTTTTGTTTTGTTTTGAGACAGAGTCTCACTCTGTCACCAAGGCTGGAATGCAGTGGCCTGATCTTGGCTCACTGCAAGCTCCACCTCCTGGGTTCACGCCATTCTCCTGCCTCAGCCTCCCAAGTAGCTGGGACTACAGGCACCCGCCACCACGACTGGCTGATTTTTTGTATTTTTAGTAGAAACAAGGTTTCACCGTGTTAGCCAGGATAGCCTCGATCTCCTGACCTCATGATCCACCCGCCTCGGCCTCCCAAAGTGCTGGGATTACAGGTGTGAGCCACCGTGCCTGGCCTAATTTTTGTATTTTTAGTAGAGACAGGGTTTCACAGTGTTCGCCAGGCTGGTCTGGAACTCCTGACCTAAAGTGATCCGATACCTCAGCCTGCCAAGGTGCTGAAATTACAGTATGAGCCACCACGCCCAGCTGAGACTATTATTCCATTGTTTTCCAGCTCTCATTGTCATCATTAAGAAGTCAGGTGGTAAGCAGTGACTCACGCCTGTAATCCCAGCACATTGGGAGGTCCAGGGAGGTGGATCACCTGAGATCAGGAGTTTGAGACCAGCCTGGCCAACATGGTGAAACCCTGTCTCTACTAAAAATACAAAAATTAGCTGGCATGGTGGTGCACATCTGTAATGCCAGCTACTTGGGAGGCTGAGGCAGGAGAATGGCTTGAACCTGGGAGGCAGAGGTTACAGTGAGCAAAAATAAATAAATAAATAAAATAAAATAACAAAAATAAATTTTAAAAGCTTGATGGGCACTACCGCCATCTTGGAGATGGCTGTGGTCACTCCACCTGCCAGGAAGTCCTTGGCAAAGGACACGGCAGCATCTGTCATGTTGAAAGGAAAGGGGAGGCAGGCTGCTTCAGGATGGGACTGGGCCGGGAACCAGCTTTGACTCCAGGGCTGCTGGGCCTTTTTGGGGTTTTTTTGGAAGCTTCATGACAACAGTATTCCTTCCCCCACGGTACAGTGCAGGACCCTCTCTTTGGAAGGTCTTAAGACCCACAATCAGAAAGGTAGGGAGACATTCGAGTGGAAGGTGGGCAGGAGAAGGTCGGAGGCTTGCCCCTGAGGCCCAACACACCCAACATTATAACGAAAGACCAGAACAAGGGCTGTGGGAGTTATGAGCCAGGAACGCGGATGAAAACCAACAAATATCGTAACACCACAGCGAGGAACACAGACATTCAGACCACAGCATACTTTTACACTGAAGATGGGCTCAGTAGACTCCACCCTTTGGAAGCCTCAGATTTTGGCTTCTGTCTGCCTTCTTGTCTCCTCTCTCCAGTGCCGTTAAAATGAAACTCAAGGTTACAAGAGTTCAAGAGACCTCCCAGCCCCACAACAAAGTCAGTTTTAGAATTAGTTCACATTGGCCGGGCGCAGTGGCTCACGCCTGTAATCCCAGTGCTTTGGGAGGCTGAGGCGGATGGATCACCTGAGGTCAGGAGCTTGAGACCAGCCTGACCAACATGGAGAAACCCCGTCTCTACTAAAACTACAAAATTAGCCAGGCACAGTGGCGCGTGCCTGTAATCCCAGCTACTCAGGAGGCTGAGGCAGAAGAATCGCTTGAACCTGGGAGGCAGAGGTTGCGGTGAGCCAAGATCGTGGCATTGCACTCCAGCCTGGGCAACAAGAGCAAAACTCTGCCTCAAAAAAAAAAAAAAAAAAAAGAATTAGCTCACATCTCTGGATTAATTTTGATCTCCACCGGGTGTGGTGGCTCACACCTGTAATCCCAGCCCTTTGGGAAGTCAAGGCAGGTGGATCACCTGAGGTCAGGAGTTCGAGACCAGCCTGACCAACATGGTGAAACCCCGTTTCTACTAAAAATACAAAATTAGCCGAGCATGATGGCGCATGCCTGTAGTCCCAGTTACTCCAGAGGCTGAGATAGGAGAATCGCTTGAACCCGGGAGGTGGAGGTTGCAGCAAGCTGAGATTGTGCCACTACACTCCAGCCTGGGTAACAGAGCAAGACTCCGTCTCAAAAAAAAAAATTTTTTTTTTTTTGATCTCCACATGTAGGGTCTAGCCCTACGGGGCTTAGCGGGTATTTTCCCCATGTGCAGAGACGAGAGATCGTAAGAAAGACACAAGACAAAGAGATAAAGAGAAAGCAGCTGGGCCTGGGGGACCACTACCACCAAGACGTGGAGACGTAGTGGCCTTGAATGGCTGGGTGCACTGATATTTATTGTATACAAGACAAGGGGGCAGGGTAAGGAGGGTGAGTCGTCCAAGTGATTGATAAGGTCAAGTAAGTCACGTGGTTATAGGACAGGGGACCCTTCCCTTATAGGTAGCTGAAGCAGAGAGGGAAGGCAGCATACGTCAGTGTTTTCTTCTATGCACTTAAGACTTTCACTATTTTTTCTACCGCTACCTTCTAAGAACTTTAAAGAGGAACCAGGAGTATGGGAGGAGCATGAAAGTGGACAAGGAGCGTGACCACTGAAGCACAGCACCACAGGGAGGGGTTTAAGCCTCTGGATGACTGTGGGCAGGCCTGGATAATATCCAACCTCCCACAAGAAGCTGGTGGAGCAGAGTGTTTCCTGACTCCTCCAAGGAAAGGAGACTCCCTTTCACGGTCTACTAAGTAACGGGTGCCTTCCCAGGCACTAGCATTACCGCTTGACCAAGGAGCCCTCAAGCGGCCCTTATGTGGGCGTAACAGAGGGCTCACCTCTTGCTTTCTTGGTTACTTCTTACAATGTCCCTTCAGCACCTGACTCTATACCTGCTGGTTATTTTTTGGTTATATTAGTAATACAACAAAGAGTAATATTAAAAGCTAACGATTAATAATCTTTGTACTAATGATTGATAATGTCCATGATCATCTCTATATCTAATTTGTATCATAACCATTTTTATTTTAACTTTTTTTATTATACTGAAACAATTTGTGCCTTCAGCCTCTTGCCTTGGCACTTGAGTAATTCTCCGCCCACATCCACATATTCTTTACTCTCTTTGCAGCTCCATGATGTCTTTTTACAAGTATTTTGATATATTTTATCTAGCATTTATAGTTGTTTTCAGTGAGATAGCTCTTTAAGGAAGCCAGTACTCTTTACTGACATCTACTTTTTTTTTTTGAGATGGAGTTTTGCTCTTGTCACCCAGGCTAGAGTGTAGTGGTGTGATCTTGGCTCGCTGCAACCTCCGCCTCCCAGGTTCAAGTGATTCTCCTGCTTCAGCCTCCCAAGTAACTGGGACTCACAGACAACAGGCACCTGCCACCACACCTGGCTAATTTTTGTATTTTTAGTAGAGACGGGATTTCACCGCATTGGCCAGGCTGATCTCAAACTCCTGACTTCAGGTGATCCACCCACCTCGGCCTCCCAAAGTGCTGGGATTACAGGCATGAGCCACCACACCTGGCCCTTATTGACTTTATTTATTTTTATTTTTTGAGACCAAGTCTCGCTCTGTTGCCCAGGCTGGAGTGAAGCGATACAATCTTGGCTCACTGCAGCCTTTGCCTCCTGGGTTCAAGCAATTCCTGTACCTCAGCCTCCCTAGCATCTGGGACTACAGGTGTGCACCACCATGCCTGACTAATTTTTTGTAGTTTTAGTAGAGATGAGGTTTCACCATGTTTGCCAGGCTGGTCTCGAACTCCTGACCTCAGGTGATCTGCCCACCTCAGCCTCCCAAAGTGCTGGGATTACAGGTGTGAGTCATCATGCCCGGCCTCTGCCACCATCTACTTTCAATGTTCCATAACTTTCTTCATTTTCTATTCCTCTTCCCAGGGGCATAACTAGGAAAAAGAAGTCCCAATGTGAAATCTGTGTGGCCCCTATCTTTTCAAAACAAAAAGATCTGGCCAGGCACCATGACTCACGCCTATAATCCCAGCACTTTGGGGGGCCAGAGCAGGCGGATCACTTCAGGCCAGGAGTTCCAGACCAGCCTGGACAATATGGTGAAATCTCATCTTTATCAAAAATACAAAAAAAATTAGCCGGGGATGGTAGCACATGCCTATAGTCCCAGCTACTTGGGAGGCTAAGGTAGGAAGATCCCTTGAACCTGGGAGGCAGAGGTTGCAGTGAGGCGTGATCGCGCCACTGCACTGCGGCCTGAGCGACAGAGTGAGACCCTGTCTCAAAAATAAATAAATAAACAAATAAATGTCTAAAATAGGCTCTTTAGGGGGGTGATAATGAAAAAAAAAAGGTTGAGAGACACTAAAAACACTGCCCTAAACTGGGAGTGAAAGTAGTTAATTGGAGAGATTCAGATAACACCCATGGAGGGGTGGCAAAGTGGTACAGGAAGGAAAGGCGGCCCACAAGACTGTGCTATTACACCAGCTTCCACCCTGGAGAAGGAAATCCCTGGGGGAAACACATCTCAGAATTATCCTGTCTTGGGTGAGGGAGCTGAGCTATTTATTCACTAACTCTGGAGAGTCATTCATCTGAGGGCTGTTCCCAGGATAAGTCCCCAGCAGCAAGGCTTACCACAAGAGGAATCAGAACTGTCAGACACTTAATACTATTGTGCTGGGCACAGCGAAAAGTTCAAGCCATGTGGATGGTCAAGCGGCACCCTCTATTACACTACTATTTATTAAAACCTAGAAAGTGCACCAGGCACAGTGGCTCATGCCTGTAATCCCAGCAGTTTGGGAGGCCGAGGTGGGGGGATCCCTTGAGCCCAGGAGTTTTAGACCAACCTGGGCAACATGGCAAAACCCTGTTACAACAAAAAATACGAAAAATTAGCCAGGTGAGGTGGCTCACACCTGTAGTCCCAGCTACTCCAGAGGCTGAGGTGGGAGGATGGCTTGAGCCTAGGAAGTTGAGGCTGCAGTGAGCCCTGATCCTGCCACTGCACACCAGCCTAGGCAACAGAGCAAGATCCTATCTCAAAAAAAAAAAAAGAAAGTGCTATTAGGAGAAACTTTCCGATCAAGAAATCACAAAAGCAGCGCTTTTTAAATTTATTTTCATTTTCATTTATTTATCTATTTTTTAAGACAGGGTCTCACTCTGTTGCCCAAGCTGGAGTGCAGTGGCATGATCAGGGCTCACTGCAGCCCTTGAACTCTTAGGCTCAAGCAATCCTCCCACTTCAGCAAAGATATCTTGAGTACTACCCCACAAGCACAGGCAACCACAGCAAAAATGAACAAATGGTAGCTGGGTGCCGTCGCTCTTGCCTGTAATCCCAGCACTTTGGGAGGCCGAGGCGAGGAGATCGGCTGACGTCAGGAGTTCAAGACCAGCCTGGCCAACATGGCAAAACCCTGTCTTTACTAAAAATACAAAAATTAGCTGGGCACGGTGGTGAGTGCCTGTAATCCCAGCTACTCGGGAGGCTGAGGCAGGAGAATCACTTGAACCAGGGAGGCAGAGGTTGCAGAGAGCCGAGATTGCACCACTGCACTCCAGCCTGGACAACCAAGCGAGACTCTGTCTCAAAAAAAAAAAATTAGCTAGGCATCGTGGCACATGCCTTTAGTCCCAGCTACTCAGGAGGGTGAGGCACAAGAATCACTTGAGCCCAAGAGGCGGAGGCTGCAGTGAACCAAGATAGCACCACTGCACTCCAGCCTGGGTGACAGAGCAAGACTCTGTCTCCAAAAAAAAAAAAAAATTAAAAAATAAAAAGGACAAATGGGATCATGTCAAGTGAACAACCTTCTGCACAGTAAAGGAAACAATCAACAAAGTGAAGAGACAACCCACAGAATGGGAAAAAATATTTGCAAACTACCCATCTGACAAGGGATTAATAACCGGAATATATAAGGAACTCAAACAACTCTATAGGAAAAAATATAATAATCTAGTTTAAAAATGGGCAAAAAGTCTAAATAGACATTTCTCAAAAGAAGACATACAAATGGCAAACAGGCATATGAAAAGGTGCTTAACATCATGGATCATCAGAGAAAGGCAAATCAAAACTACAATGGGATATCATCTTCCCCCAGTCAAAATGGCTTTTATCCAAAAGACTGGCAATAGCAAACGCTGGTGAGGATGCGGAGAAAAGAGAACCCTCGTACACTGTTGGTGGGAATGTAAATTAGTACAACCACTATGGAAAACAGTTAGGAGGTTCCTCAAAAAACTAAAACTAGAGCTACCATATGATCCAGCAATCCCACTCCTAGGTAGAGACCCAAAAGAAAGGAAATCAGTACATCAAAGAGATATCTGCATTTTCATGTTTGTTGCAGCACTGTTCACAATAGCCAAGATTTGGAAGCAACGTAAGTGTCCATCGACAGATGAATGGATAAAGAAAATGTGGTACATATATACAATGGAGTACTTACTATTCAGCCATAAAAAGAACAGGATCCTGTCATTTGCAACAAATGGATGGAACTGGAGGTCTTTATGTTAAGTGAAATGAGCCAGGAACAGAAAGACAAACTTCAAACGTTCTCATTTATTTGTGGGAGTTAAAAATTAAAACAGTTGAATCCATGGAAATAGAGAGTAGAAGGATGATTACCATAGGCTGGGAAGGGTAGTGGGGGCTGGGGCAAGTGGGGATGGTTAATGGGTACAAAAAATTAGTTAAAGACTGGGCGCGGTGGCTCACGCCTGTAATCCCAGCACTTTGGGAGGTCGAGGTGGGTGGATCACCTGAGGTCAGGAGTTTGAGACCAGCCTGACCAACATAGTGAAACCCCATCCATACTAAAAATACAAAATTAACTGGGGGTGGTGGCACCTGCCTGTAATCCCAGCTACTTGGGAGGCTGAGGCAGGAGAATCGCTTGAACCCGGGAGGCAAAGGTTGCAGGAAGCTGAGATTGTGCCATTCCACTCCAGCCTGGGTAATAAGAGTGAAACTCCGTCTCAAAAAAAAAATAATTACTTAGAAAAAATGAATCAGAGTTGAGCACAGTGGCTAACTAACTTCTGTAACTCCAGCACCTTTGGAGGCTGGAGTGGAAGGATCACTTGAGCCCAGGAGTTTAAGACCAGCCTGGGCAACGTAGGGAGACACTGTCTCTAAAAAAATTTAAAAATTAGCCAGGCATGGTGGTGCAGGTCTATAGTCCCAGCTACTGGGGAGGCTGAGGTGAAAGGATCATTTACACCTGGGAGATCAAGCCTCCAGTGAGCCAGGATCACACCACTGCACATCAGCCTGGGTGACAAAGCGAGACCCTGTCTGAAAAAATAAAAATAAAATGAATCAGACCTAGTATTTGTTAGCACAACTAGGTGACTATAGTCAAAAATAATTTAATTGTACATTTTAAAATAACTAAAAGAGTATCATTGGATTGTTTGTAACAAAGGATAAATGTTTGAGGGGATGGACACCCCATTTACTCTGATGTGACTATTACTCATTGCATTACTATTACTCATTGTATCAAATAACCCATAAATTTATACACCTACTACTTATCCACAAAAATTAAAAATTTAAAAATTTAAAAATCCTCCTACTTCAGCCCCCTGAGTAGCTGGGACCACAGATATGCACCACCATGCCTGGCTAATTTTTTAATTTTGTGTTAGAGATAGGGTCTCATGTTGCCCAGGCTGGTCTCTAACTCCTGGGCTCAAGTGATCCTCCTACCTCAGTCTCCCAAAGTGCTGGCATTACAGGGGTGAGCTACTGCCCCATCCAGTACTTTTTATTAAGGCCCCTGGGGACATATCCCAGTTTTTTCTTCTTTTTTCTTTTTTCCCTTGAGACAGAGTTTTGCTCTGTCACCCATGCTGCAGTGCAGTGTCACGATCTCAGCTCACTACAACATCTGCCTCCCAGGTTCACATGATTCTGCTGCCTCAGCCTCCTGAGTAGCCAGGATTACAGGCATGCACCACGCCCGGCTAATTTTTGTATTTTTAGTAGAGATGGGGTTTCGCCATGTTGGCCAGGCTGGTCTCGAACTCCTGACCTCAGGTGATCCTCCCACCTCAGCCTCCCAAAATGCTGAGATTACAGGCGTGAGCCACTGCGCCCGGCCCCAGTATCCCAGTCTTACAGCTGTTATTGGACTGAAGAAGTCAGTTGGTTCTTTAACGTCAGTCACAATTGAACCCAAGTCAAGTCTAGCCCATAGTTTCCAGAGATGTAATGTTATAGTTTGGGTTTCCATGGCAGGAAACACATTTCATGCCATGACCATACCAAAATTGAAGATTAAGAGAAACTAAAATCAGCCAGGCGCAGTGGCTCATGCCTGTAATCCCAGCACTTTGGGAGACAGAGGTGGGTGGATCACCTGAGGTCAGGAGTTCGAGACCAGCCCGGACAACATGGTGAAACCCCATCTCTACTAAAAATACAAAAATTAGCTGGGCGTGGGCCAGCCACGGTGGCTCACGCCTGTAATCCCAGCACTTTGGGAGGCCGAGGCGGGCGGATCATGAGGTCAGGAGATCGAGACCATCCTGGCTAACGTAGTGAAACCCCGTCTCTACTAAAAATACAAAAAATTAGCTGGGTGTGGTGGCGGGCGCCTGTAGTCCCAGCTACTCGGGAGGGTGAGGCAGGAGAATGGCGTGAACCCGGGAGGCGGAGCTTGCAGCGAGCCGAGATCGCGCCACTGCACTCCAGTCTGGGCGACAGAGCGAGACTCCGTCTCAAAAAAAAAAAAAAAAAAGAGAAATTAAAATAAAATAAAATACAAATAAATAACAAACATAAACTAAACATGTACCCAGTCAAAAAGTTAAATTGGCTTGTTCTCACTTGTAACCTCAACACTTTGGGAGGCCAAGGTGGGAGGATCCCTTGAGCCTAGGAGTTCAAGACCAGCCTGGGCAACATGGTGACATCCCAGCTCTCCAAAAAAAAGTAAAAAAATTAGCCAAGTGTGGTGGCTACTTAGGATGCTGAGGTAGGATAATTGCTTGAGCCTGGGAGGTCAAGGCTGCAGTGAGCCATAATTGCACCACTGCACTCCAGCCTAGACAACAGAGTGAGACCCTGTTGTAAAAAACAACAACAACAAAAAAGCTAAACTGTCAATGCTCCTTGGGAGAAATTTGTGCATGAACTGGATTTGCTAATGTTTATTAAACTGCAACTTCTATGGAATGTTCTTGGTAATGTCCATAAGCATTCCTCTGCTCAAGGACCTTAAAAGTCATCCAACTTTTTAATCATCTTTCTTGGAAATTACCATCTCTGATGAGATGTGCGTGAATGGCCCTCCCCGGAGAATTTCAGTAACCAAAGCTGGGGAAAAAGCAGTTACTCCTCCCTCCTTCATTTCCCCTCCTCAAAGATTACAGCTAACTTTTATGTAAATCTTTAGTACTTTTTGATTGGCCAGAAGTTTCCCCTGTTCTTTCCCATAGTGGTCGTTCCTTGGTTTCTCTTTAAGCTTTTTCCTTTTTTTTTTTTTTTTTTTGTGAGATAGTGTCTTGCTTTGCCACCCAGGCTGGAGTGCAGTGGCGTGATCTAGGCTTACTGCAATCTCTGCCTCCTGGGTTCAAGTGATTCTCAGGCCTCAGCCTCCCGAGTAGCTGGGATAATAGGTGCACACCACCATGCCCAGCTAATTTTTCTATTTTTACTAGACACGGGGTTTCACCAAGTTGGCCAGGCTGGTCTCGAACTCCTGACCTCAAGTGATCTGCCCACCTCAGCCGCCCAAAGTGTTGAGATTACAGGCGTGAGCCACCGCTCCTGGCCTCCTCATTTTTTTTTTTTTATTGAGACAAGGTCTCACTCTGTCGCCCAAGCTGGAGTGCAGTGGCACAATCACAGTTCACTGTAGCCTTGACCTCTAGGTTCAAGCAATCATCCCGCCTCAGCCTCCTGAGTAGCTGGGACCACAGGCGTGTGCCACCATGCCTAGCTAATTTTTGTATTTTTTGTAGAGACAGAGTCTTCCTATGTTACCCAGGCTGGTCTTGAACCCCTAAGCTCAAGTGATCTTCCCACCAAGGCCTCCCAAAATGCTGAGATTACAGGCATGAACTACCAAGCCTGGCCCATGCCTCATTTTCAAAAGAGACTAAGGAAAATCCCAGATTTCCCAGAGGAAGTGACATTTGTCTTGTATGAAATTTTGGCAAGTGCATGGGGACCCAATCTGTGTGGGCACTGCTCGAGAAAAGGCCAGGAAATACGGCAAAAACTATTTGCACTGAATATTTATTTTTTGAGATGGAGTTTCGCTCTGGCATTCAGGCTGGAGTACAGTGGTACAGTCTCGACTCACCGTACCCTCCTCCTCCCAGGTTCAAGCGATTATCTTGCCTCAGCCTCCTGAGTAGCTGGGATTACAGGCGCCTGCCACCATGCCCGGCTAATTTTTGTATTTTTAGTAGAAACGGGATTTCACCATGTTGGCCAGGCTGGTCTCAAACTCCTGACTTCAGGTGATCCACCTGCCTTGGCCTCCCAAGGCAAATCCCAAGGCAATCCCGAAGTGCTGAGATTACAGGCATGAGCCACAGCGCTGGCCTGCCCTTAGTGTCTTCCATTTCCTCCTCCAGATCCATTCTTCATTTTTCTCCACGCTGTTCTACATCCTGGGAGCTGACTCATATGGACTGCGGCAGCAGACTTCTTTGCCCTGAAATTTCCAGTTGGGCTCTACCAACGGGAGGCACCAATAAAAGAGAATGACATTGTTTAAGTCCCATGGCTCTCTCCCTGCCAGGTCACCATGGATTGGCAGCATCCCTCCACTGAGGACTGAAACTCCTGTCAGGTAGCTCAATAACTGTCTATCTCTCTCTGCATTCAGGTAACATTTTTGTCCCTTCAGCCCTAAGGATGGTAACAGATATTGTACCATCTCTAATTGCTTTTCTTATACTCTGCCCACAGCTTTGTAAATAGCTCCTGTATTAAGCTCTTCTCAAAGTATCCATTTTGAGCAAGCCATCTGTTTCCTGCCAGAGCCCTGACATTGTGTTTGATTAATGGGTATTAGTTCAGACTAGCTGGTGCATGAAATGTGTGTGATGAAACAGTAAAACATCATGTAAGAACAGTAGGCTGAAACAGATGGTGGAGGGGCTTGTCTTCCAGGCCAGGAAGTCTATCAGATAATAAGAATCTCAGAAGGTTTTAGATCAGGAGTGACATACTTTAAGAAAACTAATTTAGTAGCTGTATGCAGAATAGTTCAGAAATTGGAGATGGGGAGATGAGTTAGGAGATGATTACCATTACTAGTAGAGGAAGGTAATATTTTGTAACCATCAAACTGGCAAAGACCCAAAAATTTCTTTTTTTTTTTGAGATGGAGTTTTGCTCTTGTCGCCCAGGCTGGAGTGCAGCGCCACAATCTCAGCACACTGTAACCTCTGCCTCTTGGGCTCAAGATATTCTCCTGCCTCAGTCTCCCAAGTAGCTGAGATTCCATGTGTGTGCCACCATGCCCGGCTAATTTTTGTATTTTTAGTAGTGACGAGGTTTCACCCTGTTGGCCAGGCTGGTCTCGAACTCCTGACCTCAGGTGATCCACCTGCCTTGGCCCCCCAAAGTGCTGGGATTACAGGGATGAGCCACCGCGCCTGGCACCACCCCCTTTCTTTTTTTTCTTTTTTTTTTTTTTATACAGAGTCTTGCTCTGGAAATGCAATGGCACAGTAATGGCTCACTGCTACCTCTTCTTGCCAGGTTCAAAGGATTCTCATGCCTCAGCATCCCGAGTAGCTGGGATTACAAACACGCACCACCACCCAGCACTTGGAAGACCACGGGGGACAGATTGCTTGAGCTCAGGAGTTCGAGACCAGCCTGGGCAACATGATGAAGCCCTCTCTACAAAAAATACACAAATTAGCCGGGGGTGATGGGGTGCACCTGTAGTCCCAGCTACTTGGGAGGCTGAGGTTGGAGGATATCTTGAGCCCAGAAGGTCCTTCACCCAGACCCTGTCTCAAAGAAACAAAGGAAAAAAAAAAAAAAAAGGACCGGGCACAGTGGCTCACGCCTATAATCCCAGGACTTTGGGAGGCTGAGGCAGGTGGATCAGCCGAGGTCAGGAGTTCAAGACCAGTCTTGCCAACATGGTGAAATTCTCTATTAAAAATACAAAAAATTAGCCGAGCATGGTGGCGGGCTCCTGTAATCCCAGCTGCTCGGGAGGTTGAGGCAAGAGAGTCACTTGAACCAGGGACGCTGAGGTTGCACTGAGCTGAGATCACGCCACTGCACTCCAGCCTGGGCAACAAGAGCGAAACTCTGTCTCAAAAAAAAAAAAAAAAAAGAAACACGTAAAGAGTGATGGCTCTCCGAAGGAACTGAATGTCTAGGGACAAAGGAATTACCTATGGTTTTTTGTTTTTGAGACAGTGTCTCACTCTGCCACACAGGCTGGAGTGCAGTGGCGTGATGTCAGCTCACGACAACCTGTCTCCCAGGTTCAAGCAGTTCTCCTGAGTAGCTGGGACTACAGGTGTGAACTATCATGCCCGGCTAATTTTTGTGTTTTTAGTAGAGACGGGGTTTCACCTGGCACCGGGTCTCCAACTCTTGACCTCAAGTGATCTGCCCACCTCAGCCTCCCAAAGTGCTGGGATTGCAGGCGTGAGCCCCCGGGCTCAGCTCTGGAATTTATTAAATATGTATCTATACCCTGACACTGCTGGTTACTGTCTATAATCCGAGTGTTTTGGGAGGCTGAGGCAGGAGAATTGCTTGAGGTCAGGAGTTCGAAACCAGCCTGGGCAACATAAGGAGAGCCCATCTCTTTAAAAACAAAACACACACACACACACACACACCAAACAAACCCATGTATTTACTGCAGACCTACTTTATTATGCACCGTGATGTTTCAAGTATCACAAACCATTACAAAGCAATATAATCACCCTCCTTCCCCCTTACTGCTTCAAACTATTGTGGTAAAAATAAATAAATAAAGCCCTGGCGTGGTGGCTCACGCCTGTAATGCCAGCACTTTGGGAAGCTGAAGCGGGTGGATCACCTGAGGTCAGGAGTTCGAGAGCAGCCCGGACAACATGGCGAAACCCCGTCTCTACTAAAAATACAAGTTCGCGTGGTGGCGCGCGCCTGTAATCCCAGCGCGCCACCACGCTGGGGGACGGAGTAAGACTCAGTCTCAAAGGCATGACGAAAATAGCAAAAATGCTTTAGTGTTATACCTGTTACGAATTTAATGGAAATTACAAGTAGGAGCCCATTACAATCTCTAGCCTTAAAATGCTGAAAACATACACAGTGTGACAATAAGTAAACTTCGAGACCCAATAAGGGGGAAAGTCCAACGTGGAAAGTATTTGGTAGGAGTGAAGAACAGAGTGACAACTGCTTAGTCCCACTGGATATTTCGCTCCTCTTCAGGAAGAATACTCCAGTTTGGGGAGGCCATATCCCGGGCCAGCCAGTTAAAATCGTCAACATCGTTCCAGTTATTTTTGCTCCTATCTAAACCAGAGCTCTCGAAGTCCTTGTCGATCTCCGGGTAGCTCCAGGTGTAAGGGGCGAACTGGATCCCACTGCAGTCCTCCACGATGGCCCTGCTGGTCACCTGCAGGAAGATGCGGGTGTCTTTCGTACTGTGTATGCGGAGCTGTTGGCAGGCCACTGCCAGCACGCAGTCACTGCAGTCCTCCAGGAAAACAGAGGTAGACACCGGACCGCAGAGCAGCTTGCAGCTGTGGGCCTTGGTTAGCCGCAGGGTGTTGGGATTTCCATACAGTCTGACCGTGCAGTTGCTCAGTTCGGTCAAAAGAACGTCGCGCTGGTGCAACTCGCTGGCTCTCTTCTCCAAGACTTGGGACTCCAGGTTGGAGAAACCGCAGACCCAGCTGGGGCCGAGGTCTCCTTCCGCCTTCTTGGGCAGCGGGGAGTCCTGTATGCTTTCAACTGCCGGGGGGATGCCAGGAGCCGCGTCTACTTTGGTAGACGAAGCAGCATCCTTTCCCCGGGTCTTGAAAGCGAAACGCTTCTTGGGCTGCAGCCCCCGGCGCCGCTCGGCCAAGGCCGCCTGCAGCCGCGCCAGCGCCTCTTGTCCCTGCCGCAGGTCGTAAGCGGCTAGGAAAAAAACTGAGTCGTTGATTAGTTTCTGCAGCCCCTGGAGCCGAGAGGCCGCCTCCTCCAGCCGCTCGACCGACTCCGCGCGCTCCAGAAGCTCTTCCACGGCCGCTCGCTCCCGAACAAAGGTGGCGACGAAAAAGTGGCTGTTCTCCTTCTCTACCTCCTGGTTCTGCCGCTTTTGTTTCCGCCTTTCAACTTCCAGCTGCCGTTCTTGTTCGCGTCTCTGAAGCCGCTCAGGCACCAGGCTCAGGTCCCGCTGGGACTCCATGTCTCCGGTCCTGACAGCAGCAGCGGAGCAACTGACGGACTCCATATTGGCTTCAAGCTTCCTCTCTCTTGTCTTCCTTCCTCCGGGCGCGCTGTCCGTGAGGCCTCCCACCAACGCGTCCGGTGATTGGCCTAACATGATGATGTCAGATCCCCGGCCTTATTTTCTTCGCCTATTGGTTCCTCTGCGTCGGAGGGGGCGGGGAGATGGGGCGGGGCCGACTGACTATGGGGGTGGGAAGACAAAGGTTCTTGTGGATGGGTGGGGTGGGAGGCAGGCGGGGGAATCTTTTTTTTCCTCTTAAAGGGGCAGGACTTATATCCGGGATTGTGGGGTGAGTTGCAGCAGCGGCAGCTGCACATGTGGGTTTGTTTATAAGAACAAGGTTAGAAACTCGCAGGCCTCCCCCTCCCCCCAGCTCCTCCCTACTACCCCCTTACAGGCCGGAGATCCGCTACTAGGGGTGTGGGTGGGAGGGATGAGTGCGTGTGGTGGGTTGGGGGGACAGGTAGTGGTGAGAAAGATGGAGCGGGGGGGAATATTGCACCGCCTGGCCCGCGCCGGAGGAAGCAGCAGCTGGAACAGCTGGCTGGGGAGCCGCTTGCATGCCTCCGGTTTTTTCTTTTCCCTTCCACCACCCCTTCCCCCAACCCATTTCTGCCTCCCCGTAGCCCTCATCCTTACCGCCCCCCTCCCCCCTATCCACTGCAGTTCGGCGCGGCCTGGGGGCTCCTGGATCCCCGCAGGCAGTTACTAGGGCAGGAGAAGGCAAGGGGCACTGCGATGGGAGAGACTGGGTTCCTCACTGCAACCTGGTTCGAGGGGCCCTGGGGGAGTCCATAAAAGGATTACTATTTTTTTGGCCAATTGCTGCAGTCGGAGGGGTGGGGGCGGGGGAAGGTGAGATCCACACCCCCTTCCTCTTTCTTCCCTGCCCTCCCCGAGCTCGGTCCCGGCCACTCCCTCCGCAGCTGGGCGTCGCCGGCCGCGCTGGGGTGAGACCCTAGCCCCGGGCTCCGTGGCTCTCTGGGGCGGTCGGTCTTAGGAAAGCGGTGGGAGAAGCGGTACATTATTTCTAGGGGTGGTGGGAGGGATTTGTCACCGGAAGTGAATGGCCTAGCCTAAAGTCGGGACCAACCCGAGGTGTGGGTGGGCAGCCAAGACGGCGCAGTCACTGGCAAAAACCCGAGGCAGCGGGCAGGGCGAGAACCCGAGACGCAGCCGCTGCCCGGGCGCGGCAGCCTCGCATGCTTCGCTCAGATCTGCGGAGCTCCCGAACCTCTTTAACCCTGCCCGCCCTTCCAACCCTAGGTTTCCTCCTTATATCCCCAGTTCCCAGCCTCCATCGTTTAAATTGGGGTATTTAACGACCCAAGAAACTTGAAATTTCACCGATCTACCTGCATTTTGATGCAGAGAAAGATGGGAGGAAACGCGAACCATTGAATTAAATCTGAGTTAAAACTGATCTCCCATTTTCACGCCCCACTCTCTTCCTTTCCTTCCCACTTAAAACAAACAAAACACACATAAATTGCTGGGCCAGAGTATTTCTCCGCTGAGAGCACAGTTCATACCGTGTGGCAGATTCCCCGCGCAGGCGGGGCGCGGGGGCAGGGGAGAGGCTTGTGTGTCCGCGTGCCTGCGTGCACCCGATGGAAAAGGGGGTGCCGAAAAACAATGGTGCTTACTCTTGTGCATAGTCATCGTTTTCACTAGTCTTGTTTTATGGGCAGATTAGGTGAGGCTTCTGTTTTTGCTTTTTTGTTTTATTTTGTTTTTTTTTTTTTTTTTTGAGACGGAGTTATGCTGTTGTTGCCCAGGCTGGAGTGCAATGGCGCGATCTCGGCTCACCGCTATCCGCCTCCCGAGTTCAAGTGATTCTCCTGCCTCAGCCTCCCGAGTAGCTGGGACTACAGGCATGCGCCACCATGTCCGGCTAATTTTGTATTTTTAGTAGAGACGGGGTTTCTCCATGTTGGTCAGGCTCGTCTCGAACTCCCGACCTCAGGTGATGCGCCCGCCTCGGCCTCCCATAGTGCCGGGATTACAGGCATGAGCCACTGTGCCTGGCCCTTTTTTTTTTTTTTTTTTTTTCCAGAAAAGCAGGTTTATTTCACAAAACTGTGGGTCTGAAAGCTGGTGGACAAGAAAGCTAGTTATATTGTCCAAGTCGTGGAGGAATTGCAATAGCTGCTTTATTTTATGAAATGTTGATTTAAGCAAAGAAGCTTTAGAGAAGATTTATTTTTCTAGAAAAAAACAACCTGACCTTTTAAGTTTTTCAGGTTGAACCTGTCTCACTCAAATTAAGAACGTTTGTAGCTAAAGAAGGTTTATTGGACTTGGAGGTTGCAGCTGGAGTGAGATAACATTTCGGTATTAGGCATAGTGAATCTATGGGTGTTGTAAGTGTTGGCTGTATCCCAAGTGGAATTGAATGTTATTAAACCCTTTCAAGAACTTCATTTCTGTCTACCAACAGGTTTTTGCTACAATCCAGTAGACTTGGGAAGTTTCTAAATACTTGAAGTTGGTTAGTTCGAACTTTCAAGAAAAGGAAACAGTTAAAAACAGAGCTTGACAGGTCACCCAGGTGACCCGGTGTGTTAGGGGCAGTTTCAAAGACTGATGTGAGGAGTAGTGGAAAGGGGTCAGTGAGTGATACGGTCATTGTGAAGCATTGGCTGGACAGTTCTTTACAGCCCCCCTGCACAGCTGCAGGCTGTGAGGTATGTGGTCAAGAAATGGAGATAAAGCTGTTTCTGAGTTCAAACACAGTAGGAAGGCTGCGAAATGGCTGGCATTGCCCGGCTGTGTTTGCATCCTCTCTCTGCCATTTGAGGGCAGTGGATTCAGCATGCATCTTTGAAATATATCCCAGCTTGTCAGAGGTAAGTGCCTGTTTTGATGGAAGGAGAGTGGGGAATGCATTACGGGGGAAATGTAGCAAAAGGCAAGCAGCTCTGAGTTCTGCATCCTACTTTCAATGATATCTCAAAGGGCTTGTGAATCAAGGTACTGCTCTCTTGTAGACATCTTGAAAAATGAAAGAATTCTAACGTATTATGGACTTTACCGTTTATTTAACAACAGTTTAGATACTTTATGGTTCTATTTGTTAGATCCCCCTTTTAACTTTTTGAAAATTTCCAACATATATAACATGGAGAGGGTATTAGAATAGTGTTCCAAGGACTCACATACCCATCACCCAGCTTCAACAACTGCCAACTGATGTTAAGTAAATAAGCCAGGAACAGAAAGAAAAATATCACATGTTCTCACTCGTATGTGGGAACTGAAAAAGTTGATCATATGGAGTTGGAGTGTAGAATGATAGTTACCAGAGGCTGGGAAGTGGAGGGAGATGAAGTGAGATTGGTTAAAGGGCACAAAGGCACAAGTTAGATAGAGGGAATAAGTTCTAGTGTCAGATAGCACAGTAGCCTAATTCGAGTTAACAATAATGTATTGTACATTTCAAAATAGCTAGAAGAAAGGATTTGAAATGTTCCCAACACAAAGAAGTGATAAATGTTTGAAGTAATAGATATCCCAATTATTCTAATTTGACCACTACATATTATATGCATGTATCAAAATATCACATGTACCTCATAAATATGTACAATTATTATATATCAATAAAAATAATAATAACTTTTTAAAAAACAGTTACCAACTGAGAATCTTGTTTCCTGTAAAGCCCTAGTCACTTCCCCACCTCTCACCCTGATTATTTTTTGGCCCATCCCTTATATTATATTATTTCATATTTTATTGTCTATAAATATTTCACTATATACCTCTAAAAGATTGGGAGTTCCTTTTTTTTTTTTTTGAGATAGAGTCTCGCTCTGTTGCCCAGGCCAGAGTGCAGTGGCACGATCTCAGCTCTGTGCAACCTCTGCCTCCCAGGTTCAAGTGATTCTCCTGCCTCAGGCTCCCAAGTAGCTAGGATTACAGGTGCCCACCACCACGCCCGGCTAATTTTTTTTAATATATATAGTTTTAGTAGAGGCGGGGTTTCACTATGTTGACCAGGCTGGTCTCGAACTCCTGACCTCATGTTCTGCCCACCTCTGCCTCCCAAGGTTCTGGGATTACAGGTGTGAGCCACCGTGCCTGGGCCCTTTTTTTTTAAATTGAGACAGGGTCTCACTCTGTCACCTAGGCTAAAGTGCAGTGGTGCAATCACAGCTTACTGTAGTCTTGACCTCCCAGGCTGAAGTGATCCTTCCACCTTAGCCTCCTGAGTAGCTGGCACTACAGGTGTGCACCACCACTCCCAGCTAAATTTGGTATTTTTTTTTGCAAAGACAGGGTTTTGCTGTGTTGTCCAGGCTGGTCTTAAACTCTTGGGCTCAAGTGATCTGCCCACCTCGGCCCCTGGAAGTGCTGGGACTACAGGTGTGAGCCCCCACGCCTGGCCACTTCCCTTTTAAGACAGCCACATTGCCGTCACCACACTCCAAAAAAGCATAGAAAATATTTTCTCAATAGCAGATTGCCAGTCTATATTCACATCTGATTATCCCATAATATACGTTTGCTTTTTTCTCAAGACGACGTCTTGCTCTGTCGCCCAGGCTGGAGTGCAATGGCGCGATCTCGGCTTACTGCAACCTCCACCTCCTGGGTTCAAGTGATTCTCATGCCTCAGCCTCCTGAGTAGCTGGGATTACAGGTGCCCACCACCATGCCTGGCTAATTTTTTGTATTTTTAGTACAGATGGGGTTTCACCATGTTGGGCCAGGCTGGTCTTGAACTCCTGACCTGAGATGATCCGCCTGCCTCAGCCTCCCAAAGTGCTGGGATTACAGGCGTGAGCCACCGCGCCCGGCCTTTTTTTTTTTTTTTTTTTTTTTTTTTTTTTAATACTTTAAGTTCTGGGATGCATGTGCAGAATGTGCAGTTTTGTTACATCGGTATACATGTGCCATGGTGGTTTGCTGCACCTATCAACCTGTTATCTAGGTTTTAAGCCCCGTATGCATTAGGTATTTGTCCTAATGCTCCCCCTCCCCTTGCCCAGTTTCCTTTTTTTAAAGTTATTTTATTTGAATAAGGATCCAAACAAGTTCCATACACTGCATTTAGTTATTGTGTCCCTTAAATCACTTTTTTTTTTTTTTAGTTAGACAAACAGCTTTATTTGAAAGATGTGGTCAGCCAAGTCCCCCTCCAACCCCAAGGTCCTGGCAGCATTGGCCTCAGGCGTGGGAGGACCCGTGTCCTGGGTGGAGAGCCTTAAATCACTTTCACTGTGTGGGTTCCTTTTTCTCTAAATTGTTTTGTTGAAGCAGCTTGGTCATTTGTTCAGTAGAGTTTCCCACAGTCTGCATTTTGCTGGTTGCATCTCTATACAGTATTTGTTAAATTTTAAACGTCTGTTGTATTTATTTGATCTTTTAATGTTACAAAGGGAATCTCATGATTGTAGTTACATGCCTCAAGAAGTAAGTAGTGAAAGCATTTAAGCAAAGGAAAACAGTCTTTAGGTATGGTAAACAATAAAGGAATAGGCCCTTCGGTGTTCTCTGGAGTTTGTCAGGGACCCTGCACTGGTGGAAGATACCAGCCACACCCAGGCAAATAAAAGGACCCTTTTTCTTTCTTTTCTTTTTTTTTTTTTTTTTTTTGAGACGGAGTTTTGCCCTTGTTGCCCAGGCTGGAGTGCAGTGGCATGATCTTGGCTCACCGCAACCCCCGCCTCCTGGGTTCAAGCGATTTTCCTGCCTCAGCCTCCCAAGAGGCTGGGATTATAGGCATGCGCCACCATGCCGGGCTAATTTTGTATTTTTAGTAGAGACGGGGTTTCTCCATGTTGGTCAGGCTGGTCTTGAACTCCTGACCTCAGATGATCCGCCCGCCTCAGCTTCCCAAAGTGCTGGGATTACAGGCATGAGTCACCGCGCCCGGCCAAGCCCCTTTTTCTAGTAGTTTGATGCCAGAAAGAAGCATCACCTATTCATCTTTCAGCAAGTCTTGACTATATATGGGATGTAAAGCATTCATTAAAGAGCTGTGCACATCAAAATTATCAAATGTTAGGCAAATCTTCCTACCTTGGCTACTTTCTGGCAGGAAGACAGTGAAAGGTGACAGTTGTGCAGGCAGGTCCTGTTGTTGGGAAGCAGGACAGGAGCAGCCTTTTCCTTCTGCCTTTGCCCCTGGCGCTCTCCTCTGCCTCAACGCCCTTGACCTTCTGAAACTTTTTTCATCATTGTACACTTAACGTCTAGCACATAGGCTGGCACGTGTTTATTTATCTAAACATCTGTTTATTAAGCACTAACTGTGCCCAGCACTGAGCCAGGGAGGCCCTAAGACTGCCAAGGTGGATAAAAACAGACATCGTCCCTGTCCTCCTTAAGAAGGCCTAATTTGGGCAAATAGTCACAAAAACATGTAAAATGTGTTCTTTGCTTGCTGAGACTGGGTCTCTCTCTCACCCAAGCTGGAGTGCAGTGGCATAATTATAGCTCACTGCAGCCTCAAACTCCTGGGCTCAAGCAATTCTCCCATTTCAGCCTCCTGAGTAGCTGGGACTACAGATGCATGCCACCGTGCCCAGCTAATTTTTTTTTTTAGATTGAGTCTCACTGTTTCCCAGGCTGGAGTGCAGTGGCGCCATGTTGACTCACTGCAGCCTCCACCTCCCAGGTTCAAGCAATTATCCTGCCCCAGCCTCCTTAGTAGCTGGGATTACAGGCACACACCACCATGTGTGGCTAATTTTTGTATTTTTAGTAGAAACAGAGTTTTGCCATGTTGGCCAGCTAGTCTCCAACTCCTGACCTTAGGTGATCCACCTGCCTCTGCTTCCCAAAGGGCTGGGATTACAGGTGTGAGCCACAGTGCCCTGCCCCCAGCTGACTTTTTTTTTTTTTTTTTTTTTTTGGTTGGGGGGGTACGGAGTTTTGCTCTGTCACCCAGGCTAGAGTGCAGTGGTGCAATCTCGGCTCACTGCAACCTCCGCCTCCCAAGTTCAAGTGATTCTGCTGCCTCAGCCTGCCGAGTAGCTGGGACGACAGGCACTTGCCACCATGCCTGGCTAATTTTTTGTATTTTTAGTAGAGACTGGTTTCACCATGTTGGCCAGGCTGGTCTCGAACTCCTGACCTCAGGTGATCCATCCACCTCACCCTCCCAAGGTGCTAGGATTACAGGCATGAGCCACCATGCCTGGCCTGATTTTTAAATGTTTTTGTAGAGACAGGGTCTTGCTGTGTTGCCCAGTCTGGTCTTGAACTCTTGGCTTCAAGGGATCCTCCTGCCTCGGCCTTCCAAAGTGCTGGGATTACAGGCATGAGCTACTACACTTGGCCAATCATTGCTATAAAAGAAAGAGTTACAAGGAGCCCACTAGTGGTGGGGGTTGCCTTGTTGGGATGGTCATGGAAAGCTTCAGAGGGGGTTGAGCTGAACGGGAAAGCATGAGTAGGAATTAACAAGAGAGAAGACATAAAGCACGTAAGGGTCCTGGAAAAGCTGGAGGAAATGGTACTTAAAACACAGGTGCAAGGAGTAGTTATAGATAGGAGGAGGGACATCCTCTCTATTGCACTGTTGTTTGAACTTGTTTGTTTTTTTTCAGACAGGGTCTCACTCTGTCACCAAGGCTGGAGTGCGGTGGCACGACCTTGGCTCAGTGCAACCCCCGCCTCCTGGGTTCAAGTGATTCTCCTTCCTCAGCCTCCTGAGTAGCTGGGATTACAGGTGTGCGCCACCACACCCAGCTAATTTTTGTATTTTTAGTAGAGATGGGGTTTCACCATGTTGGCCAGGCTGGTCTTGAACTCCTGACCTTAGGTGATCTGCCCGCCTCAGCTTCCCAAAGTGCTGGGATTACAGGCACGAGCCCCTACACTTCATGAGAAGGCATGAGCACTTCCCAAAGTGCTGGGATTACAGGCATGAGCCACTACACTTCATGGGAAGGCATGAGCACTTCCCAAAGTGCTGGGATTACAGGCATGAGCCACTACACTTCATGGGAAGGCATGAGCACTTCCCAAAGTGCTGGGATTACAGGCATGAGCCACTACACTTCATGGGAAGGCATGAGCACTTCCCAAAGTGCTGGGATTACAGGCCGTGTTTGAAGTTTTTAATGAGAATTTGCTAACATACAGAAACTTTTTTTTTTTTTTTGAGACGGAGTCTTGCTCTGTTGCCCAGGCTGGAGTGTAGTGGCACAATCTGGGCTCACTGCAAGCTCCACCTCCCGAGTTCATGCCATTCTCCTGTCTCAGCCTCCCGAGTAGCTGGGACTACAGGCGCCCGCCACCACGCCTGGCTAATTTTTTTGTATTTTTAGTAGAGACGGGGTTTCACTGTGTTAGTCAGGATGGTCTGGATCTCCTGACCTTGTGATCCGCCCATCTCGGCCTCCCAAAGTGCTGGGATTACAGGTGTGAGCCACCGTGCCATACATAGACTTTTTGACGTCAACTCATAGTAACAGATGTGTCATAATTGAAACAGATGTTTTAAGAAACAATAAATACTCTTACTATGTGCAGTGGACCCTATTTTCTATTCTATTTATTGCATTTAAAATGTGCTGATCAAGGCTGGGCATGGCAGTTCATGCCTGTAATGCCAGCACTTTGGAAGGCTGGGGCAAAAGGATTGCTTGAGGCTAAGAGTTTGAGACCAGCCTGGGCAACATAGTGAGACCCTGTCTCTACAAAAAAATGTTTTAAAAAATTGTCTGGGCATGGTGGCATGCACCTATAGTTGCAGCTATTCAGGAGGCTGAGGTAGGAAGCTCGCTTGATCCCAGGAGTTGGGGCTGCAGTGAGCCATGATCGTGCCACTGCACTTCAGCCTGGGCAACAAAACGAGACCCTGTCTCTAAACAAAAGCAAAAACAGCTGATCAAGACCTCCCTAAGTTAAACTGCAATTTTAAAATGCCGCATCAGCATTTCTTTATAGAAAAGGAAAAGGGGAGTACAGGTGCAGGAAAATGTATGGTAGTTGGTAGATGACTCTGATAGTTTCTGCGTCCTCTATAAAGCAGACAGTGAGGTCTCATGCTGAGTATGAGGAGAAAAGGGTGGAGGTAGGGGGTCTGGAAAGTGTGCAGAAGGTTTGAAAACCCTGGGGGAATAGGGAGAGTGTTGTCCAGAGAAATGGGGCTGGGTATGGTGTGGATGTTGAGCAAATACTTGGAGAATGAAGTTGGGAATGAATGAGAGCTTCCCAGGTGGGGCAATCTAAGCAGGAGACCAGCTCAAGAGAAGACAATGGGATTTGGGGCAGGTCAGAGGGGAAAAGCTCATGTGAAGAGCCTACTCCTCAGGAGCTGGGGTATCCCTGGAAGGTGGTGTCTCTGAAGAGTCTGGGCTTGACTCCTGCAGCCCCTCATGCATTTCCTATAAAACTCTTTAGAAGTGAACACCATTCTCCCCAAGACCCTCACTGCCTGTCAGCAGATGACCTTACCTACTCTTCACAGAAAAGAGGTGGCCAGATAGGACCTCCACATGCCTCCCCTCTCACTTCTAACTTATCTGTGAAGACCCACCTCTTTGTCTCTCTCCTTCTCACTCAGGGCAAAGCTCCCACCAGGGTTCTCTGTCCTCTTCCTTCCATTGCCTGGGACCTCGAGCCACCAGTCACCTCTTTCTTTTTTTTTTTTTTTTGAGATGGAGTCTTGCTCTGTTGCCCAGGCTGGAGTGCAATGGCGTGATCTCAGCTCACTGCAACCTCCGCCTCCTGGGTTCAAGCGATTCTCCTGCTTCAGCATCCCAAGTAGCTGGGATTACAGGCGCACGCCGCCACGCCCGGCTAATTTTTTTTTTGTATTTTAGTAGAGATGGGGTTTCACCGTGTTGCCCAGGTTGGTCTTGAACTCCTGAGCTCAGGAAATCCACCCATCTCGGCCTCCCAAAGTGTTAGGATTACAGGCGTGAGCCACCGCGCCCGGCCCAGTCACCTCTTTCTTCAGGATTTTTAATCTCTCTTTTCTTTGGCATCTCCTCTCAGCAAGCAAGTTTCCTCAACTTAAAACAATTTACCTTTTGTCCTATCATCCACCCAAGTGATGTTCTAACTTTCTTCCCCTAACAATAGACTTTTAAAACAATAGTCTACATTTGCTGTGTCCAGTTTCTCAATCGTCATTCCCTCCTTAGCCACTTATCCGACTTCTGCCCCTGCCATTGTATTTGAAACGGAAATTGCCCTATTCCCATTCCTTCCTAATTTTCAAATGCATCGCTCTTTGTAGCCCTAAGTATTTGATTACCCCTTCTTCTCACAGCAGGAATTTATCTCCCTGGTTCTTTCTTGGTTCTTTATTCATCCCTGATAAACTTCTCTGTGTCCATCCCTTAAATATAAGTGAGGCCAGAATTCTATTTCTTTTCTTGTTCCTCTCACCTCCTTTGGCAAGCTTACCTTCTCCCAGGGTGCCAAGTCCTGTTCATGTGCTGATTGACTCTCAGATCCCCAGCTCCTCCCTCTGCCTCTCTCTTGAGCCCAGACCTGATCTTCCAACTGCTTTCTAGATGTTTCCATGTAACTATCTACTATCCCAAACACCTCATGTTTAGGATGGCCCAAAATGAGGTTTTTATTGCCCCAGAGATCTTTTTTTTTTTCTATACGTAAGTCTGAGTTACTGATTGTTGGGTAACAACTCACCCCAAAACTTACTGCTTACTGGCTTACACAGCAATAATTTCTCACAATTCTGTGGGTTCAACTGGTACTGGAGCCTCCAAGATGGCTTCACTCACACATCTGGGGCCTTGGTGCTGGCTGTGGGCTGGGGCACCTGGCTTTTTCTCCCCATGTGCACATGCTTGCGCTGTCTCTCGCTTGGCTCTCGCGCGCGCGCTCTCTCTCTCTCTCTCTCTCTCTCTCTCCCTCTCCCCCCCCCCCACCCTCCCTCTCTCCCTCTCTCTTTGAGCTCTTGTTATTCAGTAGTGGAGTTCAAGCTTCTTTTCACAGTGGCTGGCTTCCAAGGGGGCAAAAGCAGATGCCACCAGGCCTCCTGTGGCTTTGGCTGGAATTGGTACAGTGACACTTCTATTGCATTCATATGGTCAGAGTATATCACAAAGCCAGCCCAGATTCAAGGGAAGGAGAAATGGACTGCTTTTTTTGATGGATGGAGCAAGAGTCACTTAGAGGGATGGAAAGAACTGTTGGCAGCCATCTTTGTGCAGATAATCTACCATGCTCTATATAAATAGTTTTTTTTTAACTCTTTTTTTTTTTGAGATGGAGTCTCCCTCTGTCACCCAGGCTGGAGTGCAATGGAGCAATCTCAGCTCACTGCAAGCTCCGCCTCCCAGGTTCACCCCATTCTCCTGCCTCAGCCTCCTGAGTAGCTGAGACTATAGGCGCCTGCCACAACGCCCCAGCTAATTTTTTGTATTTTTACTAGAGACGGGGTTTCACCCTGTTAGCCAGGATGGTCTCGATCTCCTGACTTCGTGATCCACCTGCCTCGGCCTCCCATAGTGCTGGGATTACAGGCTCTGGCCACCATGCCCGGCTAATTTTTGTATTTTTAGTAGAGATGGGGTTTTGCCATGTTGGCCAGAAAGATCTCGAACTCCTGGCCTCAAGTGATCTGTCTGCCTCGGCCTCCCAAATTGCTGGGATTACAGGCATGAGCCACCGCGCCCAGCCTGTTAACTCTTATGTGGCATTTGCTATGTGCCAGGAAATGGCTATTTACATGTTTTACCTCATTGAATCTTCACAACATCCCTGTGATGTACATACTACTATTATTCTCATTTAACAGATGAAGAACTGAAGTGAAGCTGACTTCCCCAGGCCTGAGAGCTAGCTAAGTCGTAGAGTTAAGATTTGTACGTGGTCTTAGCCAAAAGGCCAAGAAGCAACTAGAGCTAAGATTTGAATGGAGGCAGTCTGGCTCCTGAGTTCAGGCTTCTGACACTGCCTGTGTAATCATGAGACTACATCTGACCATGCTCATGACACCAAATCCATAGTCTTCCAAACGGGGGATCAGAGCCAACCACAGCACCTCCTTCTCTCTCACTGGTCCACCCAGTTGACAAATACTGTTAATGCTCTCTGATCTCTCTCTCTGTCTCTCTGGCCTGGCTCCCTCTCTTCAGGTTTGGCTCCTTCCTCATCTTCTTCTCCCTGGGCTATTGTTACAGTTTCCCATCTGGTCTCGTTACCCTTGGGCTTCCCTGAATCCCCCAGTTCTCTATACCGTAGCCAGTTATTGCCCTAAAATGCAAGCCGATTGTGTCACTTAAAACCTCTGCTGGCTCTCTATTGTCTCATACAGTTCAGACTCCTTAGTGTGAATGCTGGGCCTCTTGCATCTGGCCCGCGGTGTACCTCACCAGCCTCATGTCCCACCAGCGCCCTACTCCAGCCACACCAAGGTCTGCTGTCACCCAGCACACTGTGTCTGTTCACTTCCATGTATTCGTGCTGCACTTTTTAAGGCACTTTGCCAGATGGTGCAGGTGTATTGGTGAACACACAGACTGGGCTCCCTCAGAGCTCAGAAGCTAAGTAAGAGATACAGATAATTACAGTGTGGTACGATTTACACTACAATGGAAATCTGGAGTGCTGAAATTATACAGAGTAACCTATCTCAGACCAGGAGAATCAGGACTATCTTTTGGGAAATATAAGCTGGGTCCTTATGATGGAGTCGGGGGGTCCAAAAAAAAAAAAAAAAGAAAAAAGAATTGAGTGGCATCTATCCAGGTGAAGGGTGAAAGCAGAGTCACATATTCATTCTTTCTTTCTGCAGGTATTTATGGAGTACCCACTATGTTCTAGGCACTTTTCTAGGTGTTGGGACTACAGCAGTGAACGAGAGAGACCAAAAAGTCTCTGCCTTCTGGCCAGGAGGCTAGGAGAGCTCCAGTGCTTCCAGCAACAGACAGGTCATGTGCAACAAACCTGGACATGAGACAGAGACGTGTCAGGCTAAAGCAATGTTCTCAACCCTAGCTGCTCATTGATATCTCGTGGAGGCTTTACAGCATCCTAATGCCCCTTGAATAAATCTGAATCTCTGGGAGTGGGGCCTTGGCATCAGTATTTCTTAAAGCTCCCCAGGTGGTTCTCATGGGCAACCAGGGTTATAAGTCACTGTGTCAGGAACTGAAGCACTTCAAAGCTGGAAGTGGAGATCAGAGATGAAGTTAGAGAGGTGAGCAGGGGCCAGCCCACCAAGGGCTTTGTAAATCCTGTTAGGAAGTTTCAGCTTAATCTTGAAGGCACTGGAGCTGCCAAAGGGCTTAAGCAGGATGATGAGAGCATCACATTATTTTTCCTTTTTTCCCCCTTTAACAAAGGATCAGTCTGGATGCTCTGTGTGAAGTGGATTTACATGGACAAAAATAAACAGATGTTAGTTTGGAGGCCATTGCAGGAGCCAGAGAGAAATGGCATTGGGCTGCGATGATGGGAGTAAAGATAGAGGAAAGAAGGGGGAGTGTCTGAGAGATTTGGAAGGAGACTAGACAGGACTCAGTGATTAACTGGAAGCAAGAGTTGTAGAAGTTCCAGTTTGTGGAACTGGGTCTGTGGTGATCTTGGTACCTGACAGAGTGAACCTGGAGGAGAAGGTTTGGAGCAAGCTGGTAGGTCCCTTTACACATGCTGCTTGCTCCTGGGTTCCTCTGTGATCCTATGCCTCATCTTCTCTGCATAACAAGGCACTTGCCTCCTACAAGATCTGTTTTATAAATTCCTCCTCTTCTGGGAAGCCTATCTGGGTTTCGCCCTCTGTTGGTTCTGGTTAGATGATTATGAGTGTGTGAAGTCAGTATCTGTTTACAGGTATCTCTTCTGCAGCTTGAGCTTCTCCAAGCAAGGATGTGTTTTATTCCATGCTGTGTCCCTCACACAGCACCTGGGACACAGGAGGTACACAGTAAGTGCTTGTTAAAGAGATGATTTATGGCCAGGTGTGGTGGCTTAACCCTGTAATCCCAGCACTTTGGGAGGCCGGGGCGGGTGGATCACCTGAGGTCAGGAGTTCGAGACCGGCCTGACTAACATGGTGAAAGCCCGTCTGTACTAAAAATGCAAAAATTAGCCAGGCATGATGGTGCACACCTGTAATCCCAGCTACTCAGGAGGCTGAGGCAGGAGAATCACTGAACCTGGGAGGCGGAGGTTGCGGTGAGCTGAGGTTGCGGTGAGCTGAGATTGCACCATTGCACTCCAGCCTGGGCAACAAGAGCAAAACTCCATCTCAAAACAAAAAAAAATTGGGAGGCCGAGGCACGCGGATCACCTGAGGTCAGGAGTTCGAGACCAGCCTGACCAACATGAAGAAACCCCATCTCTACTACTAAAAAAAAAAAAAAAAGTGGGTCAGGGGACTTGTTCTCATTTCTAGAGTAAGGGAAAGGAGTCCAGGGGCAAGGGATATTTGCTTAGCTGATCAGGAAAGAGTCCTAGTTAAAGAGGTAGGTGCCTTAGCTGTTGACTCTAAGAGAGAGTAATATATTGTCAGCTGTATAAATTGCCTTTTGAATGTGGTTTCAACATTATTATTATTATTACTATTATTATTATTATTAGAGGCAAGGTCTTGCTATGTTGCCCAGGCTGGTCTCGAACTCCTGGGCTCAAGCAATCTGCTCATCTCAGCCTCCCAGAGAGCTGGGATTACAGGCATGAGCCACTGTGTCCGACTGCTTTTAAATTACTTTCTTGTCAAAAGGTACATAAGACCAGGCTTGGGGCTCCCATCTATAATCCCAGCAATTTGGGAGGTAGAGGCAGGTGGATCACTTGACGCCAGGAGTTGGAGACCAGCCTAGCCAACATGGCGAAACCCGATCTCTACCAAAAGTACTAAAATTAGCTGGGCATGCTGGCTGGCGCCTGTAATCCCAGCTACTTGGGAGGCTGAGGCACGAGAATTGCTTGAACCTGGGAGGTGGAGGTTGCAGTCAGCCGAGATCACGCCACTGCATTTCAGCCTGATCACGCCACTGCATTTCAGCCTGGGTGATAGAGTGAGACTCTGTCTCAAATAAAAAAAAAGGTACTTAAATCTCTTAAAACTTTTCTGCACCTGTTCTCTCACGTCTCTTCCTATCAGTGAGATGTAGTGGTGCTAATAAGTGAACAGATCTGAGTTTAAATTCTGATTAGTTGATAGGGCACCGGTGGCTCACGCCTGTAATCCCAGCAGTTTGGGAGGCTGAGGCTGGCGGATCACCTGAGGCCAGGAGTTCAAGACCAGCCTGGCCAACGTGGTGAAACCCCCATCTCTACTAAAAGTAGAAAAATTAGCTGGGCATGGTGGCACGCACCTGTAATCCCAGCTACTTGGGAGGTGGAGGATCTCTTGAACTTGGGAGGTGGAGGTTGCAGTGAGCTGAGGTTGCACCACTGCAATCCAGCCTGGGCAGCAGAGCTGGAGTGCAATAAATAAATTAATTAATTAATTCTGATTAGTTGTGCAATACTAGCTCTGTGACATTGGAAATGATATTTAACCTCTCTGAGCTTGGTTTCTTTCAACTACAAAGTGCAGATAAAGAAATATATACTTCTTTCATCTGTTGCATGAGATAATTTTAAAAAAGAAAGAAATATTTACTTCTTGGCTGGGCACAGTGGCTCATACTTGTAGTCCCAGAACTTTGGGAGGCTGAGGCAGGAGGATCACTTGAGCCCAGGAGTTCAAGACCAGCCTGGACAACATGGTGAGACCCTGCCATCTCTATAAAAAATACCAAAAAAAATAGCGAGACATGGTGGCACAGGCCTGTAGTCCTAGCTACACAGAAGGCTGAGATCGGAGGATGACTTGAGCCCAGGAGGTCGAGGCTTCAGCGAGCCATGATTGCATCACTGCACTCTATCCTGGGTGACCTTGTCTCAAAAAAAAAAAAGAAAGAAAAAGAAATACGTACTTCTTTCAGGATTATCGTGATGTTAAATAAAGTGCTTACAGTATGGAAAAGTACCAAGTATTGGGCCAGGCCTACAGTAGCTCCTCAAAAATGCCAGGTCCTTCTGCCTTCCAGTCACCACGACCTTTTATACTTTTGTTCTTTTGCAGTTCCCAGTCCTTAAGGTCAGTGGTGGAGCCGAATTTGCTTTGTACTCTATGACTTTCTTGGAAAGGGCCCTTTATTGATTCCCTTATGAATAGGTCTCTGGCCTTTCTGCAATGCTGGGGAATAGTTGGGCAGAATTTACATGTAAATAATGCCAGGAAAAAACAAAACAAAAAGGCCCCAAAGAATCCTAGAAAGACAGAGCTGGGCAAACTCTGAGGGTTCCTTTAATGCCAGGACAAAATTTAACTGGCTTGTAATGAAAGGAAAAGATAAAGATATATAGTGATTTCAATGACAGTTTTAAAAACTTTTTTTAAAGCATTTTTTTTATGAAAGCTTCGCTATCTGTGAAATCTTCACTTTTGGGAACCACTAATCTAATCTTATCTCACTTTACAGATAAGGGCATGTAAAACACTTGTGTGTTATGTAATATTAGTGGTATATGAGGTGTCTTCACAAAGTCTAAGTATTTAATTGTAAGTTCCTGGAGGGATGTGGTTGTGTCTCCTATTTTTTACACCCCATAATCCCAGTTTATGGCATCATGCCTGGCATGTGAGGCACCCAATAATTATCTAGCTGGGTGTGGTAGACACACCTATAATCCCAGCACTTATTCCTTGAGCCTAGGAGTTCAAGACCAGCCTGGGCAACAATGATACTTCGTCTCTACTAACAGTAAAATAACTTAAGCCTGGTGTGGTGGTACACGCCTGTAGTCCCAGCTACCCAGGTGACTGAGGCAGAGGATTGCTTGAGCCTGGGAGGTCGAGGCTGCTGTGAGCCGTGATCATACCCACTGCACTCCAGCTTGGGTAACAGAGTGAGACTCTGTCTCAAAAAAAAAAAAAAATCTATTGAATGAATAAATGAAATAGCCTGGCACTCTTGAACCTTAGATTGTAATGATATTTATTCTTACTGATAGAGCTAGTAAACTCCTCGAGGGAGCCTCTGCCCCTTATTGTCCAGTAGAACAGATTCTCTGGGTGAATGAGCCCAAAGGTCAAACAGATCAAGCATTTTCAAGAAAAGATAACCCAATAACCTGAATCATAGCAGGAACCACGAGGTACTTCACTTATATTATCTCATTTAATCTTCATGGTAATCTTGCCAGGAGGGTAATCATTTGAAGCAAGAACAGGTTTAAGATTTCTTAAAAGACACAGATGTAAGTCTTTAATACAGATTGGGAAGAGGATTACTTTTTCTGTCTCAGGTTCTTCAGGATAAAGGATAAAGATTTGGAGATCGTTTAAAAGCTTTTATATAAATGCTCATTCACTGAGTTCAAATACTTTTAAAATGTCCTGGCAGTTGAAAGTTAAATAAGAAGCAAAAAATTATTCTTCTGCCTAGAATTTTTAAGGTTATCTTCTTTAGGTAGGATTTTATTGTTTGCTATGATGTGCCGCTTTTCTTGAAATACTACAAACCAGTGTTTTCAGCTGGGTGCGGTGGCTCACACCTGTAATTTCAGCACTTTGGGAGGCTAAGGCAAGCGGATCACTTGAGGTCAGGAGTTCAAGACCAGCCTGGCTGACATGGTGAAACCCCATCTCTACTAAAAATGTAAAAATTAGCTGGGCATGGTGGCATGTGCCTGTAATCCCAGGTACTTGGGAGGCTAAGGCAAGAGAATCACTTCAACCCGGGAGGTGGAGGTTGCAGTGAGCCAAGATTACACCACTGCACTCCAGCCTGAGCAACAGAGTGAGACTCTGTCTCAGAAAAAAACAAAAAACAAACAAAAAAAACGAGCGTTTTCAAAATGCAGGTACCAAGCCAGTGAGGTCATGAAATGCATTTAGTGCATTAAAAAAAAAAAAAAAAGACAAAAGAAAATAGCATATTAAATGTCTGCCAAGGCTGGGCACAGTGGCTCACACCTGTAATCCCAGCACTTTGGGAGGCCGAGGCGGGCAGATCACCTGAGGTCAGGAGTTCAAGACCAGCCTGGCCAACATGGTGAAACCCTGTCTCTACTAAAAATACAAAAATTAGCCGGGTGTGGTGGCACGCGCCTGTAGTCCCAGCTACTCGGGAGGCTGAGGCAGGAGAATCACTTGAACCTGGGAGGCAGAGGTTGCAGTGAGCCAAGATCATGCCACTGTACTCCAGCCTGGGCGACAGAGCAAGACTTTGTTTCCGAAAAAAAAAAAACAAAAATGTCTGTCGGGCACAGTGGCCCACACCTGTAATCCCAGCACTTTGGGAGGCGGAGGTGGGTGGGAGGATTGCTTGAGCCTAGGAGTTCAAGACCAGCCTAGGCAACATGGCGTAACCTCGTCTCCACAAAAATAAAAAAAATTAGCCAGGTGTGGTGGCACGTGCCTGTAGTCCCAGCTACTCCAGAGGCTGAGGTTGGAGGATCACCTGAGCCTGGGAAGTTGAGGCTGCAGTGAGCCATGATTGCACCTGGGCAGCAGAGTAAGACTCTGTCTTAAAAAAAAAAAAAAGAGTTTTGTGTTGCATATATAGATTTATATTATGTAACTGTATTCTATATATACACATACACGACTTGAGAGATAGGTTGTATTCTTTTTATAGGTTATGGGGTCTTTTGTTTGTTTGTTTTTTTGAGACGGAGTCTTGCTTTGTCACCCAGGCTGGAATGCAGTGGTGCGATCTCAGCTCACTTGCAAGCTCTGCCTCCCGGGTTCATGCCATTCTCCTGCCTCAGCCTCCCGAGTAACTGGTACTACAGGCGTGTGCCACCACGCCTGGCTAAGTTTTTGTATTTTTAGTAGAGACGGGATTTTACCGTATTAGCCAGGATGGTCTTGATCTCCTGACCTTGTGATCCACCCGCCTCAACCTCCCAAAGTGCTGGGATTACAGGCATGAGCGACCACGCCCGGCCTAGGTTATGTTTTAAAAATGTTAGAAAAACGTTTTGTGAATAAATGATGCCTTGCACTTTATGGGGCTCAGAAGTGTTTGTTGAATTGGATAAAGAGCTGTCTTTGTGTCATTACAACGCTGTAGCAATAAGGAACTATGCATGCTGAGCCAACTCCTGTGAAATGTCTTGTCAAGTGAGAACCTATTTGTGCTGCAGAGACTTTTCCCTTCTGTAGTTGGTAATAATAATGAAAGTTTGCTTTTACAAAGTAACTATTACAAAGTTGCATTATTATTGCTAAACAGTGAAAGAGGCTGATTTGGAGGACGGAATAATGGCAGGAAACATTTAGGAATGTGAATGCGTAACAGGGCTATGTTGCCAGGGATTTGTAGCTCTGACAATTGGGAGTTCTCTCTGGGAGAGATCCCAGTGGTCCATGACATGTAGTAATTTGAAATTTGCTGAGGCGCAAATTCAAGTACATCCTAGGAGGCTTGTGGGGAGGGAGACAGTCATTGAGCTAGTGAGCAAGCCACGCCCCCTGCTCCATGTATGTGTTTAAACATGGCATGCATGCTATTTTTTTCTGTTCTTTGTCTTCACAGAGTAATTCCCTTCAGGTAATAGAAACTCTTTTCATCTGAAGAATGATGATGAAGTGAAAGGTGAAGCTTGAGTGAAATGTGTGTTGCAAACATAAGCCAAGGAAAATATAGGCTCTTGATAAAGGTGTGAGTTCCCCAGAAAGCCAGAGCCACTGTAGGACTTCATGTATCGTACAAGTGGGCGATTCCTGGTGCTCTCTTGTTGGTAGCTCTACAGGCTGTCAGGGATCAAGGCAATATTATTTGCTGCTTTTTTTTTAAGAACCTGTAGGGGTGAGCATTGATTTGAGGCAATATATAATGATTGATTATATAGCCTGTGGAAGATAGAAACTTAGTGTGTAGAAATCGTTTAAAAAGAGGAAAAACTATATTGTATATGTGGGGATTTGTTTGTTTGCTACTAATTCCAGTGCTTTTTGTTTTTGTTTTCTATTTATTTCTTTTGAGACCAGGTTATAAGACTGGCTAATTTTTGTATTTCTGGTAGAGACAGGATTTTGCCCAGGCTGGTCTCGAACTCCTGGGCTCAAGCTATCCATCCACCTTAGCTTCCCAAAGTGCTGGGAATGCAGATGTGAGCCACCATGCCCAGCCTTCCGGTACTTTTTCATCAATTGCTTTAGGAGTGACTTTGTAAAGTTCTCTGATATTATCTGAGTAGTCAAGTTCTTTAGGATTGTGTCATCAGTCTCAAGTTTGCCCAGAGCTGGGGCTTTTCCACAAATCTTGGGGGTAAGAGAGAGAGATGAAGAGTTGGAGCCAGGACAAGGATCGTCAGTGGGAAAATCAGGACCAGATTCTGCTTCTACCTTCATGTGTAGATGCTGACTCTTTTGAAAGAACTACAATAAAGTCACCTGTGGATTGACCCACATGCCTTAGCTCTGAAACACGCAAACTGGCTAACTGGGGAATCCACTCCCATGCCATTCTCTAATATTTGTTCATCTAAACTTAGCATCCTGTAATGTGCTTGTGAGTCATAATTGCAATTGTAGAAAGAGAAAGAGGCCTGGCACAGTGGGTCACGCCTGTAATAGCACTTTGGGAGGCCGAGCGGGTGGATCACTTGAGGTTAGCAGTTTGAGACCAGCCTGGCCAACATGGTGAAACCCCATCTCTGCTAAAAATACAAAAATTAGCTGGGTGTGGTGGTGAGCACCAGTAATCCGAGCTACTCGGGAGTCTGAAACAGAAGAATTGATTGTGCCGGGTGCCGTGGCTCACACCTGTAATCCCAGCACTTTGGGAGGCCAAGGCGGGCGGATCATGAGGTCAGGAGATCGAGACCATCCTGGCTAACACAGTGAAACCTCGTCTCTACTAAAAATACAAAAAATTAGCCGGGCGTGGTGGCAGGCGTCTGTAGTCCCAGCTACTCGCGAGGCTGAGGCAGGAGAATGGCGTGAACCCGGAAGGCGGAGCTTGCAGTGAGCTGAGATGGCGCCACTGTACTCCAGCCTGGGCAACAGAGTGAGACTCCATCTCAAAAAAAAAAAAAAAAGAAGAAGAATAGATTGAACCTGGGAGGCAGAGGTTGTAGTGAGCCAAGATTGTGCCACTGCACTCCAGCCTGGGCGACAGAGTTAAGCCTCTGTCTCAAAGAAAGAAAGAGAAAGAAAAGAGGAGAGAGGAATGTCAACTTAATTAATTGTTTAAAAAGAGGAAAAACTGTGTTGTATGTGTGTGGATTTGTCTGTTTGCTTATTAATTCCAGTGCTTTTTTTTGTTTTCTATTTATGTCATTTAATTATTAATTAATGTCATTTAATTTTAAATGAGAAATTATGCCTCATGTAAAAGTTTTTTTGTAAAAGGCTAGGCTGAGATTCATTCATTGCCTCACCATGGATGCCACCATGAGTCTAACTCTGCTGTCTCAGCTCTGCAAACACAGATGATAGATGGGCATCTCATCTGAACATCATTAGGTCCAGGGAACACTTGTCCATGCCACCCTGACTGACTTTAATCCAGTGGGTGTTTGTTGAGTGTCTGCTACCTGCAACACCAGCCAGGTGGCTTGATATGGTAAAGACGCAAGAAATGTTAGCTTAACATATTGATGCAAGCTACTGTAGTTGGCCCTGGGGAGAAGGGAAGTATAAAAATGAACAAAGTGTAGTCTTCATCTCCTTGAGGCTTACAATCCAGGGACAGACAGGACAAGTAATTATTAGTCAAGCTGACCATACTGTGTGTTATCAAGGAGGAAGGAAGTTCTATGGAAGTACAGAGGAAACAGGAGGGTGGGAAAAGTGGGAAGGCAGGGGAGGTGTCCATAGGAAAGGAACACCAGGCAACAGGAAGAACACAGGCAGAGCTGGGTGGACACCAATTGAGAAACTTGGGAATAACACCGCATGGCAAGAGTGGAGAGTGGTCTGGAGCAGCATGGAGGAGGCGTGGTGGAAGATGGGGCTGGAGATGCCAGTCATTCTGAGGGTGCTTGGGGACCTGTCAGATGGTTTAGAGCAGGGAGTGAGGCATCAGATTTGTGTTTTAGAAGAAGGTGAAGAGAATGGATTGGAGTAGGGGAAGTGCCATTGGGAGGCTATTGTAATGTTTCACTGGATAAATGACAGGGCTTGACTGAGAGCAGTGGAAATGAAATTGAGGTTACTCAAGAATGATTTGTCTTCGAAAGCCAATCTGTGAATTTATAATGGGCATGAACTTACCAACCACTGGAATGATTAGGTCAGCTGGCCGGAACACTACTTTTAAAAGTGAAGTCCATTAATAATCAAAAGATTACTGGCTGAAAGTGAAGTGAAGGCAAAAGGAGTTGGATGGTCTGAGAGGACCTTTTACCCCATCGATAGTAGTTTTTACATAGCAGTAATACTAAAGCTTAATCTTTGGTGGGTTGTTGTTCTCTCTGGAGAGATACTTGGCCTGCCACAAAAGGAGGAGCTGCTTCTCTGGCCAGCACTGGACAGAAGCTGGCCAGCATATTCCAGGATCTTTGGTTTGCAAGAAAGTGAGCTTGCTCAGATTAGCAGGTAGAATGAGGAATAATCGTAAGGAAAGGAAATATTCCAACTCCAAAGCTAGAAAGCCAGCCAGGCCTCAGGGGACTCAGATATCAATCAGGCACTTTCTCCTCCCTTCTCCCCTCCATGCCCAGTGAGAATCTGCTTTCTTCCCCTCTACCCCAATCACTGGTCCTTCTGAGGCCGTGCACTTACATGGGCCCCATTACCACTTCTCCAAAATGGTGGCATTGCCCCCTAGGCTTTCTAGCCTTGTAGTCTGCTCCTCACAGCTGACCCAGTCTCTGTGTCCCAAGTGCTAATACCCAGAAGAGAGGATCCTAATGGCCCAGGTTGGGTCAGATGTCGTTCTCTAAGCAGGCTAAAGATGTGATGTGACAGATGCTTTGAGAAAAAACAAAATAGTAGTAAAGAATGGGTAACTCTAATATATTTTAAACGTTTCTGGACTTCATGTTAACCCAGTGTATTGGTTGTCTATGACTATATAACAAGGCACCCTAAAATGTAGCAGCTTAAAACAGCAAGCATTTATTACGTCACAGTTCTGTGGGTCAGGAATGCAAGAAGAGCTTAGTTGAGTGTTTTTGTCTCAGGGTCTCTCATGAGTTTATAGTTAAGCTGGCCCCTGGGGCTGCAGTACTGTGAAGGGTAGGCTGGGGATGATCTGTTTCCAAGCTCACCCGTGAGGCGGTCTGGCTACCAGCAGGATGCCTAAGCTATTAGCTATTGGCTGGAGACTTCAGTTCCTCACCACATGGGTCTGTCCATAGACTCTCTGAGTGTCCTCATGACATGGCAGCCAGCTTCTCCCAGAGTGAGCGATCCAGAGAGCACCCAAGATGGGAAGCTTCTGCCCTATCCTATTGGTCACCCAAACCAACCCTGGTACACAGTAGGAGGGAGGATGCACAAAGGTGAGAATACCAGGAGGTGAGGCTTGCTAGGGGCCATCTTGGAAGTTAGTTACCATATCTGGTCAAGAAACATTCCTTTAGTGCCTACTGTGTGCCAAGTGCCGGGACTGGGAGCTACATGACACAGAGTCTGTCCTAGAGCATCAAGCTCACTGTCTGGGCTGGAGAAGCCTCACACAAACACAATACCATGTGTGCTCGGAGCCCTCACCTCTGCCCACCGACCTTCCATACTGCTACCACATTTATCCTCATGGAATTCAAATCTGTTCATAGCATTCTCTTATTGTGTCCTGTTTGTCTAGAATTTTTTTTGTTCAAAAACTTAAAGATCACCACCACAGTAAGAAATACACTTATATTACAAACAAGTACATACATACACAGACACATTTATAACTGAAACAGATTTCCCAAGTTTACACCCTTACTGCTTGTATGTATTCTGGTATCTTCTGATCTAGGTTCTTTCATTTTTTATAAAAGCTGGTCACAGTCTCATGACTTGCACAGCCTACTGCATTGTGACCTGCAGTGTGGAAAGCAGCGGCCTACGGATCATCCACACCCTTCCATGATCTGCAAAGCCCCTCATCATCTGCCTGTCCCCCTCATTTATATTTAAGGACTTTGCCAAATACACTCTCTTAGGTTCCTCTACCAGGAGCTCTCTTCTGCCTTTCCCCATGTGATTTGGAGAACTCTTAGTCATTCTTTAAAACCCAGCTTTAAAGTATCTCCTGTTCTTCCCTCTCTTAGTTTTTTGTTTTCTTTTGTTTTTTAAGACAGGGTCTTGCTCTGTCACCCAGGCTGGAGTGCAGAGGCGTGATCTCGGCTCACTGCAACCTTCGCCTCTCGGGTTCAAGCGATCCTCATGCCTCAGCTTCCCGAGTAGCTGGGATTACAGGCACGTGCCACCATGCCCGGCTAATTTTATTATTATTATTATTTTTTTTTTTTTTTTTTTGAGACGGAGCCTTGCTCATATTGCCCAGACTGGAGTGCAGTGGCGCAATCTCAGCTCACTGCAACCTCCACCTCCCAGGTTCAAGCGATTCTTCTCCCTCAGCCTCCAGAGTAGCTGGGATTACAGGCACCTGCCACCATACCCAGCTAATTTTTTGTATTTTTAGTACAGACGGGGTTTCACCATGTTGGCCAGGCTGGTCTCGAACTCCTGACCTCAGGTGATCCACCCGCCTCGGCCTCCCAAAGTGCTGGGTTTACAGGCATGAGCCACCCCACCCGGTCAGTGTTTTTGTTTTTTTCGGTCTGGAGTGCAGTGGCGCAATTTCCACTCACTGTAGCCTCCACCTCCCGAGTTCAAGTGATTCTCCTGCCTCAGCCTACCGTGTAGCTGGGATTCCAGGTGCCCGCCACCACGCCCCGCTAATTTTTGTATTTTTAGTAGAGACGGGGTTTCACCACGTTGGCCACGAACTCCTGACCTCAAGTGATCCGCCTGCCTCGGCCTTACAAAGTGCTGGGATTACAGGCGTGAGCCACCGCACCCGGCCCTCCCCTCTCTGAACAGGATTGCCTACTCTGTCCTCCGACTCCCAGAGCTTTTCACTGACACCTGGGGACTGCTGGGTCCCTCCTTCTCTCCTAGCCTGCCCAGGGCCACCCCAAGCCTGCAGTAGATTTTCATTTATCTCTGTAAGAACGTTTACAAGGACATGGAGCAAATTAGCATCACACAAATGACGATGCTGCAAATGAGCGGTGTACAGGGTTGGCGGGTGTTGCAGGCAGGTTTCCTGTCGTTGGCGCCACGTGCTGCAGAAAGAGGACCCCTCCCCCTGCGGGCCGCCGCTGCGCCCGTGCATCCGTCACAGGTACAATTCGCACCGGAACTTGCGGCCCGGCTTCATTACGTGATGCTTTTTAGCTGCTCTGGTTTCTTTTTGTTTTTTCTACTTTTCTCATTTGTTTGTGTTGTTAGGGACCGCCTAGTGAGAAATTGAGCTTCAGGCTGCGCAGATAGAAAGGCCTCTATATCTGCATCCCCACCCCTGTGGGGGTGGCGGGGGGTGGTGGGGGGGTCCTGTCTGAAGTGGTAGGGAAGGAGGGTTTTGAGGTTTTTGACTATTTGCTTGCAAGTATCTAAGTAAGAGATTTGTTTGCCCACATTTGCACTCTCTTGGCTAGCAACCCGACAAAATATTTTCTGATGGTTTTTCGTGTATGTGGTTTTTGTTTTTGAGGGAGAGAATAATTAACACCTTGGTTAAATTGTACTGAGATACAATGGCTGTTTTTAAAAATTGCTGTTAACTGAAGGGTTGAAGCTAGTATAATTCCCAGGCTCAGCCTCTTGGGAGGCTGAGTCTCCAATAGCATAGTCTTCAATAGACTATGCTGTGAATTGTAATCAGAAAAGAAAAAAAAATTAGACACGAGCAAAAGCAATTAAAGTATTTATTCTCCAATATTCGCATTTCTGCATTTGTCAGCAGCTGTGGAACTGTCACAAGATATGCTGATTTGGTTGTGGTATGTGCCTGTCTGGGGAGGGGAGGAGGAGGATGAAGGCAGACTGTAAACAAATCATTATTGTAAAGTGATCAGTGGGTAATAGAGGCGTGTATAGAGTGCATAGAGAAGGGACTCACTCATTTTAAGCAATGTTTTTCAAATGGGGTCACCTCCATTAGTGAATCATGAAGTCCTTTACCAAGTGCCTAACAGCATTTGAAAAAATAAAGACAATATAGAATGAAATACATCAAGATGCATCCTCCATAGTAGGTTTAGATATTTTTTTTTCAAAAACCTTTGTTTCAATTATATATCTACTGAATTACAATGTGAAATGTGTTTCTTGGGATTGAGTCTCAAGCAAAGATGTTTGAAAGCCACTGAGTTAGGCGACGGGAGAAGGCTTCCCAGAGGAGGTGGCATTGGAGCTGGGCCTTGAAGAATGGTGGACTTGTGCCACAGGAAAAGGGAATTCCAGGCAGATGGGAAAGGATATGTCCAAATCTGGATCTGTTTGTTCAGGGGCAGGGTATTCTCTGTAAAGGGACCACAGGGTACTAGGAGAGGACTGGCTCGAGATGTGCCTGGGGAGGCAGGTGGAGCCAATTACCGAGCCACTTGAAAGTACATATACCACTTCTCAGCTTGCCCTAGAAATTCCCATTCTCTGGTTATGGATTTGGGTTTGGGAATCTGTACTTGCAATAAACATCCCTGGGCAGTGAGGCAGTGAGGTGCTGATGAAGGTGTGACACAACCAGCTCTAGAATCTAGAAAGATGATCTTTGTAGCAATTTGGATAGGAGATCAATGGGAGGCCAAGCAATAGGCGGACCTGAATTCAGGTGATGGTAATTGGCAAAGAATTACCATTGAGGGAGGATGGTATTCGAGGGAGATTTTGGAAGTGAGTTTTGTAGGGACCAAGGGAAAGCTTCACCTCCGCCCTGTGAAAGTTTGCTGAAAATGAACTGGCAGTAGACAGATTAAGAGGAGAAAAGACATAACAATTTATTTAATATTTAACATGTATAGCATGGGGGAATAGCAGGAGAATGATTACCCAATAACCCAATGAGGTCCAGGTGCCTAAGTACCCTTCTTCACAGAAGAAGGGGAGATGGGGAGTGGAGCAATTTTTTTTTTTTTTTGAGACGGAGTCTTGCTCTGTCGCCCGGGCTGGAGTGCAATGGCACGATCTCGGCTCACTGCAACTTCTGCCTCCTGGGTTCAAGGGATTCTTCCGCCTCAGCCTCCTGAGTAGCTGGGATTACAGGCACCCGCCATCATGCCCAGCTAATTTTTGTATTTTTGTAGAGACAAGGTTTCGCCATTTTGGCCAGGGTGGTCTTGAACTCCTGACCTCAGGTGATCCACCCACCTCAGCCTCCCAAAGTGCTGGGATTACAGTCGTGAGCCACTGCACCTGGCTGCAATTAAAAAAAAAAATTAAAAAAATACAAAGCATCGCCATGTTGCCCAGGCTGGTCTCGAACTTCTGGGCTCAAGCAGTTCTCTAGCCTAGGCCTCCTAAAGTACTGGGATTATAGGCAAGAGCCACCTTGGCCAGCCTTTTTTTGTGTGTGTGAGACGGAGTCTCGCTCTGTCACCCAGGCTAGGGTGCAATGGCACAATCTCAGCTCACTGCAACCTCTGCCTCCTGGGTTCAAGCGATTCTCATGCCTCAGCATCCCGAGTAGCTGGGATTACAGGCGCCCACCGCCACGCCCAGCTAATTTTTGTATTTTTAGTAGAGACAGGGTTTCTTCATGTTGGCCAGGCTGGTCTCAAACTCCTGACCTCAGGTGACCCATCCGCCTCGGCTTCCCAAAAGTGCTGGGATTACAGGCGTGAGCCACCACGCCCAGCTGGCCAGCCTGTTTTTGGGGATGATGGCCCATTGCAGCTTTGACCTCCTGGGCTTAAGCGATCAGAGCAATTTTGAAGGGTAGCAAATGATTTTTAAGAAGAATAAATGGTTCAGGGGACAGAAATTATTTTGTAAATGATTGTTTTGGAATTTGAGTGAGAGGCAGACATTATCTTGTGAAAAAACCCGTCCAGATGTGATTGCATTTCTCAGTCTTTTCTGTGACAAATAATGAGATTTCAGAGAGGAGAACTAAGGCAATTCTGTTTCTCTTTTGGGGTCCAGTAGTTAAGGAAACTTCAGAGAACATCCTGTGCTTTTGAGAGAGACGGAGGACTGAAAAGATAGGGGTTTGGAGGAGGAGAGGTCAGAGAGACCTTGAGGCCCATTCTTTAGTTCAGCATATCAGGGTGCCATCTTTCAAGCTATCATTTTTCTGAGCTCCAACAGCTCCATGGTTTGAGGGAGAATGAGGAGGAATCATAGACAAATGAAAAGTATCCAGGGGTTGGTCTAGGGGAAAGGTGGGTGTTACAAACATGCATAGAGACTAGAGAGGAAGAGCAAATTCAGAAGGGAAGATGATTACTTGAGTTTTGGTGCTTGCATGTGGTGGGGCAGGAGTAACTCATCGCATTTTCACCAGGCCGCGTGCGAAATATCCTTTCAGAGCATCAGTGTGCCCTTTGCTCTGACTGCCAATCTCTGAACATCCTCCTGATTGTCTTAGACCTGACTCAGGATTGATAAATACACCTAACTAGTAGTTGATTGTATGATTTATAGTGAGAGAGATATATAAACATTTGGAGTATAAGAGTACCTTTGCACAGGGTGTCACTTTTACAGTATTAGGGTCCCTGGGAAATGGAACTAGTAATTGGAAGATTTAGGAAAGAAAGAATTATATGGTCTAAGGGTATTTAATCAGGCTCTAAAAAGTGCTCAAGTAAGAATGTGGCTCTTTAGTGATCAGAATACTTGTGAGGGTCACACAGTGTCTCCACTCCCGTAGTTTTTTTTTTTCTTTATTGTCAAGGATATTTCTTTGTGCCTGCTTAGTACATACTTATTTCCTTGTCTTCCACTCATATTTATGAGTCATCTTTTTCAGAGTGGTTCCTTTTTTTTTTTGAGACAGAGTTTCGCTCTTGTTGCCCAGGCTGGAGTGCAGTGGCGCCATCTCAACTAACTGCAACCTCCGCCTCCCAGGTTCAAGCGATTCTCCTGTCTCAGCCTCTCAAGTAGTTGGGATTACAGGTGCATGCCACCACACCCAGCTAAATTTTGTATTTTTGGTAGAGACAGGGTTTCACCATGTTGGCCAGGCTGGTCTTGAACAATCCTGACCTCAGGTGATCCGCCCGCTTCAGCTTCCCAAAGTGCTGGGATCACAGGCGTGAGCCACTGCGCCCGGCCAGAGTAGTTCCTTCTTCAGATGTTTTACCTCTTAGTAGTTTCATTTTCAGAAAGCACACTGACATTTATTGGGCAAGTCCCTTTACATGGGTGTTCTATCTTAGAGACTGACTTTCTCACTAAGCTCCAAGTGTGCTTTGTGGTAGCACCTTAAAGCCTGATTATGTGACCTCCATTCCACTTCCTCTCCACTCCCCCATCCTCCTGAGCAGGTGGAATAGAAGGAATGCTCTATTTAGGAGAGTTAAAGAGTTCTGATAGAATACCAGGGGGACCTGGGAGCCAGTGAATGGCACATCCTGGGCATGCCTTCCAACAGCATGTGGTGCCCCCCTAACCTGATGGCTGTCCTCCCCTCAACATATTCTATGGGGAAACAGTCTACATGGGTAAGACAGGAAGGCCAGTGGGAGTGCTGAATGCTTTTTTTTTATTATTAACAGCTCTGCTGTATTGTATTAATTCCTTATCCTTGTACTGAAAGCTTGTAGGAGTTCAGATTTTTTTTAAGTCTGTCAAGGAAAATAACCAGCTTGAAACATGTCATTTAATATAGAGACAAATAGCTTTAGTCCTCTACAAGGATGATGTGAAGTGTTTAAATTCATATATTGAATAAAATAATGTAGGCAAGGTATTGAAAACATTTGTAATCACTCCAATAAATTGCTTATCATTGCTTTGAAAATAATTCCACGGTACTTTTAATAACAACAACAACCACAACAATAATGGCAACTGTTATTCAATACTATATATGGGACACTGAAGCAAAGGTTTTTTATTTTATTTATTTATTTATTTTGAGTCAGAGTCTTTCTCTGTCACCCAGGCTGGAGTGCAATGGTGCAATCTCAGCTCACTGCAACCTCTGCTTCCTGGATTCAAGCAATTCTCCTGCCTCAGCCTCCCGAGTAGCTGGGATTACAGGCACCCGCCACCACACCTGGCTAATTCTTGTATTTTTAGTAGAGATGGGGTTTCACCATATTGACCAGGCTGGTCTCTTGGCCAGGCTGGTCTTGAACTCCTGACATTGTGATCCTTCTATCTTGGCCTCCCAAAGTGCTGGGATTACAGGCATGAGCCACTGAGCCCGGCCCTTATTTTTATTATTATTTTTTTATTTTTGAGACAGGGTCTTGCTCTGTCGCCCAGGCTGGAGTGCAGTGGCTTGATCATGGCTCACTACAGACTCAACCTCCCAGACTCAAGTGATCCTCCCACCCCAGCCTCCCAAGTAGCTGGGACCACAGGCACATGCCACCATGCCCAGCTAATTTTTGTATTTTTTGTAGAAATGGGATCTGACCATGTTGCCCAGGCTGGTCTCAAACTCCTGGGCTCAAGCGACCCTCCTGCCTCAGCCTCCCAAAGTGTTAGGATTACAGGCATGAGCCACCGTACCTGGCCAAAGCAAAGGTTTTATATACTTAATATTACTGAACTCTCCTCCAACCAACCTGAGATATAGGTTATTACTATCTCCATTTTACAGATGAGGAAACTTAGGTGAGAGAAATTTTTAAACTAGGCCAAAATCACGTGGCTAAAAAATGGCAGTAATAAAACTGGAGAGAGAGAACTCTAAACCATTAGGCTGTATAGTACTGCCTGTAATCAACTGGGCAATGGTTTTACATGGTTTAAGGAGATCTACTTTACCCCCTTAATATATGGGTCTCTAGACAGAGATATGCTAATTTCTTGTAGATCTTGTGGACTGGGCTATGTTGCTTTTATTGCAAAAGCATTGATTGTGAGCAAACTATATACAAAATAACTCTGCTAGGCTCTTAGAGAATTTAAGTTTGCAGATGATGGTCTGGCATCCTTGAGGAGCTCCCTATCCAGGAGGGAACATAAGAGAAACATATTAGGTTGAATCATAGGAGACTGCCATTGAATATTCACATGGGAAGATCTCACAGGGCTTAACCTGACACATAACTAAAATAAGGCAGTACAGTTGAATGTATTGAACTCTCATTATGTTTCAGACACCATGCTAAACATTTTACACTAGTTCCTGAACGCTTAAAATAACTCTCAGAGGTGGGTACTATAATCATCCCCATTTTATAGATGAGGAAGTTGAAGCCTTGAGTGGTGAAATGACTTGCCCAAAGCCACACACCTGGTAAGTGACAAAATTAGAATTTGAACCCAGGTCAGTCTGAATACAGAGCCAGTACACTTAAACCTCAGAATATAAGTACATCTATATGTACAAATAAAAGTATATACCTTATTTATGCACACCGATAATTTAAAAAAATTTGCTTCACAAACACTCTATAGAACACTTACTAACTCTTCTGGTATGTGTTGGTATTTCTGTGATCTGGATACATCTGGTCATGCATATCACTACTCAATCTCCAGCATTTTCATTCTCCACTTCTGAGAATGTTTAACCAACCAAGGGGAACATTTGGAGGGAAAAAAAGAAAAACACTTTCACTTTTCATTGTTATGTGGACACTGGGCCTGTTTATTTGGAGGTCCAAGCATGTGTTAGAACATTTCAATTATATTTCCATCCTCTTTTTTTTTACTGTCCAGTTGCCTTTCTTTCTAAGTCACATACACAGATGGGAATCATAGGAGTGGCCATTTTATTGTACATAATTAAATTGTAGAGAATACAATTAAAGCTATTTGCATATAGTAAAGCCATTTTAAGAACTTTCCTCTTAAAAAGTTTTCTAATCTTACATTCACTACCAAAATCCTGTCTATATAAACTATAATTTTAAATTTTAATATACAAAGCATATCCCTCATTTAAATGAAGTTTTGTAATAATCTGGGGAAAAAGTTGTTTTTGTTTTGCCATATTATTAAATAATTACAATTTTGGTTGTACCTGGAGAATCTGAAATTCTCCTACTGTGTCCCAGTATTTTGTAAACTCCTCCAGACTTAAAATTAGGTTGGACAACTGGCATTCTCAAAGTAGGTCTTTACTAATTAGACAGTTGTCCCCTCTGTACCACACCACTGGACTCTAATGTTAACATTGAAACAGCAAAGACTGCTTGTTCCAAAGATCCTTTTCAGGCCTGACAGAGCGTGAGTTTTGGGGTCAGCCAGACTTGGTTCTCCTGTCTGCCCTTATTAGACTGATGTTCCCAGGCAAATTGCTGAAACTATCCTATTGGGAACCTCATTTACAAAATCAAGATAATTAAACCTTATTCTTCGGGTTTGAGTGAAAGTTCATATGATAATGTGTATAAGTATCTAGCATAGTGCCTGGTGGCACTTAGAAGACCTTCAATAAATGTCAATGTTCTTGTATTTGGACATTCTCTTTAAAAAGCCTGCAATGCCCTAAGCTCTTTATGAGTATATAAATTCAGGTTTGTTAGGTCATTTTTCAAAGTCAGATTTCAGTTTCCTTGCAATTCTGGCTGACTTGAGAGGATAGCTTTCCGAAATCCATTACTGTTTTATTGGAGGGCCCAGCACTGTGGCTTACACCTGTAATACCAGCAGTTTGAGAGGCTGAGGCGGAAGGATCACTTGATCCCAGGAGTTCAAAACCCAGGGGGCAACAAAGCAAGACCCTGTCTCTTATTTTTTGCGGGGTGGGGGAGGGACGGAGTCTTGCTCTGTCGCCCAGGCTGGAGTGCAATGGCGCAATCTTGGCTCACTGCAACCTCCACCTCCTGAGTTCAAGCAATTCTCCTGCCTCAGCCTCCTGAGTAGTTGGGATTACAGGCGCCTGCCACCACGCCTGGCTAATTTTTTTTTTTTCTGTGTTTTTGGTAGAGATGGGGTTTCGCCATGTTGGTCAGGCTGGACCCGTCTCTAAAAAACTAAAAAAATTGGCTGAGTGTGCTGGTGTGCACTTATATTCCCAGCTACTAGGAAGGCTGAGGCTAGAGGATTCCTGGGGCCCAGGAGTTCCAGGCTATAGTGAGATATGATCATGCCTCTGCACTCCAGCCTGAGTCACAGAGGGAGATCCTGTCTCAAGAAAAACACACACACACACACACACACACACACACACACACACACACACACACACATATCATTGGAGCTGTGGAGCAACAGCTGTAAAACTTGCTTGGTTGGTCCTAATTGCAATGCATAATATATGGACTCTTGAAATGTAATTCTTAGAAATGGGTATTATAATTACATCCCAGCCAATCCAAAGGCAACTTAAAACATGTTTAAAAAATTTTCCAAGCCAATTAGAAAACTGGTTGGTCCAACCATCAGGTGTAGAAAAATATGCTAATTTATGCAAAGATTACTGTTCCAAGGAGCCCTTGGCTGCATTTGAAGCAAAATATCTGAGAAAACACCTCAATGATACTGTGTAATACTAAATCACTGAATGTATTTTTAAGGCACATTTAAATATAAAGCATACATTATGAATGATAGAATGGCAGTACCAGAACAAGATATAGTGTTTTTCTTTGTTTGTTTTTTGAGACAGAGTCTTGCTCTGTTGCTCAATCTCAAGCGATTCTCGTGCCTCAGCCTCTCTGTAGTAGCTGGGACTACAGGTGCATGCCACCATGCCCGGCTAATTTTTGTATTTTTGGTAGAGACGGGGTTTCACCATGTTGACCAAGCTGCTCTTGAACTCCTGGCCTCAAGCTATCCTCCCATCTTGGCCTCCCAAAGGGATTGCAAGCGTGAGCCACGGCACCCAGCCAGATCTTTTTTATTATTTTTTAGAGACAGGGTCTCACTCTGTCAGCCTGCCCATAGCTCACTGCAACCTCCAACTTATGGGCTCAAGCAGTCGTCCTGCCTCAGCCTCCCCAGTAGCTGGAACTACAGGCATGTGCCACACATACCTGGCTAATTTTTAATTTTTTTTTTAGAGATGGGATCTCGCACCATGTTGCCCAGGCTGGTCTCAAACTTCTAACCTCAAATGATCCTCCTCCCTCAGCCTCCCAAAGGGCTAGGATTACAGGCTTGAACCACTGTACCCTGACTAAAAAGATCTTCTGTGTTGAATATGACAACATTGTATGCCGGCCCCAACAGATTTAATTTATGCAACATAGTCCAGTTACAGTATCCTTATATATGCAAGAAAGGTGTACTACCATTACATTTTTTTTTAATGCTTAAGGGGATATAGAAGCCATACAATAATTTCACTTAAATAATTTTAATCTAGAGAGAGTTTTATTGAGAACTCACCAAATATCTGGGAGAGATGGGCTTGAGCCATTTGAGAATAGCTACTCCATAGGCAGAGCAGCTGAGCATTCTGTTTATCAGCAGGATCCTATTGCTATATGCATTACAAATGAATTTTAAAATAATTTATAACATTTCTTAGGCTTAATATGTATTTTTTAAAACCTGAATTACATTCTGTACAATTCACCTTTTACCTATCCTTGATGTTTATTTAAAATAAAAGACAACAAAACCCCTAGTATATTTTGTGGGCATTTGTAGTTAACCTAGACTACAAAGGCACCTGCTCCCACTCCAGGCCACGTAATGTTGTTGTTGTTGTTGTTTTGTTTTGTTTTTGTTTGAGTCTTGCTGTGTCGCCCAGGCTAGAGTGCAATGCGCGATCTCCGCTCACTGCAACCTTTGTCTCCCGGGTTCAAGCGATTCTCCTGCCTCAGCCTCCCGAGTAGCTGGGATTACAGGAGCCCACCACCACGCCCAGCTAATTTTTGTATTTTTAGTAGAGACAGGGTTTCACCATGTTGTCCAGACTGGTCTCGAACTGCTGACCTCAGGTGATCCACTCGCCTCGGCCTCCCAAAGTGTTGGAATTACAGGCGTGAGCCACCGCGCCCGGCCTGGGCCACATAATCTAAATACTTTGGATACTAGATAGTTTACAGAGAAGTTTCAACAATTTGAGATTTGAGATTAAAAATAGGTGGTAGTTATACTTGGACCAAAGAATGTTAAAAGATTGACTAGCTCTCTTTTAAGAATGAGGGGGTTATGTAATGAAAATTCCGCAAATATAGAGATAAAAGATATCTACATAAAGAGAAGGCAGTAGAAAATGAATGTTTTGAGAGTGATTTACTCTGCCTCACCTTCCTTTTAGTCACTGAAGTTTTGTTTTCCTTTTTAATGTTCACATACGGGCTTCACAGGTAAGGTTTCAAGAATTTTGGAATGGACAAAGAGTGTTGCAAAGGAAAGCTTAGTACATTTGAAAGTTAGGATGAACCAGTTATTTGCCTAATAACTAAGTTAAAAGTCGTTTTGGTTTTTAAAAAGCATATGCAAAACGTATTCACTGAGGCTTGCTCTAATTAGAGTTCTAAACAAATCTTGTAGGGTTTTTTTTTTTTGTCTTTAATCTCCCCCCTTCCCGTGTCAAGTTAAACTGGGTGGGTGGGTGGGTGTGTGTGTGTGTGTGTGTGTGTGTGGAGAGAGAGCCTGCAAGAGAATTAGCACGCACCTCGTGGATCTTAGTAATTGTTTTAAAGCCAAATAAAACTGTTTCTTGAATAAACCAATACATTTCTGAAGTTGAAAAGAATCCCAAAGGAAACGAATGAACATCCTTGCAGCTTGATTTTCCAAAAAAAAAAAAAAAAATTTTTTAAATTAAAAAAATCCTAATCTCCACATTTTTTGCCAGGCGAGAACCGAAGTTTGGAGGTAGACGAGCAGGCGAGCGGTTTGCCCGGGCGCAGAGCATGAAGGCCGGGCGGGCGCGGGGAGCGGCGCCCCGGCCCGGCGCGGGGGTGAGCGAGAGAGAGAGCGGAGCGCGTGTGGCCGGCGCCGCTCGGCCGGGAGCTCCCGCGCTCCGGCCCCCGGCCCCGCGCCCGCCGCCGCCGCCGCCGCCGCCCCTGTTGCGATGGCGCAGAAACCCCGTTGACAAGGCACTGCTTTTTCATGACGGTGAGTTTCCCTTTGAGTGTATTATAATTTTGTGATAAAAATTTCAAGGAGAAAAAAAAAACACACAACCTCCTTCCTCTGCCTCTTTCCTTCGGGGAGGGGAAAAGCGAGGGAGGGGGGGCTGGAGATCTGTCTCCAGACTGAAAAGAAAGGAGCAAATTAAACACCGAGTTGCCAAAACCAGGATATTAGGTTTCAGCCCAGAGAGCTATTGGCTAAGGCTGTGTTTTTTTTTTTTTTTTGGGGGGGGGTGGGTTTGTGGGTGGGTGATGGTGGTGGTGGGTGGATGTTTAATGGACACGGAGAAAAGGGGAATCGAGTGTTTATGCCTTTCCCAGCGCTGCCGGGGCCCCGGGAAGACCAAGTTCAGTGTCTCGGGCGGGGGCGCAGGCGGGCAGGGGGCGGCGAGGCCGGGCCGGGGGCGCCTCGGCGGGGTGGGGGCCCGGCGCCTTTCTTTTTCCTTTTTTTTCTTTTCCGCGGATGCAAATTTCTGGAGCGGGGAGAGGGAGAGCCCGGGAAGGGGGTGGCGTGGCGGTTGGTGGTGGGGAGGGGAGGGGAGGGAAGCCTTTTAATGACTCATTGATTGAGCCGGTTTAAAATTAGTTGTGTGCGCGAGTGTGAGTGTGTTTTCCGCCCCCCGGAGCCGCCGGGAGCCGGGAAGGAGGGAGCAGGGCTCGGCGAGGGGAAGACGGCGCGGCGGGGCCGCGAGCAGGGGGCAGGGAGGGCCTGGAGTGACGGCGGGCGAGGAAGAAAAATAAGCTTTTCCAATCTCCTCCCCTCTGTTTTCCCCCCCTCGTTTCTTTTCTCTCTCGGAAGCTCTAGGGTGTGAATCACATTTTCTTTCTTCTCGGCAAAATGGACCCCGCGTCTGGGGAGGGGGAGGGGAGAGGGTGGGGAGGGAGGCGGCGGAGACGGGGTTTATTTTTCATCCTGGCTTCCCCATTCCCGCCGCATCTGCGGGCGGCCGCGGCGAGGAGAGCAGGTCCGGGGTGCGGCGGGGAGAGCTCGGGGCAGGCGAGTCGCCCCGGCCCCGTTCCCGCTCCCGCTCCGAGCCCGCGGCGGCGGCGCGCACCTGCCGCGGGACTGCCCCTTCCCAGCCGCCTCGCTGCCTTTTCGAAGCACCGCCGAGGATCCGCGGCCGCGTCCGGCCGAGCCCCCAGCCGCGCGGAGGACCGGCGGCCCAGCCGGGCGTCTCCTGCGAGGCCCGCGCTGTTCGCCGCGCCGGCCAGAAGAGATGTGCGGCTGGGACGGCGCATTTTTGGCCGAGTGCGCGCGGGCGTTATGCTGTTCGCGCCCCCCCGAGTCGCCCCAAATGCGGGATATTGGGTGGGGGGGTGCGGTTGGAAGGCGCTAAGATGGCGCTGGGCCTGGCCTGTCGCCAGGGCTGGTGGCGCAGTTGCTCGGCGGGCGCCATCTTTCTCGCGGCGCGGGCGGCGCCCTCCGAGGACATCTCGATGACCAGGGCGCCGCGAGGCCCGGGGCTAGCGGGAGCCGAGAGCAGGGTGCTGAATTCTGGAGATGGGACTGGGGTCGCGCGGCCTTCTCCTTCCCCACGCCCCCAGACCCAAAAGACGAGGCCGCCGGCTCGGAGCGGGAAGGGCTGGGGCCAGCTTCTTCCTCCTAACCACTTGTTTGTGATGGAAGAAGGGGGCTGGGGGTCGAGCCTCGCGGCTGATGGGTTCCCTCCCTGACCCCGCACCCCCACTCCTCCCAGTCGAAATTGGAGGTGAGGCGCTCCTGCCATTTTCTCTCCTGCGGTCTGAGAGTGGACGTCTTTGTCTTCTCTGGCCCGGCGTGGGGGCAGGGCATTGAGCCTTTTCCTTAATTCTTCAGTTATTGAAAGTAGAGTCCAACCAGGTTACAAAACTAAAAAAAAGAGTCCAGGACATTGTCTGTCTGCCTTCCGGTAGCATGGTTCTCTGTGGGTACCCTACGCTTCGTTTCTTAGTTTTACTCTAAAACAACCCTGAGGAGACATTTACTAGTTGTCAGATTACGGGAAGGTGATGGGTTCCAGTTTTTTGAAACTTTTTTTGTTGGCTTTCATATTACTTCAAATGGCAGTGAATTAAAACAGTTTCTTAGAACTCTAATCTGAAAAGTTAAATACGCTTTAAAACAGTCTGAAACTCTTCTAAAAAGCAAAACTGCATTATTAAAAGCATCCATGTAAGTATCTGTTGGTAGTATCTATTAGAGATGGGGGAGGGGTTTAACTTTTACATTATTATTGAAAAGAGGAGGGGAAAGGTCTATAAAGCTCTGATCTCTCTAGAAGTCCACATACATGGAAAGTAAATAGTTAATTTCTAGTGTAGAAAAATAACACCGTGGTGCCAGTAGGTGTGTCCTTGTGTTTATAAATATACATAGTGGATGTTTTAGACCATTTAATGAGACCTATTATATATTGAATACCTGCTGTATGCCAGGAACTGTGCCTGATGCTTTGTATAATTTCTATTATATCAGCCCAGAAATAGTGATTTTATGATCTGTCTACCGGGGAATGAACTAACGTTCATAGAAGTATAGTAATTGTTCGAGGTCTTGCAGTTTTAAGTAGTAAAGTTGCCATTGGATCACAAAAGCTGTATTCTTCCCCCTACACCTATGGTTTCCAAATGTGAGCATCAGAATTAATTTGGGAGATGTTTTTAAATAGAGATTTGTAACATCACCTCTTCCACCATCATTTGCTAGGGCCAACTGGGTCTTTTAATAATGTGTCAGGCACTCCAACTTCTTGATGTTCAATATTGACATTCTGGCCCACCCTGCACCCGCTATATCCAAAGATCTAGTATTCCAAAGCTCTCCAGGTGATTCCAGTGACACAGACACACGTTTGGACTGTCTTGTACTATGCTATGCACTGTTCTGCTCTTTTTTGAATTGGAACATGAGAATTGAGGTCCATGTAATTTTGAGTTTCAGTAGTTTTTTGCTCACATTAGTCTCATTTTTGTTTTTCCTCTTGTAGCTGCCATTTATCAAATCGAAATTATTTCCTCAGAGAAAAAGGTTTAGGTATCCTAAGACTTTAAAATCTCAGTACGTTTTTTTTTAAAGTATGTTGTCTCATTCTATTGAGAAGTTATACAACATACAGGCTTCTAGGTCTAGCCAGGCCATCTAGTTTAGTCAAGACAGCTGTGTAACAAACGTAGCCTTGAGGCCTGGCACGGTGGCTCATGCCTGTAATCCCAGCACTTTTGAGGCTGAGGCGGGCGGATTACCTGAAGTCAGGAGTTAGAGACCAGCCTGTCCAACGTGGTGAAACCCCGTCTGTACTAAAAATACAAAAAAGCTAGCCGAGTGTGGTGGCAGGTGCCTGTAATCCCAGCTACTTGGGAGGCTGAGGCGAGAGAATCACTTGAACTGGGGAGGCAGAGGTTGCAGTGGCCCGAGACCCCACCATTGCACTCCAGTCCGGGAAACAAGAACGAAACTCCCATCTCAAAAAAAAAAAAAAGAATTGAATCCAGGATTGATCCAGAAATTGAGAATAGGGTAGAAAAGACCCTGATATAAAGACCTGAAGATAAATCCTTAAAAGAAAAGGTTGTTTCCTGAATTTTGAATTGTGGACATATCTTCTGGGTTTTGGGAAGTAGGATAGTCAAGTTATGTGGAACCTAATAGCAGAATATGGATAAAAACACAGGTCAGGGCCAGGCACAGTGGCTCACACCTGTAATCCCAGCACTTCGGGAGGCCGAGGTGGGCGGATCACGAGGTCAGGAGTTCGAGACCAGCCTGACCAACGTGGTGAAACCCCGTTTCTACTAAAAATACAAAAATTAGCCGGGCTTGGTGGGCACATGCCTGTAATCTCAGCTACTCAGGAGGCTGAGACAGGAGAATGGTTTGAACCTGGGAGACGGAGGTTGTAGTGAGCTGAGATCGCGCCACTGCACTCCAGCCTGGAGACAAAAAACACAGGTCAGGAAGAAGCATCTAGAGCAGGTGATGAATAGATGACCTTACTAAAATGAGAAAGAACCAAGTCAGTGATGAAATCATTAATTTCTCTGGATTAAGGATCATGGATTTTATTTTGTGCTTTCTCTTGTTGATTCTTCTCAAATCGTTGTGTTTAGTAATTGCTAGGGAGAGTAGTTTAAAACTTAGATTTTTGATGCAGATGTCAGAATTATACCATCTTTGCATATGTCCACATTGGAAAGTTTTTGTAAGGAGCATTTGTTGGATACCTCTGTGCAGTCTGTGTCCAGTCTAGACCACTAGGTGGGTGGAGTGACTTCCAGTTTTTGAAGGGAAGTCACTTCTGGTTTTTCTCCCCTTGTTTTTTATGGTAAATGCCAAAGTAATTATAATCTTTGACTAGACTAAAATCCAATAAAGCTTGAAAGGAGGGGGAAATCTAAAACTGCTTAGAGGGAAACAGTAGCTTCTTTAACCTTGTTGGAATTTTAAGACCGGCAAGATCTCTGCACTCATGAAATTTACAGTATAGTGGGGAAGGACAGAAAATAGTTAAAAAATCAAGATAATGACAGATTAAGAAAAAATATTAAGTGGCTGGTGGATCTAAAAGAGTATGTTGGGAATGACCATTTTGGCTAGTAAGGGTCAAAGAAAGTCTTTTCATAGAGGTGATATTTGAGCTGAGACGTGAAACATGAACTTGTGCTAGCCATGTGAAAAGCTGGGGAGACATTTCAGACCTGGGAACAAGTTCAAAGACCTGGAAGGCTGGTTGTTAGACTGGAGAGAAGGCTCCTCTGAGCAAGGGGAGAAATTATGAATAGGGTAGGAATGAGATGGAGTTGGAGAGATCCTATAGGTCGTCTTGTATTACTCCATAGGGGGATTTTTGGATTTAATTCTAATGGCAATGAGAGGGGTTTTAATTTGGGCAGTGATAATGTTTTTAAAAATAACTGGCTATTTAGAGGAAGAGAGGAAACAGGGAAGTTAGGAGGCTATTGTAGTCAGCCCAAGATCGATAGTATCTCAGGCAAGTAAAGTGGCAATGAGATACAGCAGAGTAGACAGCAACTTTTACATATGTATTTTGGAGGTGGAATCAGAAGGATTTGCTTAATGGGTTGGCTGTGGAGGGAGAGGGAGGAATCAAGGGTGCCTTCAGGTTGCAGGCTCCAGCCTTGGGCTGCTGATGGTACCATTTGCTGGTTGGAGAAGAC